>NC_000003.12:92207389-92523107 GCF_000001405.40 Homo sapiens
GTTGGAAACGGGATTTCTTCTTATAATTCTTGACAAAAGAATTCTCAGTAGCTTCCTTGTGTGTGTGTATTCAACTCACAGAGTTGAACCTGCCTTTAGGCAGAGCAGATTGGAAACCCACTTTTTGTGGAATTTGCAAGTGGAGAATTCTAGCGCTTTGACGCCAATGGTAGGAAAGGAAATATCTCCGTGTAAAAACTGGACAGTATCATTCTCAGAAACTACTTTGTGATGTGTGCGTTCAACTCACAGAGTTTAACCTTTCTTTTCTTAGAGCAGTTTGGAAACACTCTGTTTGTGAAGTCTGCAAGTGGATATTTAAACGTCTTTGAGGCCTTCGTTGGAAACGGGATTTTTTCATATAAACCAGGACAGAAGAATTCTCAGAAACTTCTTGTTTGTTATGTGTGCATTCAACTCACAGAGTTGAACCTTACTTTGGAAAGAGCAGTTTTCTAACACTCTTTTTGTAAAAGTTCCAAGTGAATACTTTGAGTACTTTGAAGCCTACGGTAGACAACGAAATATCTTCATGTAAAAACTACAAAGAATCATTCGCAGAAACCACGTTGTGATCTCTGCAGTCAACTCACAGAGTTCAACCTTTCTTCCTATAGAGCAGTTATGAAACAGTCTCTTTGTAGAATTTGCAAGGGTGTATTTAGAGGGCATTGAAGCCTACGGTAGAAAAGGAAATATCTTACCATAAAATCTAGTCAGAAGCATTCTCAGCAACTGAGTTGTGATGTTTGCATTCAACTCACAGAGTTCAACATTCCTTTTAATGGAGCGGTTTTGAAACACTCTTTTTGCAGAATCTGCAAGTGGATATTTGGACCTCTTTGAGGCCTTCGTTGGAAACGGGATTTCTTCATGTAATGCCAGACAGAAGAATTCTCAGTGAATTCTTTCTGTGTGTGTGTATTCAACTCACAGAGTTGAACGTTCCTTTAGACAGAGTAGATTGGAAACACTCTTTTTGTGGAATTTTCAGGTGGAGGTATCAAGCGCTTTGAGGCCAATGATAGAAAAGGAAATACCTTCGTATAATAATTAGACGGAATCATTCTCAGAAACCGCTTTGCAATGTGTGCGTTCAACTCACAGTGTTTAACCTTTCTTTTCATACAGTTGTTTCGAAACACTCTTTTTGCAGAATCTGCAAGTGGATATTTGGACCTCTTTGAAGTCTTCGTTGGAAATGGGATTTCTTCATATAATGCTAGACAGAAGACTTCTCAGTAACTGCTTTTTCTGGTGTGTATTCAACTCTCAGAGTTGAACTTTCCTTTAGAAACAGCAGATTTGAAACTCTCTTTTTGTGGAATTTGCAAGTGGAGATTTCAGAGCTTTGAGGCCAATGGTAGAAAAGGAAATATCTTCGTATGCAAACTAGACAGAATCATTCTCAGAAACTACTTTGGTACGTGTGTGTTCAACTCACAGTGTTTAACCTTTCTTTTCATAGAGCAGTTTGGAAACACTCAGTTTGTAAAGTCAGCAACTGGATATTTGGATGTATTTGAGGCCTTCGTTGGAAACGGGATTTCTTCATATAATGCTAGACAGAAGAATTCTCAGTAACTTCTTTGGGTTGTGGGTATTCAAGTCACAGAGTTGAAGCTTCCTTTAGGCGGAGCAGATTGGAAACACTTTTTGTGGAATTTTCAGGGGGAGACTTCAAGCGCTTTGAAGTGAATGGTAGGAAAGGAAATATCTTCGTATAAAAACTAGACGGAGTCATTCTCAGAAACTACTTTGTGATGTTTGCGTTCAACTCACAGAGTTTAACGTTTCTTTTCATAGAGCAGTTTGGAAACACTCTTTTTGCAGAATCTGCAAGTGGATATTTGGACCTCTTTGTGGCCTTCGTTGGAAACGGGATTTTTCATATAATGCTAGACAGAAGAATTCTCAGTAACTTCTTTTTGTGGTGTGTATTCAACTCACAGAGTTGAACCTTCCTTTAGACAGAGCAGATTTGAAACTCTCTTTTTGTGGAATTTGCAAGTGGAGATTTCAAGCGCTTTGAGGCCAACGGCAGAAAAGGAAATATCTTCGTAGAAAAAATAGACGGAATCATTCTCAGAAACTGCTTTGGGATGTGTGCATTGAACTCACAGTGTTTAACACTTCTTTTCATAGAGCACTTTGGAAACACTCAGTTTGTAATGTCTGCAGCTGGATATTTGGACCTCTTTGAGGCCTTCGTAGTAAACGGGATTTCTTCGTGTAATGATAGACAATAGAATTCTCAGTGAATTTTTTTCTGTGTGTGTGTATTCAACTCACAGGGTTGAACCTTCCTTTAGACAGTGCAGATTTGAAACACTTGTCTGTGGAATTTGCAAGGGGAGATTTCAAGCACTTTGAGGCCATTGGTGGAAAAGGAAATATCTTCGTATGAAAACTAGACAGAATCATTCTCAGGAACTACTTTGTGATATGTGCATTCAACTCCCAGTAGTTTAACCTTTCTTTTCATAGATGAGTTTGGAAACAGTCAGTTTGTAAATTCTGCAACTGGATATTTGGACCTCTTTGAGGCTTTCGTTGGAAACGGGATTTCTTCACATAATGCTAGACAGAAGAATTCTCAGTAACTTCTTTTGGGATGTATGTATTCAAATCAGAGAGTTGAACCTTCCTTTAGACAGAGCGGATTGGAAACACTCTTTTTGTGGAATTTGCAAGTGGAAAATTCTAGCAGTATGAGGCCAATGGTACAAAAGGAAATATCTTCGTATAAAAACTAGACAGTATCATTCTCAGAAACTGCTTTGTGATGTGTGTATTAAACTCACAGATTTGAACATTTCTTTGCATAGAGCAATATGGAAAGACTTAGTTTGTGCAGTGTGCAAGTGGATATTTGGAACTCTTTGAGGCCTTGGTTGGAAACGGTATTTCTTCTTATAATTCTTGACAAAAGAATTCTCAGTAGCTTCTTTGTGTGTGTGTACTCAACTCACAGAGTTGAACCTTCCTTTAGACAGAGCAGATTGGAAACACTCTTTTTGTGGAATTTGCAAGTGGAAAATTCTAGCAGTATGAGGCCAATGGTACAAAAGGAAATATCTTCGTATAAAAACTAGACAGTATCATTCTCAGAAACTACTTTGTGATGTGTGCGTTCAACTCACAGAGTTTAACCTTTCTTTTCATAGAGCAGTTTGGAAACACTCTGTTTGTGAAGTCTGCAAGTGGATATTTAAACGTCTTTGAGGCCTTCGTTGGAAAAGGGATTTTTTCCTATAAACCAGGACAGAAGAATTCTCAGAAACTTCTTGTTTGTTATGTGTGCATTCAACTCACAGAGTTGAACCTTACTTTGGAAAGAGCAGTTTTCTAACACTCTTTTTGTAAAAGTTCCAAGTGAATACTTTGAGTGCTTTGAAGCCTACGGTAGACAACGAAATATCTTCATGTAAAAACTACAAAGAATCATTCGCAGAAACCACGTTGTGATCTCTGCATTCAACTCACAGAGTTGAACCTTTCCTCCTATAGAGCAGTTATGAAGCAGTCTCTTTGTAGAATTTGCAAGGGTGTATTTAGAGGGCATTGAAGCCTACGGTAGAAAAGGAAATATCTTACCATAAAATCTAGTCAGAAGCATTCTCAGAAACTGAGTTGTGATGTTTGCATTCAACTCACAGAGTTCAACATTCCTTTTAATGGAGCGGTTTTGAAACCCTCTTTTTGCAGAATCTGCAAGTGGATATTTGGACCTCTTTGAGGCCTTCGTTGGAAACGGGATTTCTTCATGTAATGCCAGACAGAAGAATTCTCAGTGAATTCTTTCTGTGTGTGTGTATTCAACTCACAGAGTTGAACGTTCCTTTAGACAGAGTAGATTGGAAACACTCTTTTTGTGGAATTTTCAGGTGGAGGTATCAAGCGCTTTGAGGCCAATGATAGAAAAGGAAATACCTTCGTATAATAATTAGACGGAATCATTCTCAGAAACCGCTTTGCAATGTGTGCGTTCAACTCACAGTGTTTAACCTTTCTTTTCATACAGTTGTTTCGAAACACTCTTTTTGCAGAATCTGCAAGTGGATATTTGGACCTCTTTGAAGTCTTCGTTGGAAATGGGATTTCTTCATATAATGCTAGACAGAAGACTTCTCAGTAACTGCTTTTTCTGGTGTGTATTCAACTCTCAGAGTTGAACTTTCCTTTAGAAACAGCAGATTTGAAACTCTCTTTTTGTGGAATTTGCAAGTGGAGATTTCAGAGCTTTGAGGCCAATGGTAGAAAAGGAAATATCTTCGTATGCAAACTAGACAGAATCATTCTCAGAAACTACTTTGGTACGTGTGTGTTCAACTCACAGTGTTTAACCTTTCTTTTCATAGAGCAGTTTGGAAACACTCAGTTTGTAAAGTCAGCAACTGGATATTTGGATGTATTTGAGGCCTTCGTTGGAAACGGGATTTCTTCATATAATGCTAGACAGAAGAATTCTCAGTAACTTCTTTGGGCTGTGGGTATTCAACTCACAGAGTTGAAGCTTCCTTTAGGCGGAGCAGATTGGAAACACTTTTTGTGGAATTTTCAGGGGGAGACTTCAAGCGCTTTGAGGCCAACAGTAGAAAAGGAAATATCTTCGTATAAAAACTAGACGGAGTCATTCTCAGAAACTACTTTGTGATGTTTGCGTTCAACTCACAGAGTTTAACGTTTCTTTTCATAGAGCAGTTTGGAAACACTCTTTTTGCAGAATCTGCAAGTGGATATTTGGACCTCTTTGTGGCCTTCGTTGGAAACGGGATTTTTCATATAATGCTAGACAGAAGAATTCTCAGTAACTTCTTTTTGTGGTGTGTATTCAACTCACAGAGTTGAACCTTCCTTTAGACAGAGCAGATTTGAAACTCTCTTTTTGTGGAATTTGCAAGTGGAGATTTCAAGCGCTTTGAGGCCAACGGCAGAAAAGGAAATATCTTCGTAGAAAAAATAGACGGAATCATTCTCAGAAACTGCTTTGGGATGTGTGCATTGAACTCACAGTGTTTAACACTTCTTTTCATAGAGCACTTTGGAAACACTCAGTTTGAAATGTCTGCAGCTGGATATTTGGACCTCTTTGAGGCCTTCGTAGTAAACGGGATTTCTTCGTGTAATGATAGACAATAGAATTCTCAGTGAATTTTTTTCTGTGTGTGTGTATTCAACTCACAGGGTTGAACCTTCCTTTAGACAGTGCAGATTTGAAACACTTGTCTGTGGAATTTGCAAGGGGAGATTTCAAGCACTTTGAGGCCATTGGTGGAAAAGGAAATATCTTCGTATGAAAACTAGACAGAATCATTCTCAGGAACTACTTTGTGATATGTGCATTCAACTCACAGAGTTTAACCTTTCTTTTCATAGATGAGTTTGGAAACAGTCAGTTTGTAAATTCTGCAACTGGATATTTGGACCTCTTTGAGGCTTTCGTTGGAAACGGGATTTCTTCACATAATGCTAGACAGAAGAATTCTCAGTAACTTCTTTTGGGATGTATGTATTCAAATCAGAGAGTTGAACCTTCCTTTAGACAGAGCGGATTGGAAACACTCTTTTTGTGGAATTTGCAAGTGGAAAATTCTAGCAGTATGAGGCCAATGGTACAAAAGGAAATATCTTCGTATAAAAACTAGACAGTATCATTCTCAGAAACTGCTTTGTGATGTGTGTATTAAACTCACAGAGTTTAACCTTTCTTTTCATAGAGCAGTTTGGAAACCCTCTGTTTGTGAAGTCTGCAAGTGGATATTTAAACGTCTTTGAGGCCTTCGTTGGAAACGGGATTTTTTCATATAAACCAGGACAGAAGAATTCTCAGAAACTTCTTGATTGTTATGTGTGCATTCAACTCACAGAGTTGAACCTTACTTTGGAAAGAGCAGTTTTCTAACATTCTTTTTGTAAAAGTTCCAAGTGAATACTTTGAGTGCTTTGAAGCCTACGGTTGACAACGAAATATCTTCATGTAAAAACAACAAAGAATCATTCGCAGAAACCACGTTGTGATCTCTGCATTCAACTCACAGAGTTGAACCTTTCTTCCTATAGAGCAGTTATGAAACAGTCTCTTTGTAGAATTTGCAAGGGTGTATTTAGAGGGCATTGAAGCCTACGGTAGAAAAGGAAATATCTTACCATAAAATCTAGTCAGAAGCATTCTCAGCAACTGAGTTGTGATGTTTGCATTCAACTCACAGAGTTCAACATTCCTTTTAATGGAGCGGTTTTGAAACACTCTTTTTGCAGAATCTGCAAGTGGATATTTGGACCTCTTTGAGGCCTTCGTTGGAAACGGGATTTCTTCATGTAATGCCAGACAGAAGAATTCTCAGTGAATTCTTTCTGTGTGTGTGTATTCAACTCACAGAGTTGAACGTTCCTTTAGACAGAGTAGATTGGAAACACTCTTTTTGTGGAATTTTCAGGTGGAGGTATCAAGCGCTTTGAGGCCAATGATAGAAAAGGAAATACCTTCGTATAATAATTAGACGGAATCATTCTCAGAAACTGCTTTGCAATGTGTGCGTTCAACTCACAGTGTTTAACCTTTCTTTTCATACAGTTGTTTCGAAACACTCTTTTTGCAGAATCTGCAAGTGGATATTTGGACCTCTTTGAAGTCTTCGTTGGAAATGGGATTTCTTCATATAATGCTAGACAGAAGACTTCTCAGTAACTGCTTTTTCTGGTGTGTATTCAACTCTCAGAGTTGAACTTTCCTTTAGAAACAGCAGATTTGAAACTCTCTTTTTGTGGAATTTGCAAGTGGAGATTTCAGAGCTTTGAGGCCAATGGTAGAAAAGGAAATATCTTCGTATGCAAACTAGACAGAATCATTCTCAGAAACTACTTTGGTACGTGTGTGTTCAACTCACAGTGTTCAACCTTTCCTTTCATAGAGCAGTTTGGAAACACTCAGTTTGTAAAGTCAGCAACTGGATATCTGGATGTATTTGAGGCCTTCGTTGGAAACGGGATTTCTTCATATAATGCTAGACAGAAGAATTCTCAGTAACTTCTTTGGGTTGTGGGTATTCAACTCACAGAGTTGAAGCTTCCTTTAGGCGGAGCAGATTGGAAACACTTTTTGTGGAATTTTCAGGGGGAGACTTCAAGCGCTTTGAAGTGAATGGTAGGAAAGGAAATATCTTCGTATAAAAACTAGACGGAGTCATTCTCAGAAACTACTTTGTGATGTTTGCGTTCAACTCACAGAGTTTAACGTTTCTTTTCATAGAGCAGTTTGGAAACACTCTTTTTGCAGAATCTGCAAGTGGATATTTGGACCTCTTTGTGGCCTTCGTTGGAAACGGGATTTTTCATATAATGCTAGACAGAAGAATTCTCAGTAACTTCTTTTTGTGGTGTGTATTCAACTCACAGAGTTGAACCTTCCTTTAGACAGAGCAGATTTGAAACTCTCTTTTTGTGGAATTTGCAAGTGGAGATTTCAAGCGCTTTGAGGCCAACGGCAGAAAAGTAAATATCTTCGTAGAAAAAATAGACGGAATCATTCTCAGAAACTGCTTTGGGATGTGTGCATTGAACTCACAGTGTTTAACACTTCTTTTCATAGAGCACTTTGGAAACACTCAGTTTGTAATGTCTGCAGCTGGATATTTGGACCTCTTTGAGGCCTTCGTAGTAAACGGGATTTCTTCGTGTAATGATAGACAATAGAATTCTCAGTGAATTTGTTTCTGTGTGTGTGTATTCAACTCACAGGGTTGAACCTTCCTTTAGACAGTGCAGATTTGAAACACTTGTCTGTGGAATTTGCAAGGGGAGATTTCAAGCACTTTGAGGCCATTGGTGGAAAAGGAAATATCTTCGTATAAAAACTAGACAGAATCATTCTCAGGAACTACTTTGTGATATGTGCATTCAACTCACAGAGTTTAACCTTTCTTTTCATAGATGAGTTTGGAAACAGTCAGTTTGTAAATTCTGCAACTGGATATTTGGACCTGCTTTGAGGCTTTCGTTGGAAACGGGATTTCTTCACATAATGCTAGACAGAAGAATTCTCAGTAACTTCTTTTGGGATGTATGTATTCAAATCAGAGAGTTGAACCTTCCTTTAGACAGAGCGGATTGGAAACCCTCTTTTTGTGGAATTTGCAAGTGGAAAATTCTAGCATTATGAGGCCAATGGTACAAAAGGAAATATCTTCGTATAAAAACTAGACAGTATCATTCTCAGAAACTGCTTTGTGATGTGTGTATTAAACTCACAGAGTTGAACAATTTCTTTGCATAGAGCAGTTTGGAAAGACTTAGTTTTTGCAGTGTGCAAGTGGATATTTGGAACTCTTTGAGGCCTTCGTTGGAAACGGGATTTCTTCTTATAATTTCTTGAAAAAAGAATTCTCAGTAGCTTCTTTGTGTGTGTGTATTCAACTCACAGAGTTGAACCTTCCTTTAGACAGAGCAGATTGGAAACACTCTTTTTGTGGAATTTGCAAGTGGAGAATTCTAGCGCTTTGATGCCAATGGTAGAAAGGAAATATCTTCGTATAAAAACTAGACAGTATCATTCTCAGAAGCTACTTTGTGATGTGTGCGTTCAACTCACAGAGTTTAACCTTTCTTTTCATAGAGCAGTTTGGAAACCCTCTGTTTGTGAAGTCTGCAAGTGGATATTTAAACGTCTTTGAGGCCTTCGTTGGAAACGGGATTTTTTCATATAAACCAGGACAGAAGAATTCTCAGAAACTTCTTGATTGTTATGTGTGCATTCAACTCACAGAGTTGAACCTTACTTTGGAAAGAGCAGTTTTCTAACACTCTTTTTGTAAAAGTTCCAAGTGAATACTTTGAGTGCTTTGAAGCCTACGGTTGACAACGAAATATCTTCATGTAAAAACTACAAAGAATCATTCGCAGAAACCACGTTGTGATCTCTGCAGTCAACTCACAGAGTTCAACCTTTCTTCCTATAGAGCAGTTATGAAACAGTCTCTTTGTAGAATTTGCAAGGGTGTATTTAGAGGGCATTGAAGCCTACGGTAGAAAAGGAAATATCTTACCATAAAATCTAGTCAGAAGCATTCTCAGAAACTGAGTTGTGATGTTTGCATTCAACTCACAGAGTTCAACATTCCTTTTAATGGAGCGGTTTTGAAACACTCTTTTTGCAGAATCTGCAAGTGGATATTTGGACCTCTTTGAGGCCTTCGTTGGAAACGGGATTTCTTCATGTAATGCCAGACAGAAGAATTCTCAGTGAATTCTTTCTGTGTGTGTGTATTCAACTCACAGAGTTGAACGTTCCTTTAGACAGAGTAGATTGGAAACACTCTTTTTGTGGAATTTTCAGGTGGAGGTATCAAGCGCTTTGAGGCCAATGATAGAAAAGGAAATACCTTCGTATAATAATTAGACGGAATCATTCTCAGAAACTGCTTTGCAATGTGTGCGTTCAACTCACAGTGTTTAACCTTTCTTTTCATACAGTTGTTTCGAAACACTCTTTTTGCAGAATCTGCAAGTGGATATTTGGACCTCTTTGAAGTCTTCGTTGGAAATGGGATTTCTTCATATAATGCTAGACAGAAGACTTCTCAGTAACTGCTTTTTCTGGTGTGTATTCAACTCTCAGAGTTGAACTTTCCTTTAGAAACAGCAGATTTGAAACTCTCTTTTTGTGGAATTTGCAAGTGGAGATTTCAGAGCTTTGAGGCCAATGGTAGAAAAGGAAATATCTTCGTATGCAAACTAGACAGAATCATTCTCAGAAACTACTTTGGTACGTGTGTGTTCAACTCACAGTGTTTAACCTTTCTTTTCATAGAGCAGTTTGGAAACACTCAGTTTGTAAAGTCAGCAACTGGATATTTGGATGTATTTGAGGCCTTCGTTGGAAATGGGATTTCTTCATATAATGCTAGACAGAAGAATTCTCAGTAACTTCTTTGGGTTGTGGGTATTCAACTCACAGAGTTGAAGCTTCCTTTAGGCGGAGCAGATTGGAAACACTTTTTGTGGAATTTTCAGGGGGAGACTTCAAGCGCTTTGAAGTGAATGGTAGGAAAGGAAATATCTTCGTATAAAAACTAGACGGAGTCATTCTCAGAAACTACTTTGTGATGTTTGCGTTCAACTCACAGAGTTTAACGTTTCTTTTCATAGAGCAGTTTGGAAACACTCTTTTTGCAGAATCTGCAAGTGGATATTTGGACCTCTTTGTGGCCTTCGTTGGAAACGGGATTTTTCATATAATGCTAGACAGAAGAATTCTCAGTAACTTCTTTTTGTGGTGTGTATTCAACTCACAGAGTTGAACCTTCCTTTAGACAGAGCAGATTTGAAACTCTCTTTTTGTGGAATTTGCAAGTGGAGATTTCAAGCGCTTTGAGGCCAACGGCAGAAAAGGAAATATCTTCGTAGAAAAAATAGACGGAATCATTCTCAGAAACTGCTTTGGGATGTGTGCATTGAACTCACAGTGTTTAACACTTCTTTTCATAGAGCACTTTGGAAACCCTCAGTTTGTAATGTCTGCAGCTGGATATTTGGACCTCTTTGAGGCCTTCGTAGTAAACGGGATTTCTTCGTGTAATGATAGACAATAGAATTCTCAGTGAATTTGTTTCTGTGTGTGTGTATTCAACTCACAGGGTTGAACCTTCCTTTAGACAGTGCAGATTTGAAACACTTGTCTGTGGAATTTGCAAGGGGAGATTTCAAGCACTTTGAGGCCATTGGTGGAAAAGGAAATATCTTCGTATAAAAACTAGACAGAATCATTCTCAGGAACTACTTTGTGATATGTGCATTCAACTCACAGAGTTTAACCTTTCTTTTCATAGATGAGTTTGGAAACAGTCAGTTTGTAAATTCTGCAACTGGATATTTGGACCTCTTTGAGGCTTTCGTTGGAAACGGGATTTCTTCACATAATGCTAGACAGAAGAATTCTCAGTAACTTCTTTTGGGATGTATGTATTCAAATCAGAGAGTTGAACCTTCCTTTAGTCAGAGCGGATTGGAAACACTCTTTTTGTGTAATTTGCAAGTGGAAAATTCTAGCAGTATGAGGCCAATGGTACAAAAGGAAATATCTTCGTATAAAAACTAGACAGTATCATTCTCAGAAACTGCTTTGTGATGTGTGTATTAAACTCACAGAGTTGAACATTTCTTTGCATAGAGCAGTTTGGAAAGACTTAGTTTGTGCAGTGTGCAAGTGGATATTTGGAACTCTTTGAGGCCTTCGTTGGAAACGGGATTTCTTCTTATAATTCTTGACAAAAGAATTCTCAGTAGCTTCTTTGTGTGTGTGTATTCAACTCACAGAGTTGAACCTTCCTTTAGACAGAGCAGATTGGAAACACTCTTTTTGTGGAATTTGCAAGTGGAGAATTCTAGCGCTTTGACACCAATGGTAGAAAGGAAATATCTTCGTATAAAAACTAGACAGTATCATTCTCAGAAGCTACTTTGTGATGTGTGCGTTCAACTCACAGAGTTTAACCTTTCTTTTCATAGAGCAGTTTGGAAACCCTCTGTTTGTGAAGTCTGCAAGTGGATATTTAAACGTCTTTGAGGCCTTCGTTGGAAACGGGATTTTTCATATAAACCAGGACAGAAGAATTCTCAGAAACTTCCTGATTGTTATGTGTGCATTCAACTCACAGAGTTGAACCTTACTTTGGAAAGAGCAGTTTTCTAACACTCTTTTTGTAAAAGTTCCAAGTGAATACTTTGAGTGCTTTGAAGCCCACGGTTGACAACGAAATATCTTCCTGTAAAAACTACAAAGAATCATTCGCAGAAACCACGTTGTGATCTCTGCATTCAACTCACAGAGTTCAACCTTTCTTCCTATAGAGCAGTTATGAAACAGTCTCTTTGTAGAATTTGCAAGGGTGTATTTAGAGGGCATTGAAGCCTACGGTAGAAAAGGAAATATCTTACCATAAAATCTAGTCAGAAGCATTCTCAGAAACTGAGTTGTGATGTTTGCATTCAACTCACAGAGTTCAACATTCCTTTTAATGGAGCGGTTTTGAAACACTCTTTTTGCAGAATCTGCAAGTGGATATTTGGACCTCTTTGAGGCCTTCGTTGGAAACGGGATTTCTTCATGTAATGCCAGACAGAAGAATTCTCAGTGAATTCTTTCTGTGTGTGTGTATTCAACTCACAGAGTTGAACGTTCCTTTAGACAGAGTAGATTGGAAACACTCTTTTTGTGGAATTTTCAGGTGGAGGTATCAAGCGCTTTGAGACCAATGATAGAAAAGGAAATACCTTCGTATAATAATTAGACGGAATCATTCTCAGAAACTGCTTTGCAATGTGTGCGTTCAACTCACAGTGTTTAACCTTTCTTTTCATACAGTTGTTTCGAAACACTCTTTTTGCAGAATCTGCAAGTGGATATTTGGACCTCTTTGAAGTCTTCGTTGGAAATGGGATTTCTTCATATAATGCTAGACAGAAGACTTCTCAGTAACTGCTTTTTCTGGTGTGTATTCAACTCTCAGAGTTGAACTTTCCTTTAGAAACAGCAGATTTGAAACTCTCTTTTTGTGGAATTTGCAAGTGGAGATTTCAGAGCTTTGAGGCCAATGGTAGAAAAGGAAATATCTTCGTATGCAAACTAGACAGAATCATTCTCAGAAACTACTTTGGTACGTGTGTGTTCAACTCACAGTGTTTAACCTTTCTTTTCATAGAGCAGTTTGGAAACACTCAGTTTGTAAAGTCAGCAACTGGATATTTGGATGTATTTGAGGCCTTCGTTGGAAACGGGATTTCTTCATATAGTGCTAGACAGAAGAATTCTCAGTAACTTCTTTGGGTTGTGGGTATTCAAGTCACAGAGTTGAAGCTTCCTTTAGGCGGAGCAGATTGGAAACACTTTTTGTGGAATTTTCAGGGGGAGACTTCAAGCGCTTTGAAGTGAATGGTAGGAAAGGAAATATCTTCGTATAAAAACTAGACGGAGTCATTCTCAGAAACTACTTTGTGATGTTTGCGTTCAACTCACAGAGTTTAACGTTTCTTTTCATAGAGCAGTTTGGAAACACTCTTTTTGCAGAATCTGCAAGTGGATATTTGGACCTCTTTGTGGCCTTCGTTGGAAACGGGATTTTTCATATAATGCTAGACAGAAGAATTCTCAGTAACTTCTTTTTGTGGTGTGTATTCAACTCACAGAGTTGAACCTTCCTTTAGACAGAGCAGATTTGAAACTCTCTTTTTGTGGAATTTGCAAGTGGAGATTTCAAGCGCTTTGAGGCCAACGGCAGAAAAGGAAATATCTTCGTAGAAAAAATAGACGGAATCATTCTCAGAAACTGCTTTGGGATGTGTGCATTGAACTCACAGTGTTTAACACTTCTTTTCATAGAGCACTTTGGAAACACTCAGTTTGTAATGTCTGCAGCTGGATATTTGGACCTCTTTGAGGCCTTCGTAGTAAACGGGATTTCTTCGTGTAATGATAGACAATAGAATTCTCAGTGAATTTTTTTCTGTGTGTGTGTATTCAACTCACAGGGTTGAACCTTCCTTTAGACAGTGCAGATTTGAAACACTTGTCTGTGGAATTTGCAAGGGGAGATTTCAAGCACTTTGAGGCCATTGGTGGAAAAGGAAATATCTTCGTATAAAAACTAGACAGAATCATTCTCAGGAACTACTTTGTGATATGTGCATTCAACTCCCAGAGTTTAACCTTTCTTTTCATAGATGAGTTTGGAAACAGTCAGTTTGTAAATTCTGCAACTAGATATTTGGACCTCTTTGAGGCTTTCATTGGAAACGGGATTTCTTCACATAATGCTAGACAGAAGAATTCTCAGTAACTTCTTTTGGGATGTATGTATTCAAATCAGAGAGTTGAACCTTCCTTTAGACAGAGCGGATTGGAAACACTCTTTTTGTGGAATTTGCAAGTGGAAAATTCTAGCAGTATGAGGCCAATGGTACAAAAGGAAATATCTTCGTATAAAAACTAGACAGTATCATTCTCAGAAACTGCTTTGTGATGTGTGTATTAAACTCACAGAGTTGAACATTTCTTTGCATAGAGCAGTTTGGAAAGACTTAGTTTGTGCAGTGTGCAAGTGGATATTTGGAACTCTTTGAGGCCTTCGTTGGAAACGGGATTTCTTCTTATAATTCTTGACAAAAGAATTCTCAGTAGCTTCTTTGTGTGTGTGTATTCAACTCACAGAGTTGAACCTTCCTTTAGACAGAGCAGATTGGAAACACTCTTTTTGTGGAATTTGCAAGTGGAGAATTCTAGCGCTTTGACGCCAATGGTAGAAAGGAAATATCTTCGTATAAAAACTAGACAGTATCATTCTCAGAAGCTACTTTGTGATGTGTGCAGTTCAACTCACAGAGTTTAACCTTCCTTTTCATAGAGCAGTTTGGAAACCCTCTGTTTGTGAAGTCTGCAAGTGGATATTTAAACGTCTTTGAGGCCTTCGTTGGAAACGGGATTTCTTCATATAAACCAGGACAGAAGAATTCTCAGAAACTTCTTGATTGTTATGTGTGTATTCAACTCACAGAGTTGAACCTTACTTTGGAAAGAGCAGTTTTCTAACACTCTTTTTGTAAAAGTTCCAAGTGAATACTTTGAGTGCTTTGAAGCCTACGGTTGACAACGAAATATCTTCATGTAAAAACTACAAAGAATCATTCGCAGAAACCACGTTGTGATCTCTGCATTCAACTCACAGAGTTGAACCTTTCTTCCTATAGAGCAGTTATGAAACAGTCTCTTTGTAGAATTTGCAAGGGTGTATTTAGAGGGCATTGAAGCCTACGGTAGAAAAGGAAATATCTTACCATAAAATCTAGTCAGAAGCATTCTCAGAAACTGAGTTGTGATGTTTGCATTCAACTCACAGAGTTCAACATTCCTTTTAATGGAGCGGTTTTGAAACACTCTTTTTGCAGAATCTGCAAGTGGATATTTGGACCTCTTTGAGGCCTTCGTTGGAAACGGGATTTCTTCATGTAATGCCAGACAGAAGAATTCTCAGTGAATTCTTTCTGTGTGTGTGTATTCAACTCACAGAGTTGAACGTTCCTTTAGACAGAGTAGATTGGAAACACTCTTTTTGTGGAATTTTCATGTGGAGGTATCAAGCGCTTTGAGGCCAATGATAGAAAAGGAAATACCTTCGTATAATAATTAGACGGAATCATTCTCAGAAACTGCTTTGCAATGTGTGCGTTCAACTCACAGTGTTTAACCTTTCTTTTCATACAGTTGTTTCGAAACACTCTTTTTGCAGAATCTGCAAGTGGATATTTGGACCTCTTTGAAGTCTTCGTTGGAAATGGGATTTCTTCATATAATGCTAGACAGAAGACTTCTCAGTAACTGCTTTTTCTGGTGTGTATTCAACTCTCAGAGTTGAACTTTCCTTTAGAAACAGCAGATTTGAAACTCTCTTTTTGTGGAATTTGCAAGTGGAGATTTCAGAGCTTTGAGGCCAATGGTAGAAAAGGAAATATCTTCGTATGCAAACTAGACAGAATCATTCTCAGAAACTACTTTGGTACGTGTGTGTTCAACTCACAAGTGTTTAACCTTTCTTTTCATAGAGCAGTTTGGAAACACTCAGTTTGTAAAGTCAGCAACTGGATATTTGGATGTATTTGAGGCCTTCGTTGGAAACGGGATTTCTTCATATAATGCTAGACAGAAGAATTCTCAGTAACTTCTTTGGGTTGTGGGTATTCAACTCACAGAGTTGAAGCTTCCTTTAGGCGGAGCAGATTGGAAACACTTTTTGTGGAATTTTCAGGGGGAGACTTCAAGCGCTTTGAAGTGAATGGTAGGAAAGGAAATATCTTCGTATAAAAACTAGACGGAGTCATTCTCAGAAACTACTTTGTGATGTTTGCGTTCAACTCACAGAGTTTAACGTTTCTTTTCATAGAGCAGTTTGGAAACACTCTTTTTGCAGAATCTGCAAGTGGATATTTGGACCTCTTTGTGGCCTTCGTTAGAAACGGGATTTTTCATATAATGCTAGACAGAAGAATTCTCAGTAACTTCTTTTTGTGGTGTGTATTCAACTCACAGAGTTGAACCTTCCTTTAGACAGAGCAGATTTGAACCTCTCTTTTTGTGGAATTTGCAAGTGGAGATTTCAAGCGCTTTGAGGCCAACGGCAGAAAAGGAAATATACTTCGTAGAAAAAATAGACGGAATCATTCTCAGAAACTGCTTTGGGATGTGTGCATTGAACACACAGTGTTTAACACTTCTTTTCATAGAGCACTTTGGAAACACTCAGTTTGTAATGTCTGCAGCTGGATATTTCGACCTCTTTGAGGCCTTCGTAGTAAACGGGATTTCTTCGTGTAATGATAGACAATAGAATTCTCAGTGAATTTTTTTCTGTGTGTGTGTATTCAACTCACAGGGTTGAACCTTCCATCAGACAGTGCAGATTTGAAACACTTTTCTGTGGAATTTGCAAGGGGAGATTTCCAGCACTTTGAGGCCATTGGTGGAAAAGGAAATATCTTCGTATAAAAACTAGACAGAATCATTCTCAGGAACTACTTTGTGATATGTGCATTCAACTCACAGGGTTTAACCTTTCTTTTCATAGATGAGTTTGGAAACAGTCAGTTTGTAAATTCTGCAACTGGATATTTGGACCTCTTTGAGGCTTTCATTGGAAACGGGATTTCTTCACATAATGCTAGACAGAAGAATTCTCAGGAACTTCTTTTGGGATGTATGTATTCAAATCAGAGAGTTGAACCTTCCTTTAGACAGAGCGGATTGGAAACACTCTTTTTGTGGAATTTGCAAGTGGAAAATTCTAGCAGTATGAGGCCAATGGTACAAAAGGAAATATCTTCATATAAAAACTAGACAGTATCATTCTCAGAAACTGCTTTGTGATGTGTGTATTAAACTCACAGCAGTTGAACATTTCTTTGCATAGAGCAGTTTGGAAAGACTTAGTTTGTGCAGTGTGCAAGTGGATATTTGGAACTCTTTGAGGCCTTCGTTGGAAACGGGATTTCTTCTTATAATTCTTGACAAAAGAATTCTCAGTAGCTTCTTTGTGTGTGTGTATTCAACTCACAGAGTTGAACCTTCCTTTAGACAGAGCAGATTGGAAACACTCTTTTTGTGGAATTTGCAAGTGGAGAATTCTAGCGCTTTGACACCAATGGTAGAAAGGAAATATCTTCGTATAAAAACTAGACAGTATCATTCTCAGAAGCTACTTTGTGATGTGTGCGTTCAACTCACAGAGTTTAACCTTTCTTTTCATAGAGCAGTTTGGAAACACTCTGTTTGTGAAGTCTGCAAGTGGATATTTAAACGTCTTTGAGGCCTTCGTTGGAAACAGGATTTTTTCATATAAACCAGGACAGAAGAATTCTCAGAAACTTCTTGATTGTTATGTGTGCATTCAACTCACAGAGTTGAACCTTACTTTGGAAAGAGCAGTTTTCTAACACTCTTTTTGTAAAAGTTCCAAGTGAATACTTTGAGTGCTTTGAACCCTACGGTTGACAACGAAATATCTTCCTGTAAAAACTACAAAGAATCATTCGCAGAAACCACGTTGTGATCTCTGCATTCAACTCACAGAGTTGAACCTTTCTTCCTATAGAGCAGTTATGAAACAGTCTCTTTGTAGAATTTGCAAGGGTGTATTTAGAGGGCATTGAAGCCTACGGTAGAAAAGGAAATATCTTACCATAAAATACTAGTCAGAAGCATTCTCAGTAAACTGAGTTGTGATGTTTGCATTCAACTCACAGAGTTCAACATTCCTTTTAATAGAGCGGTTTTGAAACACTCTTTTTGCAGAATCTGCAAGTGGATATTTGGACCTCTTTGAGGCCTTCGTTGGAAACGGGATTTCTTCATGTAATGCCAGACAGAAGAATTCTCAGTGAATTCTTTCTGTGTGTGTGTATTCAACTCACAGAGTTGAACGTTCCTTTAGACAGAGTAGATTGGAAACACTCTTTTTGTGGAATTTTCAGGTGGAGGTATCAAGCGCTTTGAGGCCAATGATAGAAAAGGAAATACCTTCGTATAATAATTAGACGGAATCATTCTCAGAAACTGCTTTGCAATGTGTGCGTTCAACTCACAGTGTTTAACCTTTCTTTTCATACAGTTGTTTCGAAACACTCTTTTTGCAGAATCTGCAAGTGGATATTTGGACCTCTTTGAAGTCTTCGTTGGAAATGGGATTTCTTCATATAATGCTAGACAGAAGACTTCTCAGTAACTGCTTTTTCTGGTGTGTATTCAACTCTCAGAGTTGAACTTTCCTTTAGAAACAGCAGATTTGAAACTCTCTTTTTGTGGAATTTGCAAGTGGAGATTTCAGAGCTTTGAGGCCAATGGTAGAAAAGGAAATATCTTCGTATGCAAACTAGACAGAATCATTCTCAGAAACTACTTTGGTACGTGTGTGTTCAACTCACAGTGTTTAACCTTTCTTTTCATAGAGCAGTTTGGAAACACTCAGTTTGTAAAGTCAGCAACTGGATATTTGGATGTATTTGAGGCCTTCGTTGGAAACGGGATTTCTTCATATAATGCTAGACAGAAGAATTCTCAGTAACTTCTTTGGGTTGTGGGTATTCAAGTCACAGAGTTGAAGCTTCCTTTAGGCGGAGCAGATTGGAAACACTTTTTGTGGAATTTTCAGGGGGAGACTTCAAGCGCTTTGAAGTGAATGGTAGGAAAGGAAATATCTTCGTATAAAAACTAGACGGAGTCATTCTCAGAAACTACTTTGTGATGTTTGCGTTCAACTCACAGAGTTTAACGTTTCTTTTCATAGAGCAGTTTGGAAACACTCTTTTTGCAGAATCTGCAAGTGGATATTTGGACCTCTTTGTGGCCTTCGTTGGAAACGGGATTTTTCATATAATGCTAGACAGAAGAATTCTCAGTAACTTCTTTTTGTGGTGTGTATTCAACTCACAGAGTTGAACCTTCCTTTAGACAGAGCAGATTTGAAACTCTCTCTTTGTGGAATTTGCAAGTGGAGATTTCAAGCGCTTTGAGGCCAACGGCAGAAAAGGAAATATCTTCGTAGAAAAAATAGACGGAATCATTCTCAGAAACTGCTTTGGGATGTGTGCATTGAACTCACAGTGTTTAACACTTCTTTTCATAGAGCACTTTGGAAACACTCAGGTTGTAATGTCTGCAGCTGGATATTTGGACCTCTTTGAGGCCTTCGTAGTAAACGGGATTTCTTCGTGTAATGATAGACAATAGAATTCTCAGTGAATTTTTTTCTGTGTGTGTGTATTCAACTCACAGGGTTGAACCTTCCTTTAGACAGTGCAGATTTGAGACACTTGTCTGTGGAATTTGCAAGGGGAGATTTCAAGCACTTTGAGGCCATTGGTGGAAAAGGAAATATCTTCGTATAAAAACTAGACAGAATCATTCTCAGGAACTACTTTGTGATATGTGCATTCAACTCCCAGAGTTTAACCTTTCTTTTCATAGATGAGTTTGGAAACAGTCAGTTTGTAAATGCTGCAACTGGATATTTGGGCCTCTTTGAGGCTTTCGTTGGAAACGGGATTTCTTCACATAATGCTAGACAGAAGAATTCTCAGTAACTTCTTTTGGGATGTATGTATTCAAATCAGAGAGTTGAACCTTCCTTTAGACAGAGCGGATTGGAAACACTCTTTTTGTGGAATTTGCAAGTGGAAAATTCTAGCAGTATGAGGCCAATGGTACAAAAGGAAATATCTTCGTATAAAAACTAGACAGTATCATTCTCAGAAACTGCTTTGTGATGTGTGTATTAAACTCACAGAGTTTAACCTTTCTTTTCATAGAGCAGTTTGGAAACCCTCTGTTTGTGAAGTCTGCAAGTGGATATTTAAACGTCTTTGAGGCCTTCGTTGGAAACGGGATTTTTTCATATAAACCAGGACAGAAGAATTCTCAGAAACTTCTTGATTGTTATGTGTGCATTCTACTCACAGAGTTGAACCTTACTTTGGAAAGAGCAGTTTTCTAACACTCTTTTTGTAAAAGTTCCAAGTGAATACTTTGAGTGCTTTGAAGCCTACGGTTGACAACGAAATATCTTCATGTAAAAACTACAAAGAATCATTCGCAGAAACCACGTTGTGATCTCTGCATTCAACTCACAGAGTTGAACCTTTCTTCCTATAGAGCAGTTATGAAACAGTCTCTTTGTAGAATTTGCAAGGGTGTATTTAGAGGGCATTGAAGCCTACGGTAGAAAAGGAAATATCTTACCATAAAATCTAGTCAGAAGCATTCTCAGCAACTGAGTTGTGATGTTTGCATTCAACTCACAGAGTTCAACATTCCTTTTAATGGAGCGGTTTTGAAACACTCTTTTTGCAGAATCTGCAAGTGGATATTTGGACCTCTTTGAGGCCTTCGTTGGAAACGGGATTTCTTCATGTAATGCCAGACAGAAGAATTCTCAGTGAATTCTTTCTGTGTGTGTGTATTCAACTCACAGAGTTGAACGTTCCTTTAGACAGAGTAGATTGGAAACACTCTTTTTGTGGAATTTTCAGGTGGAGGTATCAAGCGCTTTGAGGCCAATGATAGAAAAGGAAATACCTTCGTATAATAATTAGACGGAATCATTCTCAGAAACTGCTTTGCAATGTGTGCGTTCAACTCACAGTGTTTAACCTTTCTTTTCATACAGTTGTTTCGAAACACTCTTTTTGCAGAATCTGCAAGTGGATATTTGGACCTCTTTGAAGTCTTCGTTGGAAATGGGATTTCTTCATATAATGCTAGACAGAAGACTTCTCAGTAACTGCTTTTTCTGGTGTGTATTCAACTCTCAGAGTTGAACTTTCCTTTAGAAACAGCAGATTTGAAACTCTCTTTTTGTGGAATTTGCAAGTGGAGATTTCAGAGCTTTGAGGCCAATGGTAGAAAAGGAAATATCTTCGTATGCAAACTAGACAGAATCATTCTCAGAAACTACTTTGGTACGTGTGTGTTCAACTCACAGTGTTTAACCTTTCTTTTCATAGAGCAGTTTGGAAACACTCAGTTTGTAAAGTCAGCAACTGGATATTTGGATGTATTTGAGGCCTTCGTTGGAAACGGGATTTCTTCATATAGTGCTAGACAGAAGAATTCTCAGTAACTTCTTTGGGTTGTGGGTATTCAACTCACAGAGTTGAAGCTTCCTTTAGGCGGAGCAGATTGGAAACACTTTTTGTGGAATTTTCAGGGGGAGACTTCAAGCGCTTTGAAGTGAATGGTAGAAAAGGAAATATCTTCGTATAAAAACTAGACGGAGTCATTCTCAGAAACTACTTTGTGATGTTTGCGTTCAACTCACAGAGTTTAACGTTTCTTTTCATAGAGCAGTTTGGAAACACTCTTTTTGCAGAATCTGCAAGTGGATATTTGGACCTCTTTGTGGCCTTCGTTGGAAACGGGATTTTTCATATAATGCTAGACAGAAGAATTCTCAGTAACTTCTTTTTGTGGTGTGTATTCAACTCACAGAGTTGAACCTTCCTTTAGACAGAGCAGATTTGAAACTCTCTTTTTGTGGAATTTGCAAGTGGAGATTTCAAGCGCTTTGAGGCCAACGGTAGAAAAGGAAATATCTTCGTAGAAAAAATAGACGGAATCATTCTCAGAAACTGCTTTGGGATGTGTGCATTGAACTCACAGTGTTTAACACTTCTTTTCATAGAGCACTTTGGAAACACTCAGTTTGTAATGTCTGCAGCTGGATATTTGGACCTCTTTGAGGCCTTCGTAGTAAACGGGATTTCTTCGTGTAATGATAGACAATAGAATTCTCAGTGAATTTTTTTCTGTGTGTGTGTATTCAACTCACAGGGTTGAACCTTCCTTTAGACAGTGCAGATTTGAGACACTTGTCTGTGGAATTTGCAAGGGGAGATTTCAAGCACTTTGAGGCCATTGGTGGAAAAGGAAATATCTTCGTATAAAAACTAGACAGAATCATTCTCAGGAACTACTTTGTGATATGTGCATTCAACTCACAGAGTTTAACCTTTCTTTTCATAGATGAGTTTGGAAACAGTCAGTTTGTAAATGCTGCAACTGGATATTTGGGCCTCTTTGAGGCTTTCGTTGGAAACGGGATTTCTTCACATAATGCTAGACAGAAGAATTCTCAGTAACTTCTTTTGGGATGTATGTATTCAAATCAGAGAGTTGAACCTTCCTTTAGACAGAGCGGATTGGAAACACTCTTTTTGTGGAATTTGCAAGTGGAAAATTCTAGCAGTATGAGGCCAATGGTACAAAAGGAAATATCTTCGTATAAAAACTAGACAGTATCATTCTCAGAAACTGCTTTGTGATGTGTGTATTAAACTCACAGAGTTGAACATTTCTTTGCATAGAGCAGTATGGAAAGACTTAGTTTGTGCAGTGTGCAAGTGGATATTTGGAACTCTTTGAGGCCTTGGTTGGAAACGGGATTTCTTCTTATAATTCTTGACAAAAGAATTCTCAGTAGCTTCTTTGTGTGTGTGTACTCAACTCACAGAGTTGAACCTTCCTTTAGACAGAGCAGATTGGAAACACTCTTTTTGTGGAATTTGCAAGTGGAAAATTCTAGCAGTATGAGGCCAATGGTACAAAAGGAAATATCTTCGTATAAAAACTAGACAGTATCATTCTCAGAAACTACTTTGTGATGTGTGCGTTCAACTCACAGTGTTTACCCTTTCTTTTCATAGAGCAGTTTGGAAACACTCTGTTTGTGAAGTCTGCAAGTGGATATTTAAACGTCTTTGAGGCCTTCGTTGGAAACGGGATTTCTTCCTATAAACCAGGACAGAAGGATTCTCAGAAACTTCTTGTTTGTTATGTGTGCATTCAACTCACAGAGTTGAACCTTACTTTGGAAAGAGCAGTTTTCTAACACTCTTTTTGTAAAAGTTCCAAGTGAATACTTTGAGTGCTTTGAAGCCTACGGTAGACAACGAAATATTCTTCATGTAAAAACTACAAAGAATCATTCGCCGAAACCACGTTGTGATCTCTGCATTCAACTCACAGAGTTCAACCTTTCTTCCTATAGAGCAGTTATGAAACAGTCTCTTTGTAGAATTTGCAAGGGTGTATTTAGAGGGCATTGAGGCCTACGGTAGAAAAGGAAATATCTGACCATAAAATCTAGTCAGAAGCATTCTCAGAAACTGAGTTGTGATGTTTGCATTCAACTCACAGAGTTCAACATTCCTTTTCATAGAGCGGTTTTGAAACACTCTTTTTCCAGAATCTGCAAGTGGATATTTGGACCTCTTTGAGGCCTTCGTTGGAAACGGGATTTCTTCATGTAATCCCAGACAGAAGAACTCTCAGTGAATTCTTTCTGTGTGTGTGTACTCAACTCACAGAGTTGAACGTTCCCTTAGACAGAGTAGATTGGAAACACTCTTTTTGTGGAATGTTCACGTGGAGGTATCAAGCGCTTTGAGGCCCATGATAGAAAAGGAAATACCTTCGTATAATAATTAGATGGAATCATTCTCAGAAACTGCTTTGCAATGTGTGCCTTCAACTCACAGTGTTTAACCTTTCTTTTCATACAGTTGTTTCGAAACACCCTTTTTGCGGAATCTGGAAGTGGATATTTGGACCTCTTTGAAGTCTTCGTTGGAAATGGGATTTCTTCATATAATGCTAGACAGAAGACTTCTCAGTAACTGGTTTTTCTGGTGTGTATTCAACTCTCAGAGTTGAACTTTCCTTTAGAAACAGCAGATATGAAACTCTCTTTTTGTGGAATTTGCAAGTGGAGATTTCAAAGCATTGAGGCCAATGGTAGAAAAGGAAATATCTTCGTATGCCAACTAGACAGAATCATTCTCAGAAACTACTTTGGTACGTGTGTGTTCAACTCACAGTGTTTAACCTTTCCTTTCATAGAGCAGTTTGGAAACACTCAGTTTGTAAAGTCAGCCACTGGATATTTGGATGTATTTGAGGCCTTCGTTGGAAACGGGATTTCTTCATATAATGCTAGACAGAAGAATTCTCAGTAACTTCTTTGTGTTGTGGGTATTCAACTCACAGAGTTGAAGCTTCCTTTAGGCGGAGCAGATTGGAAACACTTTTTGTGGAATTTTCAGGGGGAGACTTCAAGCGCTTTGAGGCCAACGGTAGAAAAGGAAATATCTTCGTATAAAAACTAGACGGAGTCATTCTCAGAAACTACTTTGTGATGTTTGCGTTCAACTCACAGAGTTTAACGTTTCTTTTCATAGAGCAGTTTGGAGACACTCTTTTTGCAGAATCTGCAAGTGGATATTTGGACCTCTTTGTGGCCTTCGTTGGAAACGGGATTTTTCATATAATGCTAGACAGAAGAATTCTCAGTAACTTCTTTTTGTGGTGTGTATTCAACTCACAGAGTTGAACCTTCCTTTAGACAGAGCAGATTTGAAACTCTCTTTTTGTGGAATTTGCAAGTGGAGATTTCAAGCGCTTTGGGGCCAACGGTAGAAAAGGAAATATCTTCGTAGAAAAAATAGACGGAATCATTCTCAGAAACTGCTTTGGGATGTGTGCATTGAACTCACAGTGTTTAACACTTCTTTTCATAGAGCACTTTGGAAACAGTCAGTTTGGAATGTCTGCAGCTGGATATTTGGACCTCTTTGAGGCCTTCGTAGTAAACGGGATTTCTTCGGGTAATGATAGACAATAGAATTCTCAGTGAATTTTTTTCTGTGTGTGTGTATTCAACTCACAGGGTTGAACCTTCCTTCAGACAGTACAGATTTGAAACACTTTTCTGTGGAATTTGCAAGGGGAGATTTCAAGCACTTTGTGGCCATTGGTGGAAAAGGGAATATCTTCGTATAAAAACTAGACAGAGTCATTGTCAGGAACTACTTTGTGATATATGCATTCAACTCACAGAGTTTAACCTTTCTTTTCATAGATGAGTTTGGAAACAGTCAGTTTGTAAATTCTGCAACTGGATATTTGGACCTCTTTGAGGCTTTCGTTGGAAACGGGATTTCTTCACATAATGCTAGACAGAAGAATTCTCAGTAACTTCTTTTGGGATGTATGTATTCAACTCAGAGAGTTGAACCTTCCTTTAGACAGAGCGGATTGGAAACACGCTTTTTGCGGAATTTTCAGGTGGAGATTCCAAGAGCCTTGAGGCCAATGGTAGAAAAGGCTATCTTCGTATAAAAACTAGAGGGAATCATTCTCAGAAACTGCTTTGTGATGTGTGCATTAAACTCACAGAGTTGAACATTTCTTTGCATAGAGCAGTTTGGAAAGACTTAGTTTGTACAGTGTGCAAGTGGATATTTGGAACTCTTTGAGGCCTTCGTTGGAAACGGGATTTCTTCTTATAATTCTTGACAAAAGAATTCTCAGTAGCTTCTTTGTGTGTGTGTATTCAACTCACAGAGTTGAACCTTCCTTTAGGCAGAGCAGATTGGAAACCCTCTTTTTGTGGAATTTGCAAGTGGAGAATTCTAGCGCTTTGACGCCAATGGTAGGAAAGGAAATATCTTCGTATAAAAACTGGACAGTATCATTCTCAGAAACTACTTTGTGATGTGTGCGTTCAACTCACAGAGTTTAACCTTTCTTTTCATAGAGCAGTTTGGAAACACTCTGTTTGTGAAGTCTGCAAGTGGATATTTAAACGTCTTTGAGGCCTTCGTTGGAAACGGGATTTTTTCATATAAACCAGGACAGAAGGATTCTCAGAAACTTCTTGTTTGTTATGTGTGCATTCAACTCACAGAGTTGAACCTTACTTTGGAAAGAGCAGTTTTCTAACACTCTTTTTGTAAAAGTTCCAAGTGAATACTTTGAGTGCTTTGAAGCCTACGGTAGACAACGAAATATTCTTCATGTAAAAACTACAAAGAATCATTCGCAGAAACCACGTTGTGATCTCTGCATTCAACTCACAGAGTTGAACCTTTCTTCCTGTAGAGCAGTTATGAAACAGTCTCTTTGTAGAATTTGCAAGGGTGTATTTAGAGGGCATTGAAGCCTACGGTAGAAAAGGAAATATCTTACCATAAAATCTAGTCAGAAGCATTCTCAGAAACTGAGTTGTGATGTTTGCATTCAACTCACAGAGTTCAACATTCCTTTTAATGGAGCGGTTTTGAAACACTCTTTTTGCAGAATCTGCAAGTGGATATTTGGACCTCTTTGAGGCCTTCGTTGGAAACGGGATTTCTTCATGTAATGCCAGACAGAAGAATTCTCAGTGAATTCTTTCTGTGTGTGTGTATTCAACTCACGGAGTTGAACGTTCCTTTAGACAGAGTAGATTGGAAACACTCTTTTTGTGGAATTTTCAGGTGGAGGTATCATGCGCTTTGAGGCCAATGATAGAAAAGGAAATACCTTCGTATAATAATTAGACGGAATCATTCTCAGAAACTGCTTTGCAATGTGTGCGTTCAACTCACAGTGTTTAACCTTTCTTTTCATACAGTTGTTTCGAAACACTCTTTTTGCAGAATCTGCAAGTGGATATTTGGACCTCTTTGAAGTCTTCGTTGGAAATGGGATTTCTTCATATAATGCTAGACAGAAGACTTCTCAGTAACTGCTTTTTCTGGTGTGTATTCAACTCTCCGAGTTGAACTTTCCTTTAGAAACAGCAGATTTGAAACTCTCTTTTTGTGGAATTTGCAAGTGGAGATTTCAGAGCTTTGAGGCCAATGGTAGAAAAGGAAATATCTTCTTATGCAAACTAGACAGAATCATTCTCAGAAACTACTTTGGTACGTGTGTGTTCAACTCACAGTGTTTAACCTTTCTTTTCATAGAGCAGTTTGGAAACACTCAGTTTGTAAAGTCAGCAACTGGATATTTGGATGTATTTGAGGCCTTCGTTGGAAACGGGATTTCTTCATATAATGCTAGACAGAATAATTCTCAGTAACTTCTTTGGGTTGTGGGTATTCAACTCACAGAGTTGAAGCTTCCTTTAGGCGGAGTAGATTGGAAACACTTTTTGTGGAATTTTCAGGGGGAGACTTCAAGCGCTTTGAGGCCAACGGTAGAAAAGGAAATATCTTCGTATAAAAACTAGACGGAGTCATTCTCAGAAACTACTTTGTGATGTTTGCATTCAACTCACAGAGTTTAACGTTTCTTTTCATAGAGCAGTTTGGAAACACTCTTTTTGCAGAATCTGCAAGTGGATATTTGGACCTCTTTGTGGCCTTCGTTGGAAACGGGATTTTTCATACAATGCTAGACAGAAGAATTCTCAGTAACTTCTTTTTGTGGTGTGTATTCAACTCACAGAGTTGAACCTTCCTTTAGACAGAGCAGATTTGAAACTCTCTTTTTGTGGAATTTGCAAGTGGAGATTTCAAGCGCTTTGAGGCCAACGGCAGAAAAGGAAATATCTTCGTAGAAAAAATAGACGGAATCATTCTCAGAAACTGCTTTGGGATGTGTGCATTGAACTCACAGTGTTTAACACTTCTTTTCATAGAGCACTTTGGAAACACTCAGTTTGTAATGTCTGCAGCTGGATATTTGGACCTCTTTGAGGCCTTCGTAGTAAACGGGATTTCTTCGTGTAATGATAGACAATAGAATTCTCAGTGAATTTTTTTCTGTGTGTGTGTATTCAACTCACAGGGTTGAACCTTCCTTTAGACAGTGCAGATTTGAAACACTTGTCTGTGGAATTTGCAAGGGGAGATTTCAAGCACTTTGAGGCCATTGGTGGAAAAGGAAATATCTTCGTATAAAAACTAGACAGAATCATTCTCAGGAACTACTTTGTGATATGTGCATTCAACTCACAGAGTTTAACCTTTCTTTTCATAGATGAGTTTGGAAACAGTCAGTTTGTAAATGCTGCAACTGGATATTTGGACCTCTTTGAGGCTTTCGTTGGAAACGGGATTTCTTCACATAATGCTAGACAGAAGAATTCTCAGTAACTTCTTTTGGGATGTATGTATTCAAATCAGAGAGTTGAACCTTCCTTTAGACAGAGCGGATTGGAAAAACTCTTTTTGTGGAATTTGCAAGTGGAAAATTCTAGCAGTATGAGGCCAATGGTACAAAAGGAAATATCCTTCGTATAAAAACTAGACAGTATATCATTCTCAGTAAACTGCTTTGTGATGTGTGTATTAAACTCACAGAGTTGAACATTTCTTTGCATAGAGCAGTTTGGAAAGACTTAGCTTGTGCAGTGTGCAAGTGGATATTTGGAACTCTTTGAGGCCTTCGTTGGAAACGGGATTTCTTCTTATAATTCTTGACAAAAGAATTCTCAGTAGCTTCTTTGTGTGTGTGTATTCAACTCACAGAGTTGAACCTTCCTTTAGACAGAGCAGATTGGAAACACTCTTTTTGTGGAATTTGCAAGTGGAGAATTCTAGCGCTTTGACGCCAATGGTAGAAAGGAAATATCTTCGTATAAAAACTAGACAGTATCATTCTCAGAAGCTACTTTGTGATGTGTGCGTTCAGCTCACAGAGTTTAACCTTTCTTTTCATAGAGCAGTTTGGAAACCCTCTGTTTGTGAAGTCTGCAAGTGGATATTTAAACGTCTTTGAGGCCTTCGTTGGAAACGGGATTTTTTCATATAAACCAGGACAGAAGAATTCTCAGAAACTTCTTGATTGTTATGGGTGCATTCAACTCACAGAGTTGAACCTTACTTTGGAAAGAGCAGTTTTCTAACACTCTTTTTGTAAAAGTTCCAAGTGAATACTTTGAGTGCTTTGAAGCCTACGGTTGACAACGAAATATCTTCATGTAAAAACTACAAAGAATCATTCGCAGAAACCACGTTGTGATCTCTGCAGTCAACTCACAGAGTTCAACCTTTCTTCCTATAGAGCAGTTATGAAACAGTCTCTTTGTAGAATTTGCAAGGGTGTATTTAGAGGGCATTGAAGCCTACGGTAGAAAAGGAAATATCTTACCATAAAATCTAGTCAGAAGCATTCTCAGAAACTGAGTTGTGATGTTTGCATTCAACTCACAGAGTTCAACATTCCTTTTAATGGAGCGGTTTTGAAACACTCTTTTTGCAGAATCTGCAAGTGGATATTTGGACCTCTTTGAGGCCTTCGTTGGAAACGGGATTTCTTCATGTAATGCCAGACAGAAGAATTCTCAGTGAATTCTTTCTGTGTGTGTGTATTCAACTCACAGAGTTGAACGTTCCTTTAGACAGAGTAGATTGGAAACACTCTTTTTGTGGAATTTTCAGGTGGAGGTATCAAGCGCTTTGAGGCCAATGATAGAAAAGGAAATACCTTCGTATAATAATTAGACGGAATCATTCTCAGAAACCGCTTTGCAATGTGTGCGTTCAACTCACAGTGTTTAACCTTTCTTTTCATACAGTTGTTTCGAAACACTCTTTTTGCAGAATCTGCAAGTGGATATTTGGACCTCTTTGAAGTCTTCGTTGGAAATGGGATTTCTTCATATAATGCTAGACAGAAGACTTCTCAGTAACTGCTTTTTCTGGTGTGTATTCAACTCTCAGAGTTGAACTTTCCTTTAGAAACAGCAGATTTGAAACTCTCTTTTTGTGGAATTTGCAAGTGGAGATTTCAGAGCTTTGAGGCCAATGGTAGAAAAGGAAATATCTTCGTATGCAAACTAGACAGAATCATTCTCAGAAACTACTTTGGTACGTGTGTGTTCAACTCACAGTGTTTAACCTTTCTTTTCATAGAGCAGTTTGGAAACACTCAGTTTGTAAAGTCAGCAACTGGATATTTGGATGTATTTGAGGCCTTCGTTGGAAACGGGATTTCTTCATATAGTGCTAGACAGAAGAATTCTCAGTAACTTCTTTGGGTTGTGGGTATTCAAGTCACAGAGTTGAAGCTTCCTTTAGGCGGAGCAGATTGGAAACACTTTTTGTGGAATTTTCAGGGGGAGACTTCAAGCGCTTTGAAGTGAATGGTAGGAAAGGAAATATCTTCGTATAAAAACTAGACGGAGTCATTCTCAGAAACTACTTTGTGATGTTTGCGTTCAACTCACAGAGTTTAACGTTTCTTTTCATAGAGCAGTTTGGAAACACTCTTTTTGCAGAATCTGCAAGTGGATATTTGGTCCTCTTTGTGGCCTTCGTTGGAAACGGGATTTTTCATATAATGCTAGACAGAAGAATTCTCAGTAACTTCTTTTTGTGGTGTGTATTCAACTCACAGAGTTGAACCTTCCTTTAGACAGAGCAGATTTGAAACTCTCTTTTTGTGGAATTTGCAAGTGGAGATTTCAAGCGCTTTGAGGCCAACGGCAGAAAAGGAAATATCTTCGTAGAAAAAATAGACGGAATCATTCTCAGAAACTGCTTTGGGATGTGTGCATTGAACTCACAGTGTTTAACACTTCTTTTCATAGAGCACTTTGGAAACACTCAGTTTGCAATGTCTGCAGCTGGATATTTGGACCTCTTTGAGGCCTTCGTAGTAAACGGGATTTCTTCGTGTAATGATAGACAATAGAATTCTCAGTGAATTTTTTTCTGTGTGTGTGTATTCAACTCACAGGGTTGAACCTTCCTTTAGACAGTGCAGATTTGAGACACTTGTCTGTGGAATTTGCAAGGGGAGATTTCAAGCACTTTGAGGCCATTGGTGGAAAAGGAAATATCTTCGTATGAAAACTAGACAGAATCATTCTCAGGAACTACTTTGTGATATGTGCATTCAACTCCCAGAGTTTAACCTTTCTTTTCATAGATGAGTTTGGAAACAGTCAGTTTGTAAATTCTGCAACTGGATATTAGGACCTCTTTGAGGCTTTCGTTGGAAACGGGATTTCTTCACATAATGCTAGACAGAAGAATTCTCAGTAACTTCTTTTGGGATGTATGTATTCAAATCAGAGAGTTGAACCTTCCTTTAGACAGAGCGGATTGGAAACACTCTTTTTGTGGAATTTGCAAGTGGAAAATTCTAGCAGTATGAGGCCAATGGTACAAAAGGAAATATCTTCGTATAAAAACTAGACAGTTATCATTCTCAGTAAACTGCTTTGTGATGTGTGTATTAAACTCACAGAGTTGAACATTTCTTTGCATAGAGCAGTTTGGAAAGACTTAGTTTGTGCAGTGTGCAAGTGGATATTTGGAACTCTTTGAGGCCTTCGTTGGAAACGGGATTTCTTCTTATAATTCTTGACAAAAGAATTCTCAGTAGCTTCTTTGTGTGTGTGTATTCAACTCACAGAGTTGAACCTTCCTTTAGACAGAGCAGATTGGAAACACTCTTTTTGTGGAATTTGCAAGTGGAGAATTCTAGCGCTTTGACGCCAATGGTAGAAAGGAAATATCTTCGTATAAAAACTAGACAGTATCATTCTCAGAAACTACTTTGTGATGTGCGCGTTCAACTCACAGAGTTTAACCTTTCTTTTCATAGAGCAGTTTGGAAACACTCTGTTTGTGAAGTCTGCAAGTGGATATTTAAACGTACTTTGAGGCCTTCGTTGGAAACAGGATTTGTTCATATAAACCAGGACAGAAGAATTCTCAGAAACTTCTTGATTGTTATGTGTGCATTCAACTCACAGAGTTGAACCTTACTTTGGAAAGAGCAGTTTTCTAACACTCTTTTTGTAAAAGTTCCAAGTGAATACTTTGAGTGCTTTGAAGCCTACGGTTGACAACGAAATATCTTCATGTAAAAACTACAAAGAATCATTCGCAGAAACCACGTTGTGATCTCTGCATTCAACTCACAGAGTTCAACCTTTCTTCCTATAGAGCAGTTATGAAACAGTCTCTTTGTAGAATTTGCAAGGGTGTATTTAGAGGGCATTGAAGCCTACGGTAGAAAAGGAAATATCTTACCATAAAATCTAGTCAGAAGCATTCTCAGAAACTGAGTTGTGATGTTTGCATTCAACTCACAGAGTTCAACATTCCTTTTAATGGAGCGGTTTTGAAACACTCTTTTTGCAGAATCTGCAAGTGGATATTTGGACCTCTTTGAGGCCTTCGTTGGAAACGGGATTTCTTCATGTAATGCCAGACAGAAGAATTCTCAGTGAATTCTTTCTGTGTGTGTGTATTCAACTCACAGAGTTGAACGTTCCTTTAGACAGAGTAGATTGGAAACACTCTTTTTGTGGAATTTTCAGGTGGAGGTATCAAGCGCTTTGAGGCCAATGATAGAAAAGGAAATACCTTCGTATAATAATTAGACGGAATCATTCTCAGAAACTGCTTTGCAATGTGTGCGTTCAACTCACAGTGTTTAACCTTTCTTTTCATACAGTTGTTTCGAAACACTCTTTTTGCAGAATCTGCAAGTGGATATTTGGACCTCTTTGAAGTCTTCGTTGGAAATGGGATTTCTTCATATAATGCTAGACAGAAGACTTCTCAGTAACTGCTTTTTCTGGTGTGTATTCAACTCTCAGAGTTGAACTTTCCTTTAGAAACAGCAGATTTGAAACTCTCTTTTTGTGGAATTTGCAAGTGGAGATTTCAGAGCTTTGAGGCCAATGGTAGAAAAGGAAATATCTTCGTATGCAAACTAGACAGAATCATTCTCAGAAACTACTTTGGTACGTGTGTGTTCAACTCACAGTGTTTAACCTTTCTTTTCATAGAGCAGTTTGGAAACACTCAGTTTGTAAAGTCAGCAACTGGATATTTGGATGTATTTGAGGCCTTCGTTGGAAACGGGATTTCTTCATATAATGCTAGACAGAAGAATTCTCAGTAACTTCTTTGGGTTGTGGGTATTCAACTCACAGAGTTGAAGCTTCCTTTAGGCGGAGCAGATTGGAAACACTTTTTGTGGAATTTTCAGGGGGAGACTTCAAGCGCTTTGAAGTGAATGGTAGGAAAGGAAATATCTTCGTATAAAAACTAGACGGAGTCATTCTCAGAAACTACTTTGTGATGTTTGCGTTCAACTCACAGAGTTTAACGTTTCTTTTCATAGAGCAGTTTGGAAACACTCTTTTTGCAGAATCTGCAAGTGGATATTTGGACCTCTCTGTGGCCTTCGTTGGAAACGGGATTTTTCATATAATGCTAGACAGAAGAATTCTCAGTAACTTCTTTTTGTGGTGTGTATTCAACTCACAGAGTTGAACCTTCCTTTAGACAGAGCAGATTTGAAACTCTCTTTTTGTGGAATTTGCAAGTGGAGATTTCAAGCGCTTTGAGGCCAACGGTAGAAAAGGAAATATCTTCGTAGAAAAAATAGACGGAATCATTCTCAGAAACTGCTTTGGGATGTGTGCATTGAACTCACAGTGTTTAACACTTCTTTTCATAGAGCACTTTGGAAACACTCAGTTTGTAATGTCTGCAGCTGGATATTTGGACCTCTTTGAGGCCTTCGTAGTAAACGGGATTTCTTCGTGTAATGATAGACAATAGAATTCTCAGTGAATTTTTTTCTGTGTGTGTGTATTCAACTCACAGGGTTGAACCTTCCTTTAGACAGTGCAGATTTGAGACACTTGTCTGTGGAATTTGCAAGGGGAGATTTCAAGCACTTTGAGGCCATTGGTGGAAAAGGAAATATCTTCGTATAAAAACTAGACAGAATCATTCTCAGGAACTACTTTGTGATATGTGCATTCAACTCACAGAGTTTAACCTTTCTTTTCATAGATGAGTTTGGAAACAGTCAGTTTGTAAATGCTGCAACTGGATATTTGGGCCTCTTTGAGGCTTTCGTTGGAAACGGGATTTCTTCACATAATGCTAGACAGAAGAATTCTCAGTAACTTCTTTTGGGATGTATGTATTCAAATCAGAGAGTTGAGCCTTCCTTTAGACAGAGCGGATTGGAAACACTCTTTTTGTGGAATTTGCAAGTGGAAAATTCTGGCAGTATGAGGCCAATGGTACAAAAGGAAATATCTTCGTATAAAAACTAGACAGTATCATTCTCAGAAACTGCTTTGTGATGTGTGAATTAAACTCACAGAGTTGAACATTTCTTTGCATAGAGCAGTTTGGAAAGACTTAGTTTTTGCAGTGTGCAAGTGGATATTTGGAACTCTTTGAGGCCTTCGTTGGAAACGGGATTTCTTCTTATAATTCTTGACAAAAGAATTCTCAGTAGCTTCTTTGTGTGTGTGTATTCAACTCACAGAGTTGAACCTTCCTTTAGACAGAGCAGATTGGAAACACTCTTTTTGTGGAATTTGCAAGTGGAGAATTCTAACGCTTTGACGCCAATGGTAGAAAGGAAATATCTTCGTATAAAAACTAGACAGTATCTTTCTCAGAAACAACTTTGTGATGTGTGCGTTCAACTCACAGAGTTTAACCTTTCTTTTCATAGAGCAGTTTGGAAACACTCTGTTTGTGAAGTCTGCAAGTGGATATTTAAACGTCTCTGAGGCCTTCGTTGGAAACGGGATTTTTTCATATAAACCAGGACAGAAGAATTCTCAGAAACTTCTTGATTGTTATGTGTGCATTCAACTCACAGAGTATGAACCTTACTTTGGAAAGAGCAGTTTTCTAACACTCTTTTTGTAAAAGTTCCAAGTGAATACTTTGAGTGCTTTGAACCCTACGGTTGACAACGAAATATCTTCATGTAAAAACTACAAAGTATCATTCGCAGAAACCACGTTGTGATCTCTGCATTCAACTCACAGAGTTGAACCTTTCTTCCTATAGAGCAGTTATGAAACAGTCTCTTTGTAGAATTTGCAAGGGTGTATTTAGAGGGCATTGAAGCCTACGGTAGAAAAGGAAATATCTTACCATAAAATCTAGTCAGAAGCATTCTCAGCAACTGAGTTGTGATGTTTGCATTCAACTCACAGAGTTCAACATTCCTTTTAATGGAGCGGTTTTGAAACACTCTTTTTGCAGAATCTGCAAGTGGATATTTGGACCTCTTTGAGGCCTTCGTTGGAAACGGGATTTCTTCATGTAATGCCAGACAGAAGAATTCTCAGTGAATTCTTTCTGTGTGTGTGTATTCAACTCACAGAGTTGAACGTTCCTTTAGACAGAGTAGATTGGAAACACTCTTTTTGTGGAATTTTCAGGTGGAGGTATCAAGCGCTTTGAGGCCAATGATAGAAAAGGAAATACCTTCGTATAATAATTAGACGGAATCATTCTCAGAAACTGCTTTGCAATGTGTGCGTTCAACTCACAGTGTTTAACCTTTCTTTTCATACAGTTGTTTCGAAACACTCTTTTTGCAGAATCTGCAAGTGGATATTTGGACCTCTTTGAAGTCTTCGTTGGAAATGGGATTTCTTCATATAATGCTAGACAGAAGACTTCTCAGTAACTGCTTTTTCTGGTGTGTATTCAACTCTCAGAGTTGAACTTTCCTTTAGAAACAGCAGATTTGAAACTCTCTTTTTGTGGAATTTGCAAGTGGAGATTTCAGAGCTTTGAGGCCAATGGTAGAAAAGGAAATATCTTCGTATGCAAACTAGACAGAATCATTCTCAGAAACTACTTTGGTACGTGTGTGTTCAACTCACAGTGTTTAACCTTTCTTTTCATAGAGCAGTTTGGAAACACTCAGTTTGTAAAGTCAGCAACTGGATATTTGGATGTATTTGAGGCCTTCGTTGGAAACGGGATTTCTTCATATAATGCTAGACAGAAGAATTCTCAGTAACTTCTTTGGGTTGTGGGTATTCAAGTCACAGAGTTGAAGCTTCCTTTAGGCGGAGCAGATTGGAAACACTTTTTGTGGAATTTTCAGGGGGAGACTTCAAGCGCTTTGAAGTGAATGGTAGGAAAGGAAATATCTTCGTATAAAAACTAGACGGAGTCATTCTCAGAAACTACTTTGTGATGTTTGCGTTCAACTCACAGAGTTTAACGTTTCTTTTCATAGAGCAGTTTGGAAACACTCTTTTTGCAGAATCTGCAAGTGGATATTTGGACCTCTTTGTGGCCTTCGTTGGAAACGGGATTTTTCATATAATGCTAGACAGAAGAATTCTCAGTAACTTCTTTTTGTGGTGTGTATTCAACTCACAGAGTTGAACCTTCCTTTAGACAGAGCAGATTTGAAACTCTCTTTTTGTGGAATTTGCAAGTGGAGATTTCAAGCGCTTTGAGGCCAACGGCAGAAAAGGAAATATCTTCGTAGAAAAAATAGACGGAATCATTCTCAGAAACTGCTTTGGGATGTGTGCATTGAACTCACAGTGTTTAACACTTCTTTTCATAGAGCACTTTGGAAACACTCAGTTTGTAATGTCTGCAGCTGGATATTTGGACCTCTTTGAGGCCTTCGTGGTAAACGGGATTTCTTCGTGTAATGATAGACAATAGAATTCTCAGTGAATTTGTTTCTGTGTGTGTGTATTCAACTCACAGGGTTGAACCTTCCTTTAGACAGTGCAGATTTGAAACACTTGTCTGTGGAATTTGCAAGGGGAGATTTCAAGCACTTTGAGGCCATTGGTGGAAAAGGAAATATCTTCGTATGAAAACTAGACAGAATCATTCTCAGGAACTACTTTGTGATATGTGCATTCAACTCCCAGAGTTTAACCTTTCTTTTCATAGATGAGTTTGGAAACAGTCAGTTTGTAAATTCTGCAACTGGATATTTGGACCTCTTTGAGGCTTTCGTTGGAAACGGGATTTCTTCACATAATGCTAGACAGAAGAATTCTCAGTAACTTCTTTTGGGATGTATGTATTCAAATCAGAGAGTTGAACCTTCCTTTAGACAGAGCGGATTGGAAACACTCTTTTTGTGGAATTTGCAAGTGGAAAATTCTAGCAGTATGAGGCCAATGGTACAAAAGGAAATATCTTCGTATAAAAACTAGACAGTATCATTCTCAGAAACTGCTTTGTGATGTGTGTATTAAACTCACAGAGTTGAACATTTCTTTGCATAGAGCAGTTTGGAAAGACTTAGTTTGTGCAGTGTGCAAGTGGATATTTGGAACTCTTTGAGGCCTTCGTTGGAAACGGGATTTCTTCTTATAATTCTTGACAAAAGAATTCTCAGTAGCTTCTTTGTGTGTGTGTATTCAACTCACAGAGTTGAACCTTCCTTTAGACAGAGCAGATTGGAAACACTCTTTTTGTGGAATTTGCAAGTGGAGAATTCTAGCGCTTTGACGCCAATGGTAGAAAGGAAATATCTTCGTATAAAAACTAGACAGTATCATTCTCAGAAGCTACTTTGTGATGTGTGCGTTCAACTCACAGAGTTTAACCTTTCTTTTCATAGAGCAGTTTGGAAACCCTCTGTTTGTGAAGTCTGCAAGTGGATATTTAAACGTCTTTGAGGCCTTCGTTGGAAACGGGATTTTTTCATATAAACCAGGACAGAAGAATTCTCAGAAACTTCTTGATTGTTATGTGTGCATTCAACTCACAGAGTTGAACCTTACTTTGGAAAGAGCAGTTTTCTAACACTCTTTTTGTAAAAGTTCCAAGTGAATACTTTGAGTGCTTTGAAGCCTACGGTTGACAACGAAATATCTTCATGTAAAAACTACAAAGAATCATTCGCAGAAACCACGTTGTGATCTCTGCAGTCAACTCACAGAGTTCAACCTTTCTTCCTATAGAGCAGTTATGAAACAGTCTCTTTGTAGAATTTGCAAGGGTGTATTTAGAGGGCATTGAAGCCTACGGTAGAAAAGGAAATATCTTACCATAAAATCTAGTCAGAAGCATTCTCAGAAACTGAGTTGTGATGTTTGCATTCAACTCACAGAGTTCAACATTCCTTTTAATGGAGCGGTTTTGAAACACTCTTTTTGCAGAATCTGCAAGTGGATATTTGGACCTCTTTGAGGCCTTCGTTGGAAACGGGATTTCTTCATGTAATGCCAGACAGAAGAATTCTCAGTGAATTCTTTCTGTGTGTGTGTATTCAACTCACAGAGTTGAACGTTCCTTTAGACAGAGTAGATTGGAAACACTCTTTTTGTGGAATTTTCAGGTGGAGGTATCAAGCGCTTTGAGGCCAATGATAGAAAAGGAAATACCTTCGTATAATAATTAGACGGAATCATTCTCAGAAACTGCTTTGCAATGTGTGCGTTCAATTCACAGTGTTTAACCTTTCTTTTCATACAGTTTTGTTTCGAAACACTCTTTTTGCAGAATCTGCAAGTGGATATTTGGACCTCTTTGAAGTCTTCGTTGGAAATGGGATTTCTTCATATAATGCTAGACAGAAGACTTCTCAGTAACTGCTTTTTCTGGTGTGTATTCAACTCTCAGAGTTGAACTTTCCTTTAGAAACAGCAGAGTTGAAACTCTCTTTTTGTGGAATTTGCAAGTGGAGATTTCAAAGCTTTGAGGCCAATGGTAGAAAAGGAAATATCTTCGTATGCAAACTAGACAGAATCATTCTCAGAAACTACTTTGGTACGTGTGTGTTCAACTCACAGTGTTTAACCTTTCTTTTCATAGAGCAGTTTGGAAACACCCAGTTTGTAAAGTCAGCAACTGGATATTTGGATGTATTTGAGGCCTTCGTTGGAAACGGGATTTCTTCATATAGTGCTAGACAGAAGAATTCTCAGTAACTTCTTTGGTTTGTGGGTATTCAACTCACAGAGTTGAAGCTTCCTTTAGGCGGAGCAGATTGGAAACACTTTTTCTGGAATTTTCAGGGGGAGACTTCAAGCGCTTTGAAGTGAATGGTAGAAAAGGAAATATACTTCGTATAAAAACTAGACGGAGTCATTCTCAGAAACTACTTTGTGATGTTTGCGTTCAACTCACAGAGTTTAACGTTTCTTTTCATAGAGCAGTTTGGAAACACTCTTTTTGCAGAATCTGCAAGTGGATATTTGGACCTCTTTGTGGCCTTCGTTGGAAACGGGATTTTTCATATAATGCTAGACAGAAGAATTCTCAGTAACTTCTTTTTGTGGTGTGTATTCAACTCACAGAGTTGAACCTTCCTTTAGACAGAGCAGATTTGAAACTCTCTTTTTGTGGAATTTGCAAGTGGAGATTTCAAGCGCTTTGAGGCCAACGGCAGAAAAGGAAATATCTTCGTAGAAAAAATAGACGGAATCATTCTCAGAAACTGCTTTGGGATGTGTGCATTGAACTCGCAGTGTTTAACACTTCTTTTCATAGAGCACTTTGGAAACACTCAGGTTGTAATGTCTGCAGCTGGATATTTGGACCTCTTTGAGGCCTTCGTAGTAAACGGGATTTCTTCGTGTAATGATAGACAATAGAATTCTCAGTGAATTTTTTTCTGTGTGTGTGTATTCAACTCACAGGGTTGAACCTTCCTTTAGACAGTGCAGATTTGAGACACTTGTCTGTGGAATTTGCAAGGGGAGATTTCAAGCACTTTGAGGCCATTGGTGGAAAAGGAAATATCTTCGTATAAAAACTAGACAGAATCATTCTCAGGAACTACTTTGTGATATGTGCATTCAACTCACAGAGTTTAACCTTTCTTTTCATAGATGAGTTTGGAAACAGTCAGTTTGTAAATGCTGCAACTGGATATTTGGGCCTCTTTGAGGCTTTCGTTGGAAACGGGATTTCTTCACATAATGCTAGACAGAAGAATTCTCAGTAACTTCTTTTGGGATGTATGTATTCAAATCAGAGAGTTGAACCTTCCTTTAGACAGAGCGGATTGGAAACACTCTTTTTGTGGAATTTGCAAGTGGAAAATTCTAGCAGTATGAGGCCAATGGTACAAAAGGAAATATCTTCGTATAAAAACTAGACAGTATCATTCTCAGAAACTGCTTTGTGATGTGTGTATTAAACTCACAGAGTTGAACATTTCTTTGCATAGAGCAGTATGGAAAGACTTAGTTTGTGCAGTGTGCAAGTGGATATTTGGAACTCTTTGAGGCCTTGGTTGGAAACGGGATTTCTTCTTATAATTCTTGACAAAAGAATTCTCAGTAGCTTCTTTGTGTGTGTGTACTCAACTCACAGAGTTGAACCTTCCTTTAGACAGAGCAGATTGGAAATATTCTTTTTGTGGAATTTGCAAGTGGAAAATTCTAGCAGTATGAGGCCAATGGTACAAAAGGAAATATCTTCGTATAAAAACTAGACAGTATCATTCTCAGAAACTACTTTGTGAGGTGTGCGTTCAACTCACAGTGTTTACCCTTTCTTTTCATAGAGCAGTTTGGAAACACTCTGTTTGTGAAGTCTGCAAGTGGATATTTAAACGTCTTTGAGGCCTTCGTTGGAAACGGGATTTCTTCATATAAACCAGGACAGAAGAATTCTCAGAAACTTCTTGTTTGTTATGTGTGCATTCAACTCACAGAGTTGAACCTTACTTTGGAAAGAGCAGTTTTCTAACACTCTTTTTGTAAAAGTTCCAAGTGAATACTTTGAATGCTTTGAAGCCTACGGTAGACAACGAAATATCTTCATGTAAAAACTACAAAGAATCATTCGCAGAAACCACGTTGTGATCTCTGCATTCAACTCACAGAGTTGAACATTTCCTCCTATAGAGCAGTTATGAAACAGTCTCTTTGTAGAATTTGCAAGGGTGTATTTACAGGGCATTGAAGCCTACGGTAGAAAAGGAAATATCTTACCATAAAATCTAGTCAGAAGCATTCTCAGAAACTGAGTTGTGATGTTTGCATTCAACTCACAGAGTTCAACATTCCTTTTAATGGAGCGGTTTTGAAACACTCTTTTTGCAGAATCTGCAAGTGGATATTTGGACCTCTTTGAGGCCTTCGTTGGAAACGGGATTTCTTCATGTAATGCCAGACAGAAGAATTCTCAGTGAATTCTTTCTGTGTGTGTGTATTCAACTCACAGAGTTGAACGTTCCTTTAGACAGAGTAGATTGGAAACACTCTTTTTGTGGAATTTTCAGGTGGAGGTATCAAGCGCTTTGAGGCCAATGATAGAAAAGGAAATACCTTCGTATAATAATTACACGGAATCATTCTCAGAAACTGCTTTGCAATGTGTGCGTTCAACTCACAGTGTTTAACCTTTCTTTTCATACAGTTGTTTCGAAACACTCTTTTTGCAGAATCTGCAAGTGGATATTTGGACCTCTTTGAAGTCTTCGTTGGAAATGGGATTTCTTCATATAATGCTAGACAGAAGACTTCTCAGTAACTGCTTTTTCTGGTGTGTATTCAACTCTCAGAGTTGAACTTTCCTTTAGAAACAGCAGATTTGAAACTCTCTTTTTGTGGAATTTGCAAGTGGAGATTTCAGAGCTTTGAGGCCAATGGTAGAAAAGGAAATATCTTCGTATGCAAACTAGACAGAATCATTCTCAGAAACTACTTTGGTACGTGTGTGTTCAACTCACAGTGTTTAACCTTTCTTTTCATAGAGCAGTTTGGAAACACTCAGTTTGTAAAGTCAGCAACTGGATATTTGGATGTATTTGAGGCCTTCGTTGGAAACGGGATTTCTTCATATAATGCTAGACAGAAGAATTCTCAGTAACTTCTTTGGGTTGTGGGTATTCAAGTCACAGAGTTGAAGCTTCCTTTAGGCGGAGCAGATTGGAAACACTTTTTGTGGAATTTTCAGGGGGAGACTTCAAGCGCTTTGAAGTGAATGGTAGGAAAGGAAATATCTTCGTATAAAAACTAGACGGAGTCATTCTCAGAAACTACTTTGTGATGTTTGCGTTCAACTCACAGAGTTTAACGTTTCTTTTCATAGAGCAGTTTGGAAACACTCTTTTTGCAGAATCTGCAAGTGGATATTTGGACCTCTTTGTGGCCTTCGTTGGAAACGGGATTTTTCATATAATGCTAGACAGAAGAATTCTCAGTAACTTCTTTTTGTGGTGTGTATTCAACTCACAGAGTTGAACCTTCCTTTAGACAGAGCAGATTTGAAACTCTCTTTTTGTGGAATTTGCAAGTGGAGATTTCAAGCGCTTTGAGGCCAACGGCAGAAAAGGAAATATCTTCGTAGAAAAAATAGACGGAAATCATTCTCAGCAAACTGCTTTGGGATGTGTGCATTGAACTCACAGTGTTTAACACTTCTTTTCATAGAGCACTTTGGAAACACTCAGTTTGTAATGTCTGCAGCTGGATATTTGGACCTCTTTGAGGCCTTCGTAGTAAACGGGATTTCTTCGTGTAATGATAGACAATAGAATTCTCAGTGAATTTTTTTCTGTGTGTGTGTATTCAACTCACAGGGTTGAACCTTCCTTTAGACAGTGCAGATTTGAAACACTTGTCTGTGGAATTTGAAAGGGGAGATTTCAAGCACTTTGAGGCCATTGGTGGAAAAGGAAATATCTTCGTATAAAAACTAGACAGAATCATTCTCAGGAACTACTTTGTGATATGTGCATTCAACTCACAGAGTTTAACCTTTCTTTTCATAGATGAGTTTGGAAACAGTCAGTTTGTAAATTCTGCAACTGGATATTTGGACCTCTTTGAGGCTTTCGTTGGAAACGGGATTTCTTCACATAATGCTAGACAGAAGAATTCTCAGTAAATTCTTTTGGGATGTATGTATTCAAATCAGAGAGTTGAACCTTCCTTTAGACAGAGCGGATTGGAAACACTCTTTTTGTGGAATTTGCAAGTGGAAAATTCTAGCAGTATGAGGCCAATGGTACAAAAGGAAATATCTTCGTACAAAAACTAGACAGTATCATTCTCAGAAACTGCTTTGTGATGTGTGTATTAAACTCACAGAGTTGAACATTTCTTTGCATAGAGCAGTTTGGAAAGACTTAGTTTGTGCAGTGTGCAAGTGGATATTTGGAACTCTTTGAGGCCTTCGTTGGAAACGGGATTTCTTCTTATAATTCTTGACAAAAGAATTCTCAGTAGCTTCTTTGTGTGTGTGTATTCAACTCACAGAGTTGAACCTTCCTTTAGACAGAGCAGATTGGAAACACTCTTTTTGTGGAATTTGCAAGTGGAGAATTCTAGCGCTTTGACGCCAATGGTAGAAAGGAAATATGCTTCGTATAAAAACTAGACAGTAATCATTCTCAGAAGCTACTTTGTGATGTGTGCGTTCAACTCACAGAGTTTAACCTTTCTTTTCATAGAGCAGTTTGGAAACCCTCTGTTTGTGAAGTCTGCAAGTGGATATTTAAACGTCTTTGAGGCCTTCGTTGGAAACGGGATTTTTTCATATAAACCAGGACAGAAGAATTCTCAGAAACTTCTTGATTGTTATGTGTGCATTCAACTCACAGAGTTGAACCTTACTTTGGAAAGAGCAGTTTCCTAACACTCGTTTTGTAAAAGTTCCAAGTGAATACTTTGAGTGCTTTGAAGCCTACGGTTGACAACGAAATATCTTCATGTAAAAACTACAAAGAATCATTCGCAGAAACCACGTTGTGATCTCTGCATTCAACTCACAGCGTTCAACCTTTCTTCCTATAGAGCAGTTATGAAACAGTCTCTTTGTAGAATTTGCAAGGGTGTATTTAGAGGGCATTGAAGCCTACGGTAGAAAAGGAAATATCTTACCATAAAATCTAGTCAGAAGCATTCTCAGAAACTGAGTTGTGATGTTTGCATTCAACTCACAGAGTTCAACATTCCTTTTAATGGAGCGGTTTTGAAACACTCTTTTTGCAGAATCTGCAAGTGGATATTTGGACCTCTTTGAGGCCTTCGTTGGAAACGGGATTTCTTCATGTAATGCCAGACAGAAGAATTCTCAGTGAATTCTTTCTGTGTGTGTGTATTCAACTCACAGAGTTGAACGTTCCTTTAGACAGAGTAGATTGGAAACACTCTTTTTGTGGAATTTTCAGGTGGAGGTATCAAGCGCTTTGAGGCCAATGATAGAAAAGGAAATACCTTCGTATAATAATTAGACGGAATCATTCTCAGAAACCGCTTTGCAATGTGTGCGTTCAACTCACAGTGTTTAACCTTTCTTTTCATACAGTTGTTTCGAAACACTCTTTTTGCAGAATCTGCAAGTGGATATTTGGACCTCTTTGAAGTCTTCGTTGGAAATGGGATTTCTTCATATAATGCTAGACAGAAGACTTCTCAGTAACTGCTTTTTCTGGTGTGTATTCAACTCTCAGAGTTGAACTTTCCTTTAGAAACAGCAGATTTGAAACTCTCTTTTTGTGGAATTTGCAAGTGGAGATTTCGGAGCTTTGAGGCCAATGGTAGAAAAGGAAATATCTTCGTATGCAAACTAGACAGAATCATTCTCAGAAACTACTTTGGTACGTGTGTGTTCAACTCACAGTGTTTAACCTTTCTTTTCATAGAGCAGTTTGGAAACACTCAGTTTGTAAAGTCAGCAACTGGATATTTGGATGTATTTGAGGCCTTCGTTGGAAACGGGATTTCTTCATATAATGCTAGACAGAAGAATTCTCAGTAACTTCTTTGGGTTGTGGGTATTCAAGTCACAGAGTTGAAGCTTCCTTTAGGCGGAGCAGATTGGAAACACTTTTTGTGGAATTTTCAGGGGGAGACTTCAAGCGCTTTGAAGTGAATGGTAGGAAAGGAAATATCTTCGTATAAAAACTAGACGGAGTCATTCTCAGAAACTACTTTGTGATGTTTGCGTTCAACTCACAGAGTTTAACGTTTCTTTTCATAGAGCAGTTTGGAAACACTCTTTTTGCAGAATCTGCAAGTGGATATTTGGACCTCTTTGTGGCCTTCGTTGGAAACGGGATTTTTCATATAATGCTAGACAGAAGAATTCTCAGTAACTTCTTTTTGTGGTGTGTATTCAACTCACAGAGTTGAACCTTCCTTTAGACAGAGCAGATTTGAAACTCTCTTTTTGTGGAATTTGCAAGTGGAGATTTCAAGCGCTTTGAGGCCAACGGTAGGAAAGGAAATATCTTCGTAGAAAAAATAGACGGAATCATTCTCAGAAACTGCTTTGGGATGTGTGCATTGAACTCACAGTGTTTAACACTTCTTTTCATAGAGCACTTTGGAAACACTCAGTTTGTAATGTCTGCAGCTGGATATTTGGACCTCTTTGAGGCCTTCGTAGTAAACGGGATTTCTTCGTGTAATGATAGACAATAGAATTCTCAGTGAATTTTTTTCTGTGTGTGTGTATTCAACTCACAGGGTTGAACCTTCCTTTAGACAGTGCAGATTTGAAACACTTGTCTGTGGAATTTGCAAGGGGAGATTTCAAGCACTTTGAGGCCATTGGTGGAAAAGGAAATATCTTCGTATGAAAACTAGACAGAATCATTCTCAGGAACTACTTTGTGATATGTGCATTCAACTCACAGAGTTTAACCTTTCTTTTCATAGATGAGTTTGGAAACAGTCAGTTTGTAAATTCTGCAACTGGATATTTGGACCTCTTTGAGGCTTTCGTTGGAAACGGGATTTCTTCACATAATGCTAGACAGAAGAATTCTCAGTAACTTCTTTTGGGATGTATGTATTCAAATCAGAGAGTTGAACCTTCCTTTAGACAGAGCGGATTGGAAACACTCTTTTTGTGGAATTTGCAAGTGGAAAATTCTAGCAGTATGAGGCCAATGGTACAAAAGGAAATATCTTCGTATAAAAACTAGACAGTATCATTCTCAGAAACTGCTTTGTGATGTGTGTATTAAACTCACAGAGTTGAACATTTCTTTGCATAGAGCAGTTTGGAAAGACTTAGTTTGTGCAGTGTGCAAGTGGATATTTGGAACTCTTTGAGGCCTTCGTTGGAAACGGGATTTCTTCTTATAATTCTTGACAAAAGAATTCTCAGTAGCTTCTTTGTGTGTGTGTATTCAACTCACAGAGTTGAACCTTCCTTTAGACAGAGCAGATTGGAAACACTCTTTTTGTGGAATTTGCAAGTGGAGAATTCTAGCGCTTTGACGCCAATGGTAGAAAGGAAATATCTTCGTATAAAAACTAGACAGTATCATTCTCAGAAGCTACTTTGTGATGTGTGCGTTCAACTCACAGAGTTTAACCTTTCTTTTCATAGAGCAGTTTGGAAACCCTCTGTTTGTGAAGTCTGCAAGTGGATATTTAAACGTCTTTGAGGCCTTCGTTGGAAACGGGATTTTTTCATATAAACCAGGACAGAAGAATTCTCAGAAACTTCTTGATTGTTATGTGTGCATTCAACTCACAGAGTTGAACCTTACTTTGGAAAGAGCAGTTTTCTAACACTCTTTTTGTAAAAGTTCCAAGTGAATACTTTGAGTGCTTTGAAGCCTACGGTTGACAACGAAATATCTTCATGTAAAAACTACAAAGAATCATTCGCAGAAACCACGTTGTGATCTCTGCAGTCAACTCACAGAGTTCAACCTTTCTTCCTATAGAGCAGTTATGAAACAGTCTCTTTGTAGAATTTGCAAGGGTGTATTTAGAGGGCATTGAAGCCTACGGTAGAAAAGGAAATATCTTACCATAAAATCTAGTCAGAAGCATTCTCAGAAACTGAGTTGTGATGTTTGCATTCAACTCACAGAGTTCAACATTCCTTTTAATGGAGCGGTTTTGAAACACTCTTTTTGCAGAATCTGCAAGTGGATATTTGGACCTCTTTGAGGCCTTCGTTGGAAACGGGATTTCTTCATGTAATGCCAGACAGAAGAATTCTCAGTGAATTCTTTCTGTGTGTGTGTATTCAACTCACAGAGTTGAACGTTCCTTTAGACAGAGTAGATTGGAAACACTCTTTTTGTGGAATTTTCAGGTGGAGGTATCAAGCGCTTTGAGGCCAATGATAGAAAAGGAAATACCTTCGTATAATAATTAGACGGAATCATTCTCAGAAACTGCTTTGCAATGTGTGCGTTCAACTCACAGTGTTTAACCTTTCTTTTCATACAGTTGTTTCGAAACACTCTTTTTGCAGAATCTGCAAGTGGATATTTGGACCTCTTTGAAGTCTTCGTTGGAAATGGGATTTCTTCATATAATGCTAGACAGAAGACTTCTCAGTAACTGCTTTTTCTGGTGTGTATTCAACTCTCAGAGTTGAACTTTCCTTTAGAAACAGCAGATTTGAAACTCTCTTTTTGTGGAATTCGCAAGTGGAGATTTCAGAGCTTTGAGGCCAATGGTAGAAAAGGAAATATCTTCGTATGCAAACTAGACAGAATCATTCTCAGAAACTACTTTGGTACGTGTGTGTTCAACTCACAGTGTTTAACCTTTCTTTTCATAGAGCAGTTTGGAAACACTCAGTTTGTAAAGTCAGCAACTGGATATTTGGATGTATTTGAGGCCTTCGTTGGAAACGGGATTTCTTCATATAATGCTAGACAGAAGAATTCTCAGTAACTTCTTTCTTTGGGTTGTGGGTATTCAAGTCACAGAGTTGAAGCTTCCTTTAGGCGGAGCAGATTGGAAACACTTTTTGTGGAATTTTCAGGGGGAGACTTCAAGCGCTTTGAAGTGAATGGTAGGAAAGGAAATATCTTCGTATAAAAACTAGACGGAGTCATTCTCAGAAACTACTTTGTGATGTTTGCGTTCAACTCACAGAGTTTAACGTTTCTTTTCATAGAGCAGTTTGGAAACACTCTTTTTGCAGAATCTGCAAGTGGATATTTGGACCTCTTTGTGGCCTTCGTTGGAAACGGGATTTTTCATATAATGCTAGACAGAAGAATTCTCAGTAACTTCTTTTTGTGGTGTGTATTCAACTCACAGAGTTGAACCTTCCTTTAGACAGAGCAGATTTGAAACTCTCTTTTTGTGGAATTTGCAAGTGGAGATTTCAAGCGCTTTGAGGCCAACGGCAGAAAAGGAAATATCTTCGTAGAAAAAATAGACGGAATCATTCTCAGAAACTGCTTTGGGATGTGTGCATTGAACTCACAGTGTTTAACACTTCTTTTCATAGAGCACTTTGGAAACACTCAGTTTGTAATGTCTGCAGCTGGATATTTGGACCTCTTTGAGGCCTTCGTGGTAAACGGGATTTCTTCGTGTAATGATAGACAATAGAATTCTCAGTGAATTTTTTTCTGTGTGTGTGTATTCAACTCACAGGGTTGAACCTTCCTTTAGACAGTGCAGATTTGAAACACTTGTCTGTGGAATTTGCAAGGGGAGATTTCAAGCACTTTGAGGCCATTGGTGGAAAAGGAAATATCTTCGTATGAAAACTAGACAGAATCATTCTCAGGAACTACTTTGTGATATGTGCATTCAACTCACAGAGTTTAACCTTTCTTTTCATAGATGAGTTTGGAAACAGTCAGTTTGTAAATTCTGCAACTGGATATTTGGACCTCTTTGAGGCTTTCGTTGGAAACGGGATTTCTTCACATAATGCTAGACAGAAGAATTCTCAGTAACTTCTTTTGGGATGTATGTATTCAAATCAGAGAGTTGAACCTTCCTTTAGACAGAGCGGATTGGAAACACTCTTTTTGTGGAATTTGCAAGTGGAAAATTCTAGCAGTATGAGGCCAATGGTACAAAAGGAAATATCTTCGTATAAAAACTAGACAGTATCATTCTCAGAAACTGCTTTGTGATGTGTGTATTAAACTCACAGAGTTGAACATTTCTTTGCATAGAGCAGTTTGGAAAGACTTAGTTTGTGCAGTGTGCAAGTGGATATTTGGAACTCTTTGAGGCCTTCGTTGGAAACGGGATTTCTTCTTATAATTCTTGACAAAAGAATTCTCAGTAGCTTCTTTGTGTGTGTGTATTCAACTCACAGAGTTGAACCTTCCTTTAGACAGAGCAGATTGGAAACACTCTTTTTGTGGAATTTGCAAGTGGAGAATTCTAGCGCTTTGACGCCAATGGTAGAAAGGAAATATCTTCGTATGCAAACTAGACAGAATCATTCTCAGAAACTACTTTGGTACGTGTGTGTTCAACTCACAGTGTTTAACCTTTCTTTTCATAGAGCAGTTTGGAAACACTCAGTTTGTAAAGTCAGCAACTGGATATTTGGATGTATTTGAGGCCTTCGTTGGAAACGGGATTTCTTCATATAATGCTAGACAGAAGAATTCTCAGTAACTTCTTTGGGTTGTGGGTATTCAACTCACAGAGTTGAAGCTTCCTTTAGGCGGAGCAGATTGGAAACACTTTTTGTGGAATTTTCAGGGGGAGACTTCAAGCGCTTTGAAGTGAATGGTAGGAAAGGAAATATCTTCGTATAAAAACTAGACGGAGTCATTCTCAGAAACTACTTTGTGATGTTTGCGTTCAACTCACAGAGTTTAACGTTTCTTTTCATAGAGCAGTTTGGAAACACTCTTTTTGCAGAATCTGCAAGTGGATATTTGGACCTCTTTGTGGCCTTCGTTGGAAACGGGATTTTTCATATAATGCTAGACAGAAGAATTCTCAGTAACTTCTTTTTGTGGTGTGTATTCAACTCACAGAGTTGAACCTTCCTTTAGACAGAGCAGATTTGAAACTCTCTTTTTGTGGAATTTGCAAGTGGAGATTTCAAGCGCTTTGAGGCCAACGGTAGAAAAGGAAATATCTTCGTAGAAAAAATAGACGGAATCATTCTCAGAAACTGCTTTGGGATGTGTGCATTGAACTCACAGTGTTTAACACTTCTTTTCATAGAGCACTTTGGAAACACTCAGTTTGTAATGTCTGCAGCTGGATATTTGGACCTCTTTGAGGCCTTCGTAGTAAACGGGATTTCTTCGTGTAATGATAGACAATAGAATTCTCAGTGAATTTTTTTCTGTGTGTGTGTATTCAACTCACAGGGTTGAACCTTCCTTTAGACAGTGCAGATTTGAGACACTTGTCTGTGGAATTTGCAAGGGGAGATTTCAAGCACTTTGAGGCCATTGGTGGAAAAGGAAATATCTTCGTATAAAAACTAGACAGAATCATTCTCAGGAACTACTTTGTGATATGTGCATTCAACTCACAGAGTTTAACCTTTCTTTTCATAGATGAGTTTGGAAACAGTCAGTTTGTAAATGCTGCAACTGGATATTTGGGCCTCTTTGAGGCTTTCGTTGGAAACGGGATTTCTTCACATAATGCTAGACAGAAGAATTCTCAGTAACTTCTTTTGGGATGTATGTATTCAAATCAGAGAGTTGAACCTTCCTTTAGACAGAGCGGATTGGAAACACTCTTTTTGTGGAATTTGCAAGTGGAAAATTCTAGCAGTATGAGGCCAATGGTACAAAAGGAAATATCTTCGTATAAAAACTAGACAGTATCATTCTCAGAAACTACTTTGTGAGGTGTGCGTTCAACTCACAGTGTTTACCCTTTCTTTTCATAGAGCAGTTTGGAAACACTCTGTTTGTGAAGTCTGCAAGTGGATATTTAAACGTCTTTGAGGCCTTCGTTGGAAACGGGATTTCTTCCTATAAACCAGGACAGAAGAATTCTCAGAAACTTCTTGTTTGTTATGTGTGCATTCAACTCACAGTGTTGAACCTTACTTTGGAAAGAGCAGTTTTCTAACACTCTTTTTGTAAAAGTTCCAAGTGAATACTTTGAGTGCTTTGAAGCCTATGGTAGACAACGAAATATCTTCATGTAAAAACTACAAAGAATCATTCGCAGAAACCACGTTGTGATCTCTGCATTCAACTCACAGAGTTGAACCTTTCCTCCTGTAGAGCAGTTATGAAACAGTCTCTTTGTAGAATTTGCAAGGGTGTATTTACAGGGCATTGAAGCCTACGGTAGAAAAGGAAATATCTTACCATAAAATCTAGTCAGAAGCATTCTCAGAAACTGAGTTGTGATGTTTGCATTCAACTCACAGAGTTCAACATTCCTTTTAATGGAGCGGTTTTGAAACACTCTTTTTGCAGAATCTGCAAGTGGATATTTGGACCTCTTTGAGGCCTTCGTTGGAAACGGGATTTCTTCATGTAATGCCAGACAGAAGAATTCTCAGTGAATTCTTTCTGTGTGTGTGTATTCAACTCACAGAGTTGAACGTTCCTTTAGACAGAGTAGATTGGAAACACTCTTTTTGTGGAATTTTCAGGTGGAGGTATCAAGCGCTTTGAGGCCAATGATAGAAAAGGAAATACCTTCGTATAATAATTAGACGGAATCATTCTCAGAAACCGCTTTGCAATGTGTGCGTTCAACTCACAGTGTTTAACCTTTCTTTTCATACAGTTGTTTCGAAACACTCTTTTTGCAGAATCTGCAAGTGGATATTTGGACCTCTTTGAAGTCTTCGTTGGAAATGGGATTTCTTCATATAATGCTAGACAGAAGACTTCTCAGTAACTGCTTTTTCTGGTGTGTATTCAACTCTCAGAGTTGAACTTTCCTTTAGAAACAGCAGATTTGAAACTCTCTTTTTGTGGAATTTGCAAGTGGAGATTTCAGAGCTTTGAGGCCAATGGTAGAAAAGGAAATATCTTCGTATGCAAACTAGACAGAATCATTCTCAGAAACTACTTTGGTACGTGTGTGTTCAACTCACAGTGTTTAACCTTTCTTTTCATAGAGCAGTTTGGAAACACTCAGTTTGTAAAGTCAGCAACTGGATATTTGGATGTATTTGAGGCCTTCGTTGGAAACGGGATTTCTTCATATAATGCTAGACAGAAGAATTCTCAGTAACTTCTTTGGGTTGTGGGTATTCAACTCACAGAGTTGAAGCTTCCTTTAGGCGGAGCAGATTGGAAACACTTTTTGTGGAATTTTCAGGGGGAGACTTCAAGCGCTTTGAAGTGAATGGTAGGAAAGGAAATATCTTCGTATAAAAACTAGACGGAGTCATTCTCAGAAACTACTTTGTGATGTTTGCATTCAACTCACAGAGTTTAACGTTTCTTTTCATAGAGCAGTTTGGAAACACTCTTTTTGCAGAATCTGCAAGTGGATATTTGGACCTCTTTGTGGCCTTCGTTGGAAACGGGATTTTTCATATAATGCTAGACAGAAGAATTCTCAGTAACTTCTTTTTGTGGTGTGTATTCAACTCACAGAGTTGAACCTTCCTTTAGACAGAGCAGATTTGAAACTCTCTTTTTGTGGAATTTGCAAGTGGAGATTTCAAGCGCTTTGAGGCCAATGGTAGAAAAGGAAATATCTTCGTAGAAAAAATAGACGGAATCATTCTCAGAAACTGCTTTGGGATGTGTGCATTGAACTCACAGTGTTTAACACTTCTTTTCATAGAGCACTTTGGAAACACTCAGTTTGTAATGTCTGCAGCTGGATATTTGGACCTCTTTGAGGCCTTCGTAGTAAACGGGATTTCTTCGTGTAATGATAGACAATAGAATTCTCAGTGAATTTTTTTCTGTGTGTGTGTATTCAACTCACAGGGTTGAACCTTCCTTCAGGCAGTGCAGATTTGAAACACTTTTCTGTGGAATTTGCAAGGGGAGATTTCAAGCACTTTGAGGCCATTGGTGGAAAAGGAAATATCTTCGTATAAAAACTAGACAGAATCATTCTCAGGAAGTACTTTGTGATATGTGCATTCAACTCACAGGGTTTAACCTTTCTTTTCATAGATGAGTTTGGAAACAGTCAGTTTGTAAATTCTGCAACTGGATATTTGGACCTCTTTGAGGCTTTCGTTGGAAACGGGATTTCTTCACATAATGCTAGACAGAAGAATTCTCAGTAACTTCTTTTGGGATGTATGTATTCAAATCAGAGAGTTGAACCTTCCTTTAGACAGAGCGGATTGGAAACACTCTTTTTGTGGAATTTGCAAGTGGAAAATTCTAGCAGTATGAGGCCAATGGTACAAAAGGAAATATCTTCGTATAAAAACTAGACAGTATCATTCTCAGAAACTGCTTTGTGATGTGTGTATTAAACTCACAGAGTTGAACATTTCTTTGCTTAAAGCAGTTTGGAAAGACTTAGTTTGTGCAGTGTGCAAGTGGATATTTGGAACTCTTTGAGGCCTTCGTTGGAAACGGGATTTCTTCTTATAATTCTTGACAAAAGAATTCTCAGTAGCTTCTTTGTGTGTGTGTATTCAACTCACAGAGTTGAACCTTCCTTTAGACAGAGCAGATTGGAAACACTCTTTTTGTGGAATTTGCAAGTGGAGAATTCTAGCGCTTTGACGCCAATGGTAGAAAGGAAATATCTTCGTATAAAAACTAGACAGTATCATTCTCAGAAGCTACTTTGTGATGTGTGCGTTCAACTCACAGAGTTTAACCTTTCTTTTCATAGAGCAGTTTGGAAACCCTCTGTTTGTGAAGTCTGCAAGTGGATATTTAAACGTCTTTGAGGCCTTCGTTGGAAACGGGATTTTTTCATATAAACCAGGACAGAAGAATTCTCAGAAACTTCTTGATTGTTATGTGTGCATTCAACTCACAGAGTTGAACCTTACTTTGGAAAGAGCAGTTTTCTAACACTCTTTTTGTAAAAGTTCCAAGTGAATACTTTGAGTGCTTTGAAGCCTACGGTTGACAACGAAATATCTTCATGTAAAAACTACAAAGAATCATTCGCAGAAACCACGTTGTGATCTCTGCATTCAACTCACAGAGTTCAACCTTTCTTCCTATAGAGCAGTTATGAAACAGTCTCTTTGTAGAATTTGCAAGGGTGTATTTAGAGGGCATTGAAGCCTACGGTAGAAAAGGAAATATCTTACCATAAAATCTAGTCAGAAGCATTCTCAGCAACTGAGTTGTGATGTTTCCATTCAACTCACAGAGTTCAACATTCCTTTTAATGGAGCGGTTTTGAAACACTCTTTTTGCAGAATCTGCAAGTGGATATTTGGACCTGCTTTGAGGCCTTCGTTGGAAACGGGATTTCTTCATGTAATGCCAGACAGAAGAATTCTCAGTGAATTCTTTCTGTGTGTGTTTATTCAACTCACAGAGTTGAACGTTCCTTTAGACAGAGTAGATTGGAAACACTCTTTTTGTGGAATTTTCAGGTGGAGGTATCAAGCGCTTTGAGGCCAATGATAGAAAAGGAAATACCTTCGTATAATAATTAGACGGAATCATTCTCAGAAACTGCTTTGCAATGTGTGCGTTCAACTCACAGTGTTTAACCTTTCTTTTCATACAGTTGTTTCGAAACACTCTTTTTGCAGAATCTGCAAGTGGATATTTGGACCTCTTTGAAGTCTTCGTTGGAAATGGGATTTCTTCATATAATGCTAGACAGAAGACTTCTCAGTAACTGCTTTTTCTGGTGTGTATTCAACTCTCAGAGTTGAACTTTCCTTTAGAAACAGCAGATTTGAAACTCTCTTTTTGTGGAATTTGCAAGTGGAGATTTCAGAGCTTTGAGGCCAATGGTAGAAAAGGAAATATCTTCGTATGCAAACTAGACAGAATCATTCTCAGAAACTACTTTGGTACGTGTGTGTTCAACTCACAGTGTTTAACCTTTCTTTTCATAGAGCAGTTTGGAAACACTCAGTTTGTAAAGTCAGCAACTGGATACTTGGATGTATTTGAGGCCTTCGTTGGAAACGGGATTTCTTCATATAATGCTAGACAGAAGAATTCTCAGTAACTTCTTTGGGTTGTGGGTATTCAAGTCACAGAGTTGAAGCTTCCTTTAGGCGGAGCAGATTGGAAACACTTTTTGTGGAATTTTCAGGGGGAGACTTCAAGCGCTTTGAAGTGAATGGTAGGAAAGGAAATATCTTCGTATAAAAACTAGACGGAGTCATTCTCAGAAACTACTTTGTGATGTTTGCGTTCAACTCACAGAGTTTAACGTTTCTTTTCATAGAGCAGTTTGGAAACACTCTTTTTGCAGAATCTGCAAGTGGATATTTGGACCTCTTTGTGGCCTTCGTTGGAAACGGGATTTTTCATATAATGCTAGACAGAAGAATTCTCAGTAACTTCTTTTTGTGGTGTGTATTCAACTCACAGAGTTGAACCTTCCTTTAGACAGAGCAGATTTGAAACTCTCTTTTTGTGGAATTTGCAAGTGGAGATTTCAAGCGCTTTGAGGCCAACGGCAGAAAAGGAAATATCTTCGTAGAAAAAATAGACGGAATCATTCTCAGAAACTGCTTTGGGATGTGTGCATTGAACTCACAGTGTTTAACACTTCTTTTCATAGAGCACTTTGGAAACACTCAGTTTGTAATGTCTGCAGCTGGATATTTGGACCTCTTTGAGGCCTTCGTAGTAAACGGGATTTCTTCGTGTAATGATAGACAATAGAATTCTCAGTGAATTTTTTTCTGTGTGTGTGTATTCAACTCACAGGGTTGAACTTTCCTTTAGACAGTGCAGATTTGAAACACTTGTCTGTGGAATTTGCAAGGGGAGATTTCAAGCACTTTGAGGCCATTGGTGGAAAAGGAAATATCTTCGTATGAAAACTAGACAGAATCATTCTCAGGAACTACTTTGTGATATGTGCATTCAACTCACAGAGTTTAACCTTTCTTTTCATAGATGAGTTTGGAAACAGTCAGTTTGTAAATTCTGCAACTGGATATTTGGACCTCTTTGAGGCTTTTGTTGGAAACGGGATTTCTTCACATAATGCTAGACAGAAGAATTCTCAGTAACTTCTTTTGGGATGTATATATTCAAATCAGAGAGTTGAACCTTCCTGTAGACAGAGCGGATTGGAAACACTCTTTTTGTGGAATTTGCAAGTGGAAAATTCTAGCAGTATGAGGCCAATGGTACAAAAGGAAATATCTTCGTATAAAAACTAGACAGTATCATTCTCAGAAACTGCTTTGTGATGTGTGTATTAAACTCACAGAGTTGAACATTTCTTTGCATAGAGCAGTTTGGAAAGACTTAGTTTGTGCAGTGTGCAAGTGGATATTTGGAACTCTTTGAGGCCTTCGTTGGAAACGGGATTTCTTCTTATAATTCTTGACAAAAGAATTCTCAGTAGCTTCTTTGTGTGTGTGTATTCAACTCACAGAGTTGAACCTTCCTTTAGACAGAGCAGATTGGAAACACTCTTTTTGTGGAATTTGCAAGTGGAGAATTCTAGCGCTTTGACGCCAATGGTAGAAAGGAAATATCTTCGTATAAAAACTAGACAGTATCATTCTCAGAAGCTACTTTGTGATGTGTGCGTTCAACTCACAGAGTTTAACCTTTCTTTTCATAGAGCAGTTTGGAAACCCTCTGTTTGTGAAGTCTGCAAGTGGATATTTAAACGTCTTTGAGGCCTTCGTTGGAAACGGGATTTTTTCATATAAACCAGGACAGAAGAATTCTCAGAAACTTCTTGATTGTTATGTGTGCATTCAACTCACAGAGTTGAACCTTACTTTGGAAAGAGCAGTTTTCTAACACTCTTTTTGTAAAAGTTCCAAGTGAATACTTTGAGTGCTTTGAAGCCTACGGTTGACAACGAAATATCTTCATGTAAAAACTACAAAGAATCATTCGCAGAAACCACGTTGTGATCTCTGCATTCAACTCACAGAGTTGAACCTTTCTTCCTATAGAGCAGTTATGAAACAGTCTCTTTGTAGAATTTGCAAGGGTGTATTTAGAGGGCATTGAAGCCTACGGTAGAAAAGGAAATATCTTACCATAAAATCTAGTCAGAAGCATTCTCAGCAACTGAGTTGTGATGTTTGCATTCAACTCACAGAGTTCAACATTCCTTTTAATGGAGCGGTTTTGAAACACTCTTTTTGCAGAATCTGCAAGTGGATATTTGGACCTCTTTGAGGCCTTCGTTGGAAACGGGATTTCTTCATGTAATGCCAGACAGAAGAATTCTCAGTGAATTCTTTCTGTGTGTGTGTATTCAACTCACAGAGTTGAACGTTCCTTTAGACAGAGTAGATTGGAAACACTCTTTTTGTGGAATTTTCAGGTGGAGGTATCAAGCGCTTTGAGGCCAATGATAGAAAAGGAAATACCTTCGTATAATAATTAGACGGAATCATTCTCAGAAACTGCTTTGCAATGTGTGCGTTCAACTCACAGTGTTTAACCTTTCTTTTCATACAGTTGTTTCGAAACACTCTTTTTGCAGAATCTGCAAGTGGATATTTGGACCTCTTTGAAGTCTTCGTTGGAAATGGGATTTCTTCATATAATGCTAGACAGAAGACTTCTCAGTAACTGCTTTTTCTGGTGTGTATTCAACTCTCAGAGTTGAACTTTCCTTTAGAAACAGCAGAGTTGAAACTCTCTTTTTGTGGAATTTGCAAGTGGAGATTTCAGAGCTTTGAGGCCAATGGTAGAAAAGGAAATATCTTCGTATGCAAACTAGACAGAATCATTCTCAGAAACTACTTTGGTACGTGTGTGTTCAACTCACAGTGTTTAACCTTTCTTTTCATAGAGCAGTTTGGAAACACTCAGTTTGTAAAGTCAGCAACTGGATATTTGGATGTATTTGAGGCCGTCGTTGGAAACGGGATTTCTTCATATAATGCTAGACAGAAGAATTCTCAGTAACTTCTTTGGGTTGTGGGTATTCAAGTCACAGAGTTGAAGCTTCCTTTAGGCGGAGCAGATTGGAAACACTTTTTGTGGAATTTTCAGGGGGAGACTTCAAGCGCTTTGAAGTGAATGGTAGGAAAGGAAATATCTTCGTATAAAAACTAGACGGAGTCATTCTCAGAAACTACTTTGTGATGTTTGCGTTCAACTCACAGAGTTTAACGTTTCTTTTCATAGAGCAGTTTGGAAACACTCTTTTTGCAGAATCTGCAAGTGGATATTTGGACCTCTTTGTGGCCTTCGTTGGAAACGGGATTTTTCATATAATGCTAGACAGAAGAATTCTCAGTAACTTCTTTTTGTGGTGTGTATTCAACTCACAGAGTTGAACCTTCCTTTAGACAGAGCAGATTTGAAACTCTCTTTTTGTGGAATTTGCAAGTGGAGATTTCAAGCGCTTTGAGGCCAACGGCAGAAAAGGAAATATCTTCGTAGAAAAAATAGACGGAATCATTCTCAGAAACTGCTTTGGGATGTGTGCATTGAACTCACAGTGTTTAACACTTCTTTTCATAGAGCACTTTGGAAACACTCAGTTTGTAATGTCTGCAGCTGGATATTTGGACCTCTTTGAGGCCTTCGTAGTAAACGGGATTTCTTCGTGTAATGATAGACAATAGAATTCTCAGTGAATTTTTTTCTGTGTGTGTGTATTCAACTCACAGGGTTGAACCTTCCTTTAGACAGTGCAGATTTGAGACACTTGTCTGTGGAATTTGCAAGGGGAGATTTCAAGCACTTTGAGGCCATTGGTGGAAAAGGAAATATCTTCGTATGAAAACTAGACAGAATCATTCTCAGGAACTACTTTGTGATATGTGCATTCAACTCCCAGAGTTTAACCTTTCTTTTCATAGATGAGTTTGGAAACAGTCAGTTTGTAAATTCTGCAACTGGATATTTGGACCTCTTTGAGGCTTTCGTTGGAAACGGGATTTCTTCACATAAAGCTAGACAGAAGAATTCTCAGTAACTTCTTTTGGGATGTATGTATTCAAATCAGAGAGTTGAACCTTCCTTTAGACAGAGCCGATTGGAAACACTCTTTTTGTGGAATTTGCAAGTGGAAAATTCTAGCAGTATAAGGCCAATGGTACAAAAGGAAATATCTTCGTATAAAAACTAGACAGTATCATTCTCAGAAACTGCTTTGTGATGTGTGTATTAAACTCACAGAGTTGAACATTTCTTTGCATAGAGCAGTTTGGAAAGACTTAGTTTGTGCAGTGTGCAAGTGGATATTTGGAACTCTTTGAGGCCTTCGTTGGAAACGGGATTTCTTCTTATAATTCTTGACAAAAGAATTCTCAGTAGCTTCTTTGTGTGTGTGTATTCAACTCACAGAGTTGAACCTTCCTTTAGACAGAGCAGATTGGAAACACTCTTTTTGTGGAATTTGCAAGTGGAGAATTCTAGCGCTTTGACGCCAATGGTAGAAAGGAAATATCTTCGTATAAAAACTAGACAGTATCATTCTCAGAAGCTACTTTGTGATGTGTGCGTTCAACTCACAGAGTTTAACCTTTCTTTTCATAGAGCAGTTTGGAAACCCTCTGTTTGTGAAGTCTGCAAGTGGATATTTAAACGTCTTTGAGGCCTTCGTTGGAAACGGGATTTCTTCATATAAACCAGGACAGAAAGAATTCTCAGAAACTTCTTGATTGTTATGTGTGCATTCAACTCACAGAGTTGAACCTTACTTTGGAAAGAGCAGTTTTCTAACACTCTTTTTGTAAAAGTTCCAAGTGAATACTTTGAGTGCTTTGAAGCCTACGGTTGACAACGAAATATCTTCATGTAAAAACTACAAAGAATCATTCGCAGAAACCACGTTGTGATCTCTGCAGTCAACTCACAGAGTTCAACCTTTCTTCCTATAGAGCAGTTATGAAACAGTCTCTTTGTAGAATTTGCAAGGGTGTATTTAGAGGGCATTGAAGCCTACGGTAGAAAAGGAAATATCTTACCATAAAATCTAGTCAGAAGCATTCTCAGCAACTGAGTTGTGATGTTTCCATTCAACTCACAGAGTTCAACATTCCTTTTAATGGAGCGGTTTTGAAACACTCTTTTTGCAGAATCTGCAAGTGGATATTTGGACCTGCTTTGAGGCCTTCGTTGGAAACGGGATTTCTTCATGTAATGCCAGACAGAAGAATTCTCAGTGAATTCTTTCTGTGTGTGTGTATTCAACTCACAGAGTTGAACGTTCCTTTAGACAGAGTAGATTGGAAACACTCTTTTTGTGGAATTTTCAGGTGGAGGTATCAAGCGCTTTGAGGCCAATGATAGAAAAGGAAATACCTTCGTATAATAATTAGACGGAATCATTCTCAGAAACTGCTTTGCAATGTGTGCGTTCAACTCACAGTGTTTAACCTTTCTTTTCATACAGTTGTTTCGAAACACTCTTTTTGCAGAATCTGCAAGTGGATATTTGGACCTCTTTGAAGTCTTCGTTGGAAATGGGATTTCTTCATATAATGCTAGACAGAAGACTTCTCAGTAACTGCTTTTTCTGGTGTGTATTCAACTCCCAGATTTGAACTTTCCTTTAGAAACAGCAGATTTGAAACTCTCTTTTTGTGGAATTTGCAAGTGGAGATTTCAGAGCTTTGAGGCCAATGGTAGAAAAGGAAATATCTTCGTATGCAAACTAGACAGAATCATTCTCAGAAACTACTTTGGTACGTGTGTGTTCAACTCAGAGTGTTTAACCTTTCTTTTCATAGAGCAGTTTGGAAACACTCAGTTTGTAAAGTCAGCAACTGGATATTTGGATGTATTTGAGGCCTTCGTTGGAAACGGGATTTCTTCATATAATGCTAGACAGAAGAATTCTCAGTAACTTCTTTGGGTTGTGGGTATTCAAGTCACAGAGTTGAAGCTTCCTTTAGGCGGAGCAGATTGGAAACACTTTTTGTGGAATTTTCAGGGGGAGACGTCAAGCGCTTTGAAGTGAATGGTAGGAAAGGAAATATCTTCGTATAAAAACTAGACGGAGTCATTCTCAGAAACTACTTTGTGATGTTTGCGTTCAACTCACAGAGTTTAACGTTTCTTTTCATAGAGCAGTTTGGAAACACTCTTTTTGCAGAATCTGCAAGTGGATATTTGGACCTCTTTGTGGCCTTCGTTGGAAACGGGATTTTTCATATAATGCTAGACAGAAGAATTCTCAGTAACTTCTTTTTGTGGTGTGTATTCAACTCACAGAGTTGAACCTTCCTTTAGACAGAGCAGATTTGAAACTCTCTTTTTGTGGAATTTGCAAGTGGAGATTTCAAGCGCTTTGAGGCCAACGGCAGAAAAGGAAATATCTTCGTAGAAAAAATAGACGGAATCATTCTCAGAAACTGCTTTGGGATGTGTGCATTGAACTCACAGTGTTTAACACTTCTTTTCATAGAGCACTTTGGAAACGCTCAGTTTGTAATGTCTGCAGCTGGATATTTGGACCTCTTTGAGGCCTTCGTAGTAAACGGGATTTCTTCGTGTAATGATAGACAATAGAATTCTCAGTGAATTTTTTTCTGTGTGTGTGTATTCAACTCACAGGGTTGAACCATCCTTTAGACAGTGCAGATTTGAAACACTTGTCTGTGGAATTTGCAAGGGGAGATTTCAAGCACTTTGAGGCCATTGGTGGAAAAGGAAATATCTTCGTATGAAAACTATACAGAATCATTCTCAGGAACTACTTTGTGATATGGGCATTCAACTCCCAGAGTTTAACCTTTCTTTTCATAGATGAGTTTGGAAACAGTCAGTTTGTAAATTCTGCAACTGGATATTTGGACCTCTTTGAGGCTTTCGTTGGAAACGGGATTTCTTCACATAATGCTAGACAGAAGAATTCTCAGTAACTTCTTTTGGGATGTATGTATTCAAATCAGAGAGTTGAACCTTCCTTTAGACAGAGCGGATTGGAAACACTCTTTTTGTGGAATTTGCAAGTGGAAAATTCTAGCAGTATGAGGCCAATGGTACAAAAGGAAATATCTTCGTATAAAAACTAGACAGTATCGTTCTCAGAAACTGCTTTGTGATGTGTGAATTAAACTCACAGAGTTGAACATTTCTTTGCATAGAGCAGTTTGGAAAGACTTAGTTTGTGCAGTGTGCAAGTGGATATTTGGAACTCTTTGAGGCCTTCGTTGGAAACGGGATTTCTTCTTATAATTCTTGACAAAAGAATTCTCAGTAGCTTCTTTGTGTGTGTGTATTCAACTCACAGAGTTGAACCTTCCTTTAGACAGAGCAGATTGGAAACACTCTTTTTGTGGAATTTGCAAGTGGAGAATTCTAACGCTTTGACGCCAATGGTAGAAAGGAAATATCTTCGTATAAAAACTAGACAGTATCTTTCTCAGAAACAACTTTGTGATGTGTGCGTTCAACTCACAGAGTTTAACCTTTCTTTTCATAGAGCAGTTTGGAAACACTCTGTTTGTGAAGTCTGCAAGTGGATATTTAAAAGTCTCTGAGGCCTTCGTTGGAAACGGGATTTTTTCATATAAACCAGGACAGAAGAATTCTCAGAAACTTCTTGATTGTTATGTGTGCATTCAACTCACAGAGTTGAACCTTACTTTGGAAAGAGCAGTTTTCTAACACTCTTTTTGTAAAAGTTCCAAGTGAATACTTTGAGTGCTTTGAAGCCTACGGTTGACAACGAAATATCTTCATGTAAAAACTACAAAGAATCATTCGCAGAAACCACGTTGTGATCTCTGCATTCAACTCACAGAGTTCAACCTTTCTTCCTATAGAGCAGTTATGAAACAGTCTCTTTGTAGAATTTGCAAGGGTGTATTTAGAGGGCATTGAAGCCTACGGTAGAAAAGGAAATATCTTACCATAAAATCTAGTCAGAAGCATTCTCAGCAACTGAGTTGTGATGTTTGCATTCAACTCACAGAGTTCAACATTCCTTTTAATGGAGCGGTTTTGAAACACTCTTTTTGCAGAATCTGCAAGTGGATATTTGGACCTCTTTGAGGCCTTCGTTGGAAACGGGATTTCTTCATGTAATGCCAGACAGAAGAATTCTCAGTGAATTCTTTCTGTGTGTGTGTATTCAACTCACAGAGTTGAACGTTCCTTTAGACAGAGTAGATTGGAAACACTCTTTTTGTGGAATTTTCAGGTGGAGGTATCAAGCGCTTTGAGGCCAATGATAGAAAAGGAAATACCTTCGTATAATAATTAGACGGAATCATTCTCAGAAACTGCTTTGCAATGTGTGCGTTCAACTCACAGTGTTTAACCTTTCTTTTCATACAGTTGTTTCGAAACACTCTTTTTGCAGAATCTGCAAGTGGATATTTGGACCTCTTTGAAGTCTTCGTTGGAAATGGGATTTCTTCATATAATGCTAGACAGAAGACTTCTCAGTAACTGCTTTTTCTGGTGTGTATTCAACTCTCAGAGTTGAACTTTCCTTTAGAAACAGCAGAGTTGAAACTCTCTTTTTGTGGAATTTGCAAGTGGAGATTTCAAAGCTTTGAGGCCAATGGTAGAAAAGGAAATATCTTCGTATGCAAACTAGACAGAATCATTCTCAGAAACTACTTTGGTACGTGTGTGTTCAAGTCACAGTGTTTAACCTTTCTTTTCATAGAGCAGTTTGGAAACACTCAGTTTGTAAAGTCAGCAACTGGATATTTGGATGTATTTGAGGCCTTCGTTGGAAACGGGATTTCTTCATATAGTGCTAGACAGAAGAATTCTCAGTAACTTCTTTGGGTTGTGGGTATTCAACTCACAGAGTTGAAGCTTCCTTTAGGCGGAGCAGATTGGAAACACTTTTTGTGGAATTTTCAGGGGGAGACTTCAAGCGCTTTGAAGTGAATGGTAGAAAAGGAAATATCTTCGTATAAAAACTAGACGGAGTCATTCTCAGAAACTACTTTGTGATGTTTGCGTTCAACTCACAGAGTTTAACGTTTCTTTTCATAGAGCAGTTTGGAAACACTCTTTTTGCAGAATCTGCAAGTGGATATTTGGACCTCTTTGTGGCCTTCGTTGGAAACGGGATTTTTCATATAATGCTAGACAGAAGAATTCTCAGTAACTTCTTTTTGTGGTGTGTATTCAACTCACAGAGTTGAACCTTCCTTTAGACAGAGCAGATTTGAAACTCTCTTTTTGTGGAATTTGCAAGTGGAGATTTCAAGCGCTTTGAGGCCAACGGTAGAAAAGGAAATATCTTCGTAGAAAAAATAGACGGAATCATTCTCAGAAACTGCTTTGGGATGTGTGCATTGAACTCACAGTGTTTAACACTTCTTTTCATAGAGCACTTTGGAAACACTCAGTTTGTAATGTCTGCAGCTGGATATTTGGACCTCTTTGAGGCCTTCGTAGTAAACGGGATTTCTTCGGGTAATGATAGACAATAGAATTCTCAGTGAATTTTTTTCTGTGTGTGTGTATTCAACTCACAGGGTTGAACCTTCCTTTAGACAGTGCAGATTTGAGACACTTGTCTGTGGAATTTGCAAGGGGAGATTTCAAGCACTTTGAGGCCATTGGTGGAAAAGGAAATATCTTCGTATAAAAACTAGACAGAATCATTCTCAGGAACTACTTTGTGATATGTGCATTCAACTCACAGAGTTTAACCTTTCTTTTCATAGATGAGTTTGGAAACAGTCAGTTTGTAAATGCTGCAACTGGATATTTGGGCCTCTTTGAGGCTTTCGTTGGAAACGGGATTTCTTCACATAATGCTAGACAGAAGAATTCTCAGTAACTTCTTTTGGGATGTATGTATTCAAATCAGAGAGTTGAACCTTCCTTTAGACAGAGCGGATTGGAAACACTCTTTTTGTGGAATTTGCAAGTGGAAAATTCTAGCAGTATGAGGCCAATGGTACAAAAGGAAATATCTTCGTATAAAAACTAGACAGTATCATTCTCAGAAACTGCTTTGTGATGTGTGTATTAAACTCACAGATTTGAACATTTCTTTGCATAGAGCAGTATGGAAAGACTTAGTTTGTGCAGTGTGCAAGTGGATATTTGGAACTCTTTGAGGCCTTGGTTGGAAACGGGATTTCTTCTTATAATTCTTGACAAAAGAATTCTCAGTAGCTTCTTTGTGTGTGTGTACTCAACTCACAGAGTTGAACCTTCCTTTAGACAGAGCAGAGTGGAAACACTCTTTTTGTGGAATTTGCAAGTGGAAAATTCTAGCAGTATGAGGCCAATGGTACAAAAGGAAATATCTTCGTATAAAAACTAGACAGTATCATTCTCAGAAACTACTTTGTGAGGTGTGCGTTCAACTCACAGAGTTTAACCTTTCTTTTCATAGAGCAGTTTGGAAACACTCTGTTTGTGAAGTCTGCAAGTGGATATTTAAACGTCTTTGAGGCCTTCGTTGGAAACGGGATTTCTTCATATAAACCAGGACAGAAGAATTCTCAGAAACTTCTTGATTGTTATGTGTGCATTCAACTCACAGAGTTGAACCTTACTTTGGAAAGAGCAGTTTCCTAACACTCGTTTTGTAAAAGTTCCAAGTGAATACTTTGAGTGCTTTGAAGCCTACGGTTGACAACGAAATATCTTCATGTAAAAACTACAAAGAATCATTCGCAGAAACCACGTTGTGATCTCTGCATTCAACTCACAGAGTTCAACCTTTCTTCCTATAGAGCAGTTATTAAACAGTCTCTTTGTAGAATTTGCAAGGGTGTATTTAGAGGGCATTGAAGCCTACGGTAGAAAAGGAAATATCTGACCATAAAATCTAGTCAGAAGCATTCTCAGAAACTGAGTTGTGATGTTTGCATTCAACTCACAGAGTTCAACATTCCTTTTCATGGAGCGGTTTTGAAACACTCTTTTTGCAGAATCTGCAAGTGGATATTTGGACCTCTTTGAGGCCTTCGTTGAAAACGGGATTTCTTCATGTAATGCCAGACAGAAGAATTCTCAGTGAATTCTTTCTCTGTGTGTGTATTCAACTCACAGAGTTGAACGTTCCTTTAGACAGAGTAGATTGGAAACACTCTTTTTGTGGAATTTTCAGGTGGAGGTATCAAGCGCTTTGAGGCCAATGATAGAAAAGGAAATACCTTCGTATAATAATTAGACGGAATCATTCTCAGAAACTGCTTTGCAATGTGTGCGTTCAACTCACAGTGTTTAACCTTTCTTTTCATACAGTTGTTTCGAAACACTCTTTTTGCAGAATCTGCAAGTGGATATTTGGACCTCTTTGAAGTCTTCGTTGGAAATGGGATTTCTTCATATAATGCTAGACAGAAGACTTCTCAGTAACTGCTTTTTCTGGTGTGTATTCAACTCTCAGAGTTGAACTTTCCTTTAGAAACAGCAGATTTGAAACTCTCTTTTTGTGGAATTTGCAAGTGGAGATTTCAGAGCTTTGAGGCCAATGGTAGAAAAGGAAATATCTTCGTATGCAAACTAGACAGAATCATTCTCAGAAACTACTTTGGTACGTGTGTGTTCAACTCACAGTGTTTAACCTTTCTTTTCATAGAGCAGTTTGGAAACACTCAGTTTGTAAAGTCAGCAACTGGATATTTGGATGTATTTGAGGCCTTCGTTGGAAACGGGATTTCTTCATATAATGCTAGACAGAAGAATTCTCAGTAACTTCTTTGGGTTGTGGGTATTCAAGTCACAGAGTTGAAGCTTCCTTTAGGCGGAGCAGATTGGAAACACTTTTTGTGGAATTTTCAGGGGGAGACTTCAAGCGCTTTGAAGTGAATGGTAGGAAAGGAAATATCTTCGTATAAAAACTAGACGGAGTCATTCTCAGAAACTACTTTGTGATGTTTGCGTTCAACTCACAGAGTTTAACGTTTCTTTTCATAGAGCAGTTTGGAAACACTCTTTTTGCAGAATCTGCAAGTGGATATTTGGACCTCTTTGTGGCCTTCGTTGGAAACGGGATTTTTCATATAATGCTAGACAGAAGAATTCTCAGTAACTTCTTTTTGTGGTGTGTATTCAACTCACAGAGTTGAACCTTCCTTTAGACAGAGCAGATTTGAAACTCTCTTTTTGTGGAATTTGCAAGTGGAGATTTCAAGCGCTTTGAGGCCAACGGCAGAAAAGGAAATATCTTCGTAGAAAAAATAGACGGAATCATTCTCAGAAACTGCTTTGGGATGTGTGCATTGAACTCACAGTGTTTAACACTTCTTTTCATAGAGCACTTTGGAAACACTCAGTTTGTAATGTCTGCAGCTGGATATTTGGACCTCTTTGAGGCCTTCGTGGTAAACGGGATTTCTTCGTGTAATGATAGACAATAGAATTCTCAGTGAATTTTTTTCTGTGTGTGTGTATTCAACTCACAGGGTTGAACCTTCCTTTAGACAGTGCAGATTTGAAACACTTGTCTGTGGAATTTGCAAGGGGAGATTTCAAGCACTTTGAGGCCATTGGTGGAAAAGGAAATATCTTCGTATGAAAACTAGACAGAATCATTCTCAGGAACTACTTTGTGATATGTGCATTCAACTCACAGAGTTTAACCTTTCTTTTCATAGATGAGTTTGGAAACAGTCAGTTTGTAAATTCTGCAACTGGATATTTGGACCTCTTTGAGGCTTTCGTTGGAAACGGGATTTCTTCACATAATGCTAGACAGAAGAATTCTCAGTAACTTCTTTTGGGATGTATGTATTCAAATCAGAGAGTTGAACCTTCCTTTAGACAGAGCGGATTGGAAACTCTCTTTTTGTGGAATTTGCAAGTGGAAAATTCTAGCAGTATGAGGCCAATGGTACAAAAGGAAATATCTTCGTATAAAAACTAGACAGTATCATTCTCAGAAACTGCTTTGTGATGTGTGTATTAAACTCACAGATTTGAACATTTCTTTGCATAGAGCAGTATGGAAAGACTTAGTTTGTGCAGTGTGCAAGTGGATATTTGGAACTCTTTGAGGCCTTGGTTGGAAACGGGATTTCTTCTTATAATTCTTGACAAAAGAATTCTCAGTAGCTTCTTTGTGTGTGTGTGTGTTCAACTCACAGAGTTGAACCTTCCTTTAGACAGAGCAGATTGGAAACACTCTTTTTGTGGAATTTGCAAGTGGAGAATTCTAGCGATTTGAGGCCAGTGGTACAAAAGGAAATATCTTCGTATAAAAACTAGACAGTATCATTCTCAGAAACTACTTTGTGATGTGTGCGTTCAACTCACAGTGTTTACCCTTTCTTTTCATAGAGCAGTTTGGAAACACTCTGTTTGTGAAGTCTGCAAGTGGATATTTAAACGTCTTTGAGGCCTTCGTTGGAAACGGGATTTCTTCCTATAAACCAGGACAGAAGAATTCTCAGAAACTTCTTGTTTGTTATGTGTGCATTCAACTCACAGAGTTGAACCTTACTTTGGAAAGAGCAGTTTTCTAACACTCTTTTTGTAAAAGTTCCAAGTGAATACTTTGAGTGCTTTGAAGCCTACGGTAGACAACGAAATATCTTCATGTAAAAACTACAAAGAATCATTCGCAGAAACCACGTTGTGATCTCTGCATTCAACTCACAGAGTTGAACCTTTCCTCCAATAGAGCAGTTATGAAACAGTCTCTTTGTAGAATTTGCAAGGGTGTATTTACAGGGCATTGAAGCCTACGGTAGAAAAGGAAATATCTTACCATAAAATCTAGTCAGAAGCATTCTCAGAAACTGAGTTGTGATGTTTGCATTCAACTCACAGAGTTCAACATTCCTTTTAATGGAGCGGTTTTGAAACACTCTTTTTGCAGAATCTGCAAGTGGATATTTGGACCTCTTTGAGGCCTTCGTTGGAAACGGGATTTCTTCATGTAATGCCAGACAGAAGAATTCTCAGTGAATTCTTTCTGTGTGTGTGTATTCAACTCACAGAGTTGAACGTTCCTTTAGACAGAGTAGATTGGAAACACTCTTTTTGTGGAATTTTCAGGTGGAGGTATCAAGCGCTTTGAGGCCAATGATAGAAAAGGAAATACCTTCGTATAATAATTAGACGGAATCATTCTCAGAAACTGCTTTGCAATGTGTGCGTTCAACTCACAGTGTTTAACCTTTCTTTTCATACAGTTGTTTCGAAACACTCTTTTTGCAGAATCTGCAAGTGGATATTTGGACCTCTTTGAAGTCTTCGTTGGAAATGGGATTTCTTCATATAATGCTAGACAGAAGACTTCTCAGTAACTGCTTTTTCTGGTGTGTATTCAACTCTCAGAGTTGAACTTTCCTTTAGAAACAGCAGATTTGAAACTCTCTTTTTGTGGAATTTGCAAGTGGAGATTTCAGAGCTTTGAGGCCAATGGTAGAAAAGGAAATATCTTCGTATGCAAACTAGACAGAATCATTCTCAGAAACTACTTTGGTACGTGTGTGTTCAACTCACAGTGTTTAACCTTTCTTTTCATAGAGCAGTTTGGAAACACTCAGTTTGTAAAGTCAGCAACTGGATATTTGGATGTATTTGAGGCCTTCGTTGGAAACGGGATTTCTTCATATAATGCTAGACAGAAGAATTCTCAGTAACTTCTTTGGGTTGTGGGTATTCAAGTCACAGAGTTGAAGCTTCCTTTAGGCGGAGCAGATTGGAAACACTTTTTGTGGAATTTTCAGGGGGAGACTTCAAGCGCTTTGAAGTGAATGGTAGGAAAGGAAATATCTTCGTATAAAAACTAGACGGAGTCATTCTCAGAAACTACTTTGTGATGTTTGCGTTCAACTCACAGAGTTTAACGTTTCTTTTCATAGAGCAGTTTGGAAACACTCTTTTTGCAGAATCTGCAAGTGGATATTTGGACCTCTTTGTGGCCTTCGTTGGAAACGGGATTTTTCATATAATGCTAGACAGAAGAATTCTCAGTAACTTCTTTTTGTGGTGTGTATTCAACTCACAGAGTTGAACCTTCCTTTAGACAGAGCAGATTTGAAACTCTCTTTTTGTGGAATTTGCAAGTGGAGATTTCAAGCGCTTTGAGGCCAACGGCAGAAAAGGAAATATCTTCGTAGAAAAAATAGACGGAATCATTCTCAGAAACTGCTTTGGGATGTGTGCATTGAACTCACAGTGTTTAACACTTCTTTTCATAGAGCACTTTGGAAACACTCAGTTTGCAATGTCTGCAGCTGGATATTTGGACCTCTTTGAGGCCTTCGTAGTAAACGGGATTTCTTCGTGTAATGATAGACAATAGAATTCTCAGTGAATTTTTTTCTGTGTGTGTGTATTCAACTCACAGGGTTGAACCTTCCTTTAGACAGTGCAGATTTGAGACACTTGTCTGTGGAATTTGCAAGGGGAGATTTCAAGCACTTTGAGGCCATTGGTGGAAAAGGAAATATCTTCGTATGAAAACTAGACAGAATCATTCTCAGGAACTACTTTGTGATATGTGCATTCAACTCACAGAGTTTAACCTTTCTTTTCATAGATGAGTTTGGAAACAGTCAGTTTGTAAATTCTGCAACTGGATATTTGGACCTCTTTGAGGCTTTCGTTGGAAACGGGATTTCTTCACATAATGCTAGACAGAAGAATTCTCAGTAACTTCTTTTGGGATGTATGTATTCAAATCAGAGAGTTGAACCTTCCTTTAGACAGAGCGGATTGGAAACACTCTTTTTGTGGAATTTGCAAGTGGAAAATTCTAGCAGTATGAGGCCAATGGTACAAAAGGAAATATCTTCGTATAAAAACTAGACAGTATCATTCTCAGAAACTGCTTTGTGATGTGTGTATTAAACTCACAGAGTTGAACATTTCTTTGCATAGAGCAGTTTGGAAAGACTTAGTTTGTGCAGTGTGCAAGTGGATATTTGGAACTCTTTGAGGCCTTCGTTGGAAACGGGATTTCTTCTTATAATTCTTGACAAAAGAATTCTCAGTAGCTTCTTTGTGTGTGTGTATTCAACTCACAGAGTTGAACCTTCCTTGAGACAGAGCAGATTGGAAACACTCTTTTTGTGGAATTTGCAAGTGGAGAATTCTAGCGCTTTGACGCCAATGGTAGAAAGGAAATATCTTCGTATAAAAACTAGACAGTATCATTCTCAGAAACTACTTTGTGATGTGTGCGTTCAACTCACAGAGTTTAACCTTTCTTTTCATAGAGCAGTTTGGAAACACTCTGTTTGTGAAGTCTGCAAGTGGATATTTAAACGTCTTTGAGGACTTCGTTGGAAACGGGATTTGTTCATATAAACCAGGACAGAAGAATTCTCAGAAACTTCTTGATTGTTATGTGTGCATTCAACTCACAGAGTTGAACCTTACTTTGGAAAGAGCAGTTTTCTAACACTCTTTTTGTAAAAGTTCCAAGTGAATACTTTGAGTGCTTTGAAGCCTACGGTTGACAACGAAATATCTTCATGTAAAAACTACAAAGAATCATTCGCAGAAACCACGTTGTGATCTCTGCATTCAACTCACAGAGTTGAACCTTTCTTCCTATAGAGCAGTTATGAAACAGTCTCTTTGTAGAATTTGCAAGGGTGTATTTAGAGGGCATTGAAGCCTACGGTAGAAAAGGAAATATCTTACCATAAAATCTAGTCAGAAGCATTCTCAGCAACTGAGTTGTGATGTTTGCATTCAACTCACAGAGTTCAACATTCCTTTTAATGGAGCGGTTTTGAAACACTCTTTTTGCAGAATCTGCAAGTGGATATTTGGACCTCTTTGAGGCCTTCGTTGGAAACGGGATTTCTTCATGTAATGCCAGACAGAAGAATTCTCAGTGAATTCTTTCTGTGTGTGTGTATTCAACTCACAGAGTTGAACCTTCCTTTAGACAGAGCAGATTTGAAACTCTCTTTTTGTGGAATTTGCAAGTGGAGATTTCAAGCGCTTTGAGGCCAACGGCAGAAAAGGAAATATCTTCGTAGAAAAAATAGACGGAATCATTCTCAGAAACTGCTTTGGGATGTGTGCATTGAACTCACAGTGTTTAACACTTCTTTTCATAGAGCACTTTGGAAACACTCAGTTTGAAATGTCTGCAGCTGGATATTTGGACCTCTTTGCGGCCTTCGTAGTAAACGGGATTTCTTCGTGTAATGATAGACAATAGAATTCTCAGTGAATTTTTTTCTGTGTGTGTGTATTCAACTCACAGGGTTGAACCTTCCTTTAGACAGTGCAGATTTGAAACACTTGTCTGTGGAATTTGCAAGGGGAGATTTCAAGCACTTTGAGGCCATTGGTGGAAAAGGAAATATCTTCGTATGAAAACTAGACAGAATCATTCTCAGGAACTACTTTGTGATATGTGCATTCAACTCCCAGAGTTTAACCTTTCTTTTCATAGATGAGTTTGGAAACAGTCAGTTTGTAAATTCTGCAACTGGATATTTGGACCTCTTTGAGGCTTTCGTTGGAAACGGGATTTCTTCACATAATGCTAGACAGAAGAATTCTCAGTAACTTCTTTTGGGATGTATGTATTCAAATCAGAGAGTTGAACCTTCCTTTAGACAGAGCGGATTGGAAACACTCTTTTTGTGGAATTTGCAAGTGGAAAATTCTAGCAGTATGAGGCCAATGGTACAAAAGGAAATATCTTCGTATAAAAACTAGACAGTATCATTCTCAGAAACTGCTTTGTGATGTGTGGATTAAACTCACAGAGTTGAACATTTCTTTGCATAGAGCAGTTTGGAAAGACTTAGTTTGTGCAGTGTGCAAGTGGATATTTGGAACTCTTTGAGGCCTTCGTTGGAAACGGGATTTCTTCTTATAATTCTTGACAAAAGAATTCTGAGTAGCTTCTTTGTGTGTGTGTATTCAACTCACAGAGTTGAACCTTCCTTTAGACAGAGCAGATTGGAAACACTCTTTTTGTGGAATTTGCAAGTGGAGAATTCTAGCGCTTTGACGCCAATGGTAGAAAGGAAATATCTTCGTATAAAAACTAGACAGTATCATTCTCAGAAGCTACTTTGTGATGTGTGCGTTCAACTCACAGAGTTTAACCTTTCTTTTCATAGAGCAGTTTGGAAACCCTCTTTGTGAAGTCTGCAAGTGGATATTTAAACGTCTTTGAGGCCTTCGTTGGAAACGGGATTTTTTCATATAAACCAGGACAGAAGAATTCGCAGAAACGTCTTGATTGTTATGTGTGCATTCAACTCACAGAGTTGAACCTTACTTTGGAAAGAGCAGTTTTCTAACACTCTTTTTGTAAAAGTTCCAAGTGAATACTTTGAGTGCTTTGAAGCCTACGGTTGACAACGAAATATCTTCATGTAAAAACTACAAAGAATCATTCGCAGAAACCACGTTGTGATCTCTGCATTCAACTCACAGAGTTCAACCTTTCTTCCTATAGAGCAGTTATGAAACAGTCTCTTTGTAGAATTTGCAAGGGTGTATTTAGAGGGCATTGAAGCCTACGGTAGAAAAGGAAATATCTTACCATAAAATCTAGTCAGAAGCATTCTCAGCAACTGAGTTGTGATGTTTGCATTCAACTCACAGAGTTCAACATTCCTTTTAATGGAGCGGTTTTGAAACACTCTTTTTGCAGAATCTGCAAGTGGATATTTGGACCTCTTTGAGGCCTTCGTTGGAAACGGGATTTCTTCATGTAATGCCAGACAGAAGAATTCTCAGTGAATTCTTTCTGTGTGTGTGTATTCAACTCACAGAGTTGAACGTTCCTTTAGACAGAGTAGATTGGAAACACTCTTTTTGTGGAATTTTCAGGTGGAGGTATCAAGCACTTTGAGGCCAATGATAGAAAAGGAAATACCTTCGTATAATAATTAGACGGAATCATTCTCAGAAACCGCTTTGCAATGTGTGCGTTCAACTCACAGTGTTTAACCTTTCTTTTCATACAGTTGTTTCGAAACACTCTTTTTGCAGAATCTGCAAGTGGATATTTGGACCTCTTTGAAGTCTTCGTTGGAAATGGGATTTCTTCATATAATGCTAGACAGAAGACTTCTCAGTAACTGCTTTTTCTGGTGTGTATTCAACTCTCAGAGTTGAACTTTCCTTTAGAAACAGCAGATTTGAAACTCTCTTTTTGTGGAATTTGCAAGTGGAGATTTCAGAGCTTTGAGGCCAATGGTAGAAAAGGAAATATCTTCGTATGCAAACTAGACAGAATCATTCTCAGAAACTACTTTGGTACGTGTGTGTTCAACTCACAGTGTTTAACCTTTCTTTTCATAGAGCAGTTTGGAAACACTCAGTTTGTAAAGTCAGCAACTGGATATTTGGATGTATTTGAGGCCTTCGTTGGAAACGGGATTTCTTCATATAGTGCTAGACAGAAGAATTCTCAGTAACTTCTTTGGGTTGTGGGTATTCAAGTCACAGAGTTGAAGCTTCCTTTAGGCGGAGCAGATTGGAAACACTTTTTGTGGAATTTTCAGGGGGAGACTTCAAGCGCTTTGAAGTGAATGGTAGGAAAGGAAATATCTTCGTATAAAAACTAGACGGAGTCATTCTCAGAAACTACTTTGTGATGTTTGCGTTCAACTCACAGAGTTTAACGTTTCTTTTCATAGAGCAGTTTGGAAACACTCTTTTTGCAGAATCTGCAAGTGGATATTTGGACCTCTTTGTGGCCTTCGTTGGAAACGGGATTTTTCATATAATGCTAGACAGAAGAATTCTCAGTAACTTCTTTTTGTGGTGTGTATTCAACTCACAGAGTTGAACCTTCCTTTAGACAGAGCAGATTTGAAACTCTCTCTTTGTGGAATTTGCAAGTGGAGATTTCAAGCGCTTTGAGGCCAACGGCAGAAAAGGAAATATCTTCGTAGAAAAAATAGACGGAATCATTCTCAGAAACTGCTTTGGGATGTGTGCATTGAACTCACAGTGTTTAACACTTCTTTTCATAGAGCACTTTGGAAACACTCAGGTTGTAATGTCTGCAGCTGGATATTTGGACCTCTTTGAGGCCTTCGTAGTAAACGGGATTTCTTCGTGTAATGATAGACAATAGAATTCTCAGTGAATTTTTTTCTGTGTGTGTGTATTCAACTCACAGGGTTGAACCTTCCTTTAGACAGTGCAGATTTGAGACACTTGTCTGTGGAATTTGCAAGGGGAGATTTCAAGCACTTTGAGGCCATTGGTGGAAAAGGAAATATCTTCGTATGAAAACTAGACAGAATCATTCTCAGGAACTACTTTGTGATATGTGCATTCAACTCACAGAGTTTAACCTTTCTTTTCATAGATGAGTTTGGAAACAGTCAGTTTGTAAATTCTGCAACTGGATATTTGGACCTCTTTGAGGCTTTCGTTGGAAACGGGATTTCTTCACATAATGCTAGACAGAAGAATTCTCAGTAACTTCTTTTGGGATGTATGTATTCAAATCAGAGAGTTGAACCTTCCTTTAGACAGAGCGGATTGGAAACACTCTTTTTGTGGAATTTGCAAGTGGAAAATTCTAGCAGTATGAGGCCAATGGTACAAAAGGAAATATCTTCGTATAAAAACTAGACAGTATCATTCTCAGAAACTGCTTTGTGATGTGTGTATTAAACTCACAGAGTTTAACCTTTCTTTTCATAGAGCAGTTTGGAAACCCTCTGTTTGTGAAGTCTGCAAGTGGATATTTAAACGTCTTTGAGGCCTTCGTTGGAAACGGGATTTTTTCATATAAACCAGGACAGAAGAATTCTCAGAAACTTCTTGATTGTTATGTGTGCATTCAACTCACAGAGTTGAACCTTACTTTGGAAAGAGCAGTTTTCTAACACTCTTTTTGTAAAAGTTCCAAGTGAATACTTTGAGTGCTTTGAAGCCTACGGTTGACAACGAAATATCCTTCATGTAAAAACTACAAAGAATCATTCGCAGAAACCACGTTGTGATCTCTGCATTCAACTCACAGAGTTGAACCTTTCCTCCTATAGAGCAGTTATGAAGCAGTCTCTTTGTAGAATTTGCAAGGGTGTATTTACAGGGCATTGAAGCCTACGGTAGAAAAGGAAATATCTTACCATAAAATCTAGTCAGAAGCATTCTCAGAAACTGAGTTGTGATGTTTGCATTCAACTCACAGAGTTCAACATTCCTTTTAATGGAGCGGTTTTGAAACACTCTTTTTGCAGAATCTGCAAGTGGATATTTCGACCTCTTTGAGGCCTTCGTTGGAAACGGGATTTCTTCATGTAATGCCAGACAGAAGAATTCTCAGTGAATTCTTTCTGTGTGTGTGTATTCAACTCACAGAGTTGAACGTACCTTTAGACAGAGTAGATTGGAAACACTCTTTTTGTGGAATTTTCAGGTGGAGGTATCAAGCGCTTTGAGGCCAATGATAGAAAAGGAAATACCTTCGTATAATAATTAGACGGAATCATTCTCAGAAACTGCTTTGCAATGTGTGCGTTCAACTCACAGTGTTTAACCTTTCTTTTCATACAGTTGTTTCGAAACACTCTTTTTGCAGAATCTGCAAGTGGATATTTGGACCTCTTTGAAGTCTTCGTTGGAAATGGGATATCTTCATATAATGCTAGACAGAAGACTTCTCAGTAACTGCTTTTTCTGGTGTGTATTCAACTCTCAGAGTTGAACTTTCCTTTAGAAACAGCAGAGTTGAAACTCTCTTTTTGTGGAATTTGCAAGTGGAGATTTCAAAGCTTTGAGGCCAATGGTAGAAAAGGAAATATCTTCGTATGCAAACTAGACAGAATCATTCTCAGAAACTACTTTGGTACGTGTGTGTTCAAGTCACAGTGTTTAACCTTTCTTTTCATAGAGCAGTTTGGAAACACTCAGTTTGTAAAGTCAGCAACTGGATATTTGGATGTATTTGAGGCCTTCGTTGGAAACGGGATTTCTTCATATAGTGCTAGACAGAAGAATTCTCAGTAACTTCTTTGGGTTGTGGGTATTCAACTCACAGAGTTGAAGCTTCCTTTAGGCGGAGCAGATTGGAAACACTTTTTGTGGAATTTTCAGGGGGAGACTTCAAGCGCTTTGAAGTGAATGGTAGAAAAGGAAATATCTTCGTATAAAAACTAGACGGAGTCATTCTCAGAAACTACTTTGTGATGTTTGCGTTCAACTCACAGAGTTTAACGTTTCTTTTCATAGAGCAGTTTGGAAACACTCTTTTTGCAGAATCTGCAAGTGGATATTTGGACCTCTTTGTGGCCTTCGTTGGAAACGGGATTTTTCATATAATGCTAGACAGAAGAATTCTCAGTAACTTCTTTTTGTGGTGTGTATTCAACTCACAGAGTTGAACCTTCCTTTAGACAGAGCAGATTTGAAACTCTCTTTTTGTGGAATTTGCAAGTGGAGATTTCAAGCGCTTTGAGGCCAACGGTAGAAAAGGAAATATCTTCGTAGAAAAAATAGACGGAATCATTCTCAGAAACTGCTTTGGGATGTGTGCATTGAACTCACAGTGTTTAACACTTCTTTTCATAGAGCACTTTGGAAACACTCAGTTTGTAATGTCTGCAGCTGGATATTTGGACCTCTTTGAGGCCTTCGTAGTAAACGGGATTTCTTCGTGTAATGATAGACAATAGAATTCTCAGTGAATTTTTTTCTGTGTGTGTGTATTCAACTCACAGGGTTGAACCTTCCTTTAGACAGTGCAGATTTGAGACACTTGTCTGTGGAATTTGCAAGGGGAGATTTCAAGCACTTTGAGGCCATTGGTGGAAAAGGAAATATCTTCGTATAAAAACTAGACAGAATCATTCTCAGGAACTACTTTGTGATATGCGCATTCAACTCACAGAGTTTAACCTTTCTTTTCATAGATGAGTTTGCAAACAGTCAGTTTGTAAATGCTGCAACTGGATATTTGGGCCTCTTTGAGGCTTTCGTTGGAAACGGGATTTCTTCACATAATGCTAGACAGAAGAATTCTCAGTAACTTCTTTTGGGATGTATGTATTCAAATCAGAGAGTTGAACCTTCCTTTAGACAGAGCGGATTGGAAACACTCTTTTTGTGGAATTTGCAAGTGGAAAATTCTAGCAGTATGAGGCCAATGGTACAAAAGGAAATATCTTCGTATAAAAACTAGACAGATCATTCTCAGAAACTGCTTTGTGATGTGTGTATTAAACTCACAGCAGTTGAACATTTCTTTGCATAGAGCAGTTTGGAAAGACTTAGTTTGTGCAGTGTGCAAGTGGATATTTGGAACTCTTTGAGGCCTTCGTTGGAAACGGGATTTCTTCTTATAATTTCTTGAAAAAAGAATTCTCAGTAGCTTCTTTGTGTGTGTGTATTCAACTCACAGAGTTGAACCTTCCTTTAGACAGAGCAGATTGGAAACACTCTTTTTGTGGAATTTGCAAGTGGAGAATTCTAGCGCTTTGACGCCAATGGTAGAAAGGAAATATCTTCGTATAAAAACTAGACAGTATCATTCTCAGAAGCTACTTTGTGATGTGTGCGTTCAACTCACAGAGTTTAACCTTTCTTTTCATAGAGCAGTTTGGAAACCCTCTGTTTGTGAAGTCTGCAAGTGGATATTTAAACGTCTTTGAGGCCTTCGTTGGAAACGGGATTTTTTCATATAAACCAGGACAGAAGAATTCTCAGAAACTTCTTGATTGTTATGTGTGCATTCAACTCACAGAGTTGAACCTTACTTTGGAAAGAGCAGTTTTCTAACACTCTTTTTGTAAAAGTTCCAAGTGAATACTTTGAGTGCTTTGAAGCCTACGGTTGACAACGAAATATCCTTCATGTAAAAACTACAAAGAATCATTCGCAGAAACCACGTTGTGATCTCTGCATTCAACTCACAGAGTTCAACCTTTCTTCCTATAGAGCAGTTATGAAACAGTCTCTTTGTAGAATTTGCAAGGGTGTATTTAGAGGGCATTGAAGCCTACGGTAGAAAAGGAAATATCTTACCATAAAATCTAGTCAGAAGCATTCTCAGAAACTGAGTTGTGATGTTTGCATTCAACTCACAGAGTTCAACATTCCTTTTAATGGAGCGGTTTTGAAACACTCTTTTTGCAGAATCTGCAAGTGGATATTTGGACCTCTTTGAGGCCTTCGTTGGAAACGGGATTTCTTCATGTAATGCCAGACAGAAGAATTCTCAGTGAATTCTTTCTGTGTGTGTGTATTCAACTCACAGAGTTGAACGTTCCTTTAGACAGAGTAGATTGGAAACACTCTTTTTGTGGAATTTTCAGGTGGAGGTATCAAGCGCTTTGAGGCCAATGATAGAAAAGGAAATACCTTCGTATAATAATTAGACGGGAATCATTCTCAGAAACCGCTTTGCAATGTGTGCGTTCAACTCACAGTGTTTAACCTTTCTTTTCATACAGTTGTTTCGAAACACTCTTTTTGCAGAATCTGCAAGTGGATATTTGGACCTCTTTGAAGTCTTCGTTGGAAATGGGATTTCTTCATATAATGCTAGACAGAAGACTTCTCAGTAACTGCTTTTTCTGGTGTGTATTCAACTCTCAGAGTTGAACTTTCCTTTAGAAACAGCAGATTTGAAACTCTCTTTTTGTGGAATTTGCAAGTGGAGATTTCAGAGCTTTGAGGCCAATGGTAGAAAAGGAAATATCTTCGTATGCAAACTAGACAGAATCATTCTCAGAAACTACTTTGGTACGTGTGTGTTCAACTCACAGTGTTTAACCTTTCTTTTCATAGAGCAGTTTGGAAACACTCAGTTTGTAAAGTCAGCAACTGGATATTTGGATGTATTTGAGGCCTTCGTTGGAAACGGGATTTCTTCATATAATGCTAGACAGAAGAATTCTCAGTAACTTCTTTGGGTTGTGGGTATTCAACTCACAGAGTTGAAGCTTCCTTTAGGCGGAGCAGATTGGAAACACTTTTTGTGGAATTTTCAGGGGGAGACTTCAAGCGCTTTGAAGTGAATGGTAGGAAAGGATATATCTTCGTATAAAAACTAGACGGAGTCATTCTCAGAAACTACTTTGTGATGTTTGCGTTCAACTCACAGAGTTTAACGTCTCTTTTCATAGAGCAGTTTGGAAACACTCTTTTTGCAGAATCTGCAAGTGGATATTTGGACCTCTTTGTGGCCTTCGTTGGAAACGGGATTTTTCATATAATGCTAGACAGAAGAATTCTCAGTAACTTCTTTTTGTGGTGTGTATTCAACTCACAGAGTTGAACCTTCCTTTAGACAGAGCAGATTTGAAACTCTCTTTTTGTGGAATTTGCAAGTGGAGATTTCAAGCGCTTTGAGGCCAACGGCAGAAAAGGAAATATCTTCGTAGAAAAAATAGACGGAATCATTCTCAGAAACTGCTTTGGGATGTGTGCATTGAACTCACAGTGTTTAACACTTCTTTTCATAGAGCACTTTGGAAACACTCAGTTTGTAATGTCTGCAGCTGGATATTTGGACCTCTTTGAGGCCTTCGTAGTAAACGGGATTTCTTCGTGTAATGATAGACAATAGAATTCTCAGTGAATTTTTTTCTGTGTGTGTGTATTCAACTCACAGGGTTGAACCTTCCTTTAGACAGTGCAGATTTGAAACACTTGTCTGTGGAATTTGCAAGGGGAGATTTCAAGCACTTTGAGGCCATTGGTGGAAAAGGAAATATCTTCGTATAAAAACTAGACAGAATCATTCTCAGGAACTACTTTGTGATATGTGCATTCAACTCACAGAGTTTAACCTTTCTTTTCATAGATGAGTTTGGAAACAGTCAGTTTGTAAATTCTGCAACTGGATATTTGGACCTCTTTGAGGCTTTCGTTGGAAACGGGATTTCTTCACATAATGCTAGACAGAAGAATTCTCAGGAACTTCTTTTGGGATGTATGTATTCAAATCAGAGAGTTGAACCTTCCTTTAGACAGAGCGGATTGGAAACACTCTTTTTGTGGAATTTGCAAGTGGAAAATTCTAGCAGTATGAGGCCAATGGTACAAAAGGAAATATCTTTCGTATAAAAACTAGACAGTAATCATTCTCAGAAACTGCTTTGTGATGTGTGTATTAAACTCACAGAGTTGAACATTTCTTTGCATAGAGCAGTTTGGAAAGACTTAGTTTGTGCAGTGTGCAAGTGGATATTTGGAACTCTTTGAGGCCTTCGTTGGAAACGGGATTTCTTCTTATAATTCTTGACAAAAGAATTCTCAGTAGCTTCTTTGTGTGTGTGTATTCAACTCACAGAGTTGAACCTTCCTTTAGACAGAGCGGATTGGAAACACTCTTTTTGTGGAATTTGCAAGTGGAAAATTCTAGCAGTATGAGGCCAATGGTACAAAAGGAAATATCTTCGTATAAAAACTAGACAGTATCATTCTCAGAAACTGCTTTGTGATGTGTGTATTAAACTCACAGAGTTGAACATTTCTTTGCATAGAGCAGTTTGGAAAGACTTAGTTTGTGCAGTGTGCAAGTGGATATTTGGAACTCTTTGAGGCCTTCGTTGGAAACGGGATTTCTTCTTATAATTCTTGACAAAAGAATTCTCAGTAGCTTCTTTGTGTGTGTGTATTCAACTCACAGAGTTGAACCTTCCTTTAGACAGAGCAGATTGGAAACACTCTTTTTGTGGAATTTGCAAGTGGAGAATTCTAGCGCTTTGACGCCAATGGTAGAAAGGAAATATCTTCGTATAAAAACTAGACAGTATCATTCTCAGAAGCTACTTTGTGATGTGTGCGTTCAACTCACAGAGTTTAACCTTTCTTTTCATAGAGCAGTTTGGAAACCCTCTGTTTGTGAAGTCTGCAAGTGGATATTTAAACGTCTTTGAGGCCTTCGTTGGAAACGGGATTTTTTCATATAAACCAGGACAGAAGAATTCTCAGAAACTTCTTGATTGTTATGTGTGCATTCAACTCACAGAGTTGAACCTTACTTTGGAAAGAGCAGTTTTCTAACACTCTTTTTGTAAAAGTTCCAAGTGAATACTTTGAGTGCTTTGAAGCCTACGGTTGACAACGAAATATCTTCATGTAAAAACTACAAAGAATCATTCGCAGAAACCACGTTGTGATCTCTGCATTCAACTCACAGAGTTCAACCTTTCTTCCTATAGAGCAGTTATGAAACAGTCTCTTTGTAGAATTTGCAAGGGTGTATTTAGAGGGCATTGAAGCCTACGGTAGAAAAGGAAATATCTTACCATAAAATCTAGTCAGAAGCATTCTCAGCAACTGAGTTGTGATGTTTGCATTCAACTCACAGAGTTCAACATTCCTTTTAATGGAGCGGTTTTGAAACACTCTTTTTGCAGAATCTGCAAGTGGATATTTGGACCTCTTTGAGGTCTTCGTTGGAAACGGGATTTCTTCATGTAATGCCAGACAGAAGAATTCTCAGTGAATTCTTTCTGTGTGTGTGTATTCAACTCACAGAGTTGAACGTTCCTTTAGACAGAGTAGATTGGAAACACTCTTTTTGTGGAATTTTCAGGTGGAGGTATCAAGCGCTTTGAGGCCAATGATAGAAAAGGAAATACCTTCGTATAATAATTAGACGGAATCATTCTCAGAAACCGCTTTGCAATGTGTGCGTTCAACTCACAGTGTTTAACCTTTCTTTTCATACAGTTGTTTCGAAACACTCTTTTTGCAGAATCTGCAAGTGGATATTTGGACCTCTTTGAAGTCTTCGTTGGAAATGGGATTTCTTCATATAATGCTAGACAGAAGACTTCTCAGTAACTGCTTTTTCTGGTGTGTATTCAACTCTCAGAGTTGAACTTTCCTTTAGAAACAGCAGATTTGAAACTCTCTTTTTGTGGAATTTGCAAGTGGAGATTTCAGAGCTTTGAGGCCAATGGTAGAAAAGGAAATATCTTCGTATGCAAACTAGACAGAATCATTCTCAGAAACTACTTTGGTACGTGTGTGTTCAACTCACAGTGTTTAACCTTTCTTTTCATAGAGCAGTTTGGAAACACTCAGTTTGTAAAGTCAGCAACTGGATATTTGGATGTATTTGAGGCCTTCGTTGGAAACGGGGATTTCTTCATATAATGCTAGACAGAAAGAATTCTCAGTAACTTCTTTGGGTTGTGGGTATTCAAGTCACAGAGTTGAAGCTTCCTTTAGGCGGAGCAGATTGGAAACACTTTTTGTGGAATTTTCAGGGGGAGACTTCAAGCGCTTTGAAGTGAATGGTAGGAAAGGAAATATCTTCGTATAAAAACTAGACGGAGTCATTCTCAGAAACTACTTTGTGATGTTTGCGTTCAACTCACAGAGTTTAACGTTTCTTTTCATAGAGCAGTTTGGAAACACTCTTTTTGCAGAATCTGCAAGTGGATATTTGGACCTCTTTGTGGCCTTCGTTGGAAACGGGATTTTTCATATAATGCTAGACAGAAGAATTCTCAGTAACTTCTTTTTGTGGTGTGTATTCAACTCACAGAGTTGAACCTTCCTTTAGACAGAGCAGATTTGAAACTCTCTCTTTGTGGAATTTGCAAGTGGAGATTTCAAGCGCTTTGAGGCCAACGGCAGAAAAGGAAATATCTTCGTAGAAAAAATAGACGGAATCATTCTCAGAAACTGCTTTGGGATGTGTGCATTGAACTCACAGTGTTTAACACTTCTTTTCATAGAGCACTTTGGAAACACTCAGGTTGTAATGTCTGCAGCTGGATATTTGGACCTCTTTGAGGCCTTCGTAGTAAACGGGATTTCTTCGTGTCATGATAGACAATAGAATTCTCAGTGAATTTTTTTCTGTGTGTGTGTATTCAACTCACAGGGTTGAACCTTCCTTTAGACAGTGCAGATTTGAAACACTTGTCTGTGGAATTTGCAAGGGGAGATTTCAAGCACTTTGAGGCCATTGGTGGAAAAGGAAATATCTTCGTATGAAAACTAGACAGAATCATTCTCAGGAACTACTTTGTGATATGTGCATTCAACTCACAGAGTTTAACCTTTCTTTTCATAGATGAGTTTGGAAACAGTCAGTTTGTAAATTCTGCAACTGGATATTTGGACCTCTTTGAGGCTTTCGTTGGAAACGGGATTTCTTCACATAATGCTAGACAGAAGAATTCTCAGTAACTTCTTTTGGGATGTATGTATTCAAATCAGAGAGTTGAACCTTCCTTTAGACAGAGCGGATTGGAAACACTCTTTTTGTGGAATTTGCAAGTGGAAAATTCTAGCAGTATGAGGCCAATGGTACAAAAGGAAATATCTTCGTATAAAAACTAGACAGTATCATTCTCAGAAACTGCTTTGTGATGTGTGTATTAAACTCACAGAGTTGAACATTTCTTTGCATAGAGCAGTTTGGAAAGACTTAGCTTGTGCAGTGTGCAAGTGGATATTTGGAACTCTTTGAGGCCTTCGTTGGAAACGGGATTTCTTCTTATAATTCTTGACAAAAGAATTCTCAGTAGCTTCTTTGTGTGTGTGTATTCAACTCACACAGTTGAACCTTCCTTTAGACAGAGCAGATTGGAAACACTCTTTTTGTGGAATTTGCAAGTGGAGAATTCTAGCGCTTTGACGCCAATGGTAGAAAGGAAATATCTTCGTATAAAAACTAGACAGTATCATTCTCAGAAGCTACTTTGTGATGTGTGCGTTCAACTCACAGAGTTTAACCTTTCTTTTCATAGAGCAGTTTGGAAACCCTCTGTTTGTGAAGTCTGCAAGTGGATATTTAAACGTCTTTGAGGCCTTCGTTGGAAACGGGATTTCTTCATATAAACCAGGACAGAAGAATTCTCAGAAACTTCTTGATTGTTATGGGTGCATTCAACTCACAGAGTTGAACCTTACTTTGGAAAGAGCAGTTTTCTAACACTCTTTTTGTAAAAGTTCCAAGTGAATACTTTGAGTGCTTTGAAGCCTACGGTTGACAACGAAATATCTTCATGTAAAAACTACAAAGAATCATTCGCAGAAACCACGTTGTGATCTCTGCATTCAACTCACAGAGTTGAACCTTTCCTCCTATAGAGCAGTTATGAAACAGTCTCTTTGTAGAATTTGCAAGGGTGTATTTAGAGGGCATTGAAGCCTACGGTAGAAAAGGAAATATCTTACCATAAAATCTAGTCAGAAGCATTCTCAGCAACTGAGTTGTGATGTTTGCATTCAACTCACAGAGTTCAACATTCCTTTTAATGGAGCGGTTTTGAAACACTCTTTTTGCAGAATCTGCAAGTGGATATTTGGACCTCTTTGAGGCCTTCGTTGGAAACGGGATTTCTTCATGTAATGCCAGACAGAAGAATTCTCAGTGAATTCTTTCTGTGTGTGTGTATTCAACTCACGGAGTTGAACGTTCCTTTAGACAGAGTAGATTGGAAACACTCTTTTTGTGGAATTTTCAGGTGGAGGTATCAAGCGCTTTGAGGCCAATGATAGAAAAGGAAATACCTTCGTATAATAATTAGACGGAATCATTCTCAGAAACTGCTTTGCAATGTGTGCGTTCAACTCACAGTGTTTAACCTTTCTTTTCATACAGTTGTTTCGAAACACTCTTTTTGCAGAATCTGCAAGTGGATATTTGGACCTCTTTGAAGTCTTCGTTGGAAATGGGATTTCTTCATATAATGCTAGACAGAAGACTTCTCAGTAACTGCTTTATCTGGTGTGTATTCAACTCTCAGAGTTGAACTTTCCTTTAGAAACAGCAGAGTTGAAACTCTCTTTTTGTGGAATTTGCAAGTGGAGATTTCAAAGCTTTGAGGTCAATGGTAGAAAAGGAAATATCTTCGTATGCAAACTAGACAGAATCATTCTCAGAAACTACTTTGGTACGTGTGTGTTCAACTCACAGTGTTTAACCTTTCTTTTCATAGAGCAGTTTGGAAACACTCAGTTTGTAAAGTCAGCAACTGGATATTTGGATGTATTTGAGGCCTTCGTTGGAAACGGGATTTCTTCATATAATGCTAGACAGAAGAATTTTCAGTAACTTCTTTGGGTTGTGGGTATTCAACTCACAGAGTTGAAGCTTCCTTTAGGCGGAGCAGATTGGAAACACTTTTTGTGGAATTTTCAGGGGGAGACTTCAAGCGCTTTGAAGTGAATGGTAGAAAAGGAAATATCTTCGTATAAAAACTAGACGGAGTCATTCTCAGAAACTACTTTGTGATGTTTGCGTTCAACTCACAGAGTTTAACGTTTCTTTTCATAGAGCAGTTTGGAAACACTCTTTTTGCAGAATCTGCAAGTGGATATTTGGACCTCTTTGTGGCCTTCGTTGGAAACGGGATTTTTCATATAATGCTAGACAGAAGAATTCTCAGTAACTTCTTTTTGTGGTGTGTATTCAACTCACAGAGTTGAACCTTCCTTTAGACAGAGCAGATTTGAAACTCTCTTTTTGTGGAATTTGCAAGTGGAGATTTCAAGCGCTTTGAGGCCAACGGTAGAAAAGTAAATATCTTCGTAGAAAAAATAGACGGAATCATTCTCAGAAACTGCTTTGGGATGTGTGCATTGAACTCACAGTGTTTAACACTTCTTTTCATAGAGCACTTTGGAAACACTCAGTTTGAAATGTCTGCAGCTGGATATTTGGACCTCTTTGAGGCCTTCGTAGTAAACGGGATTTCTTCGTGTAATGATAGACAATAGAATTCTCAGTGAATTTTTTTCTGTGTGTGTGTATTCAACTCACAGGGGTTGAACCTTCCTTTAGACAGTGCAGATTTGAAACACTTGTCTGTGGAATTTGCAAGGGGAGATTTCAAGCACTTTGAGGCCATTGGTGGAAAAGGAAATATCTTCGTATGAAAACTAGACAGAATCATTCTCAGGAACTACTTTGTGATATGTGCATTCAACTCCCAGAGTTTAACCTTTCTTTTCATAGATGAGTTTGGAAACAGTCAGTTTGTAAATTCTGCAACTGGATATTTGGACCTCTTTGAGGCTTTCGTTGGAAACGGGATTTCTTCACATAATGCTAGACAGAAGAATTCTCAGTAACTTCTTTTGGGATGTATGTATTCAAATCAGAGAGTTGAACCTTCCTTTAGACAGAGCGGATTGGAAACACTCTTTTTGTGGAATTTGCAAGTGGAAAATTCCTAGCAGTATGAGGCCAATGGTACAAAAGGAAATATCTTCGTATAAAAACTAGACAGTATCATTCTCAGAAACTGCTTTGTGATGTGTGTATTAAACTCACAGAGTTGAACATTTCTTTGCATAGAGCAGTTTGGAAAGACTTAGTTTGTGCAGTGTGCAAGTGGATATTTGGAACTCTTTGAGGCCTTCGTTGGAAACGGGATTTCTTCTTATAATTTCTTGAAAAAAGAATTCTCAGTAGCTTCTTTGTGTGTGTGTATTCAACTCACAGAGTTGAACCTTCCTTTAGACAGAGCAGATTGGAAACACTCTTTTTGTGGAATTTGCAAGTGGAGAATTCTAGCGCTTTGACGCCAATGGTAGAAAGGAAATATCTTCGTATAAAAACTAGACAGTATCATTCTCAGAAGCTACTTTGTGATGTGTGCGTTCAACTCACAGAGTTTAACCTTTCTTTTCATAGAGCAGTTTGGAAACCCTCTGTTTGTGAAGTCTGCAAGTGGATATTTAAACGTCTTTGAGGCCTTCGTTGGAAACGGGATTTTTTCATATAAACCAGGACAGAAGAATTCTCAGAAACTTCTTGATTGTTATGTGTGCATTCAACTCACAGAGTTGAACCTTACTTTGGAAAGAGCAGTTTTCTAACACTCTTTTTGTAAAAGTTCCAAGTGAATACTTTGAGTGCTTTGAAGCCTACGGTTGACAACGAAATATCTTCATGTAAAAACTACAAAGAATCATTCGCAGAAACCACGTTGTGATCTCTGCATTCAACTCACAGAGTTGAACCTTTCTTCCTATAGAGCAGTTATGAAACAGTCTCTTTGTAGAATTTGCAAGGGTGTATTTAGAGGGCATTGAAGCCTACGGTAGAAAAGGAAATATCTTACCATAAAATCTAGTCAGAAGCATTCTCAGAAACTGAGTTGTGATGTTTGCATTCAACTCACAGAGTTCAACATTCCTTTTAATGGAGCGGTTTTGAAACACTCTTTTTGCAGAATCTGCAAGTGGATATTTGGACCTCTTTGAGGCCTTCGTTGGAAACGGGATTTCTTCATGTAATGCCAGACAGAAGAATTCTCAATGAATTCTTTCTGTGTGTGTGTATTCAACTCACAGAGTTGAACGTTCCTTTAGACAGAGTAGATTGGAAACACTCTTTTTGTGGAATTTTCAGGTGGAGGTATCAAGCGCTTTGAGGCCAATGATAGAAAAGGAAATACCTTCGTATAATAATTAGACGGAATCATTCTCAGAAACTGCTTTGCAATGTGTGCATTCAACTCACAGTGTTTAACCTTTCTTTTCATACAGTTGTTTCGAAACACTCTTTTTGCAGAATCTGCAAGTGGATATTTGGACCTCTTTGAAGTCTTCGTTGGAAATGGGATTTCTTCATATAATGCTAGACAGAAGACTTCTCAGTAACTGCTTTTTCTGGTGTGTATTCAACTCTCAGAGTTGAACTTTCCTTTAGAAACAGCAGATTTGAAACTCTCTTTTTGTGGAATTTGCAAGTGGAGATTTCAGAGCTTTGAGGCCAATGGTAGAAAAGGAAATATCTTCGTATGCAAACTAGACAGAATCATTCTCAGAAACTACTTTGGTACGTGTGTGTTCAACTCACAGTGTTTAACCTTTCTTTTCATAGAGCAGTTTGGAAACACTCAGTTTGTAAAGTCAGCAACTGGATATTTGGATGTATTTGAGGCCTTCGTTGGAAACGGGATTTCTTCATATAATGCTAGACAGAAGAATTCTCAGTAACTTCTTTGGGTTGTGGGTATTCAACTCACAGAGCTGAAGCTTCCTTTAGGCGGAGCAGATTGGAAACACTTTTTGTGGAATTTTCAGGGGGAGACTTCAAGCGCTTTGAGGCCAACGGTAGAAAAGGAAATATCTTCGTATAAAAACTAGACGGAGTCATTCTCAGAAACTACTTTGTGATGTTTGCGTTCAACTCACAGAGTTTAACGTTTCTTTTCATAGAGCAGTTTGGAAACACTCTTTTTGCAGAATCTGCAAGTGGATATTTGGACCTGTTTGTGGCCTTCGTTGGAAACGGGATTTTTCATATAATGCTAGACAGAAGAATTCTCAGTAACTTCTTTTTGTGGTGTGTATTCAACTCACAGAGTTGAACCTTCCTTTAGACAGAGCAGATTTGAAACTCTCTTTTTGTGGAATTTGCAAGTGGAGATTTCAAGCGCTTTGAGGCCAACGGCAGAAAAGGAAATATCTTCGTAGAAAAAATAGACGGAATCATTCTCAGAAACTGCTTTGGGATGTGTGCATTGAACTCACAGTGTTTAACACTTCTTTTCATAGAGCAATTTGGAAACACTCAGTTTGTAATGTCTGCAGCTGGATATTTGGACCTCTTTGAGGCTTTCGTAGTAAACGGGATTTCTTCGTGTAATGATAGACAATAGAATTCTCAGTGAATTTTTTTCTGTGTGTGTGTATTCAACTCACAGGGTTGAACCTTCCTTTAGACAGTGCAGATTTGAAACACTTGTCTGTGGAATTTGCAAGGGGAGATTTCAAGCACTTTGAGGCCATTGGTGGAAAAGGAAATATCTTCGTATGAAAACTAGACAGAATCATTCTCAGGAACTACTTTGTGATATGTGCATTCAACTCACAGAGTTTAACCTTTCTTTTCATAGATGAGTTTGGAAACAGTCAGTTTGTAAATTCTGCAACTGGATATTTGGACCTCTTTGAGGCTTTCGTTGGAAACGGGATTTCTTCACATAATGCTAGACAGAAGAATTCTCAGTAAATTCTTTTGGGATGTATGTATTCAAATCAGAGAGTTGAACCTTCCTTTAGACAGAGCGGATTGGAAACACTCTTTTTGTGGAATTTGCAAGTGGAAAATTCTAGCAGTATGAGGCCAATGGTACAAAAGGAAATATCTTCGTATAAAAACTAGACAGTATCATTCTCAGAAACTGCTTTGTGATGTGTGTATTAAACTCACAGAGTTGAACATTTCTTTGCATAGAGCAGTTTGGAAAGACTTAGTTTGTGCAGTGTGCAAGTGGATATTTGGAACTCTTTGAGGCCTTCGTTGGAAACGGGATTTCTTCTTATAATTCTTGACAAAAGAATTCTCAGTAGCTTCTTTGTGTGTGTGTATTCAACTCACAGAGTTGAACCTTCCTTTAGACAGAGCAGATTGGTAACACTCTTTTTGTGGAATTTGCAAGTGGAGAATTCTAGCGCTTTGACACCAATGGTAGAAAGGAAATATCTTCGTATAAAAACTAGACAGTATCATTCTCAGAAGCTACTTTGTGATGTGTGCGTTCAACTCACAGAGTTTAACCTTTATTTTCATAGAGCAGTTTGGAAACACTCTGTTTGTGAAGTCTGCAAGTGGATATTTAAACGTCTTTGAGGCCTTCGTTGGAAACGGGATTTTTTCATATAAACCAGGACAGAAGAATTCTCAGAAACTTCTTGATTGTTATGTGTGCATTCAACTCACAGAGTTGAACCTTACTTTGGAAAGAGCAGTTTTCTAACACTCTTTTTGTAAAAGTTCCAAGTGAATACTTTGAGTGCTTTGAAGCCTACGGTTGACAACGAAATATCTTCCTGTAAAAACTACAAAGAATCATTCGCAGAAACCACGTTGTGATCTCTGCATTCAACTCACAGAGTTGAACCTTTCTTCCTATAGAGCAGTTATGAAACAGTCTCTTTGTAGAATTTGCAAGGGTGTATTTAGAGGGCATTGAAGCCTACGGTAGAAAAGGAAATATCTTACCATAAAATCTAGTCAGAAGCATTCTCAGCAACTGAGTTGTGATGTTTGCATTCAACTCACAGAGTTCAACATTCCTTTTAATGGAGCGGTTTTGAAACACTCTTTTTGCAGAATCTGCAAGTGGATATTTGGACCTCTTTGAGGCCTTCGTTGGAAACGGGATTTCTTCATGTAATGCCAGACAGAAGAATTCTCAGTGAATTCTTTCTGTGTGTGTGTATTCAACTCACAGAGTTGAACGTTCCTTTAGACAGAGTAGATTGGAAACACTCTTTTTGTGGAATTTTCAGGTGGAGGTATCAAGCGCTTTGAGGCCAATGATAGAAAAGGAAATACCTTCGTATAATAATTAGACGGAATCATTCTCAGAAACTGCTTTGCAATGTGTGCGTTCAACTCACAGTGTTTAACCTTTCTTTTCATAGAGTTGTTTCGAAACACTCTTTTTGCAGAATCTGCAAGTGGATATTTGGACCTCTTTGAAGTCTTCGTTGGAAATGGGATTTCTTCATATAATGCTAGACAGAAGACTTCTCAGTAACTGCTTTTTCTGGTGTGTATTCAACTCTCAGAGTTGAACTTTCCTTTAGAAACAGCAGATTTGAAACTCTCTTTTTGTGGAATTTGCAAGTGGAGATTTCAGAGCTTTGAGGCCAATGGTAGAAAAGGAAATATCTTCGTATGCAAACTAGACAGAATCATTCTCAGAAACTACTTTGGTACGTGTGTGTTCAACTCACAGTGTTTAACCTTTCTTTTCATAGAGCAGTTTGGAAACACTCAGTTTGTAAAGTCAGCAACTGGATATTTGGATGTATTTGAGGCCTTCGTTGGAAACGGGATTTCTTCATATAATGCTAGACAGAAGAATTCTCAGTAACTTCTTTGGGTTGTGGGTATTCAAGTCACAGAGTTGAAGCTTCCTTTAGGCGGAGCAGATTGGAAACACTTTTTGTGGAATTTTCAGGGGGAGACTTCAAGCGCTTTGAAGTGAATGGTAGGAAAGGAAATATCTTCGTATAAAAACTAGACGGAGTCATTCTCAGAAACTACTTTGTGATGTTTGCGTTCAACTCACAGAGTTTAACGTTTCTTTTCATAGAGCAGTTTGGAAACACTCTTTTTGCAGAATCTGCAAGTGGATATTTGGACCTCTTTGTGGCCTTCGTTGGAAACGGGATTTTTCATATAATGCTAGACAGAAGAATTCTCAGTAACTTCTTTTTGTGGTGTGTATTCAACTCACAGAGTTGAACCTTCCTTTAGACAGAGCAGATTTGAAACTCTCTTTTTGTGGAATTTGCAAGTGGAGATTTCAAGCGCTTTGAGGCCAACGGCAGAAAAGGAAATATCTTCGTAGAAAAAATAGACGGAATCATTCTCAGAAACTGCTTTGGGATGTGTGCATTGAACTCACAGTGTTTAACACTTTTTTTCATAGAGCACTTTGGAAACACTCAGTTTGTAATGTCTGCAGCTGGATATTTGGACCTCTTTGAGGCCTTCGTAGTAAACGGGATTTCTTCGTGTAATGATAGACAATAGAATTCTCAGTGAATTTTTTTCTGTGTGTGTGTATTCAACTCACAGGGTTGAACCTTCCTTTAGACTGTGCAGATTTGAAACACTTGTCTGTGGAATTTGCAAGGGGAGATTTCAAGCACTTTGAGGCCATTGGTGGAAAAGGAAATATCTTCGTATAAAAACTAGACAGAATCATTCTCAGGAACTACTTTGTGATATGTGCATTCAACTCCCAGAGTTTAACCTTTCTTTTCATAGATGAGTTTGGAAACAGTCAGTTTGTAAATTCTGCAACTGGATATTTGGACCTCTTTGAGGCTTTCGTTGGAAACGGGATTTCTTCACATAATGCTAGACAGAAGAATTCTCAGTAACTTCTTTTGGGATGTATGTATTCAAATCAGAGAGTTGAACCTTCCTTTAGACAGAGCGGATTGGAAACACTCTTTTTGTGGAATTTGCAAGTGGAAAATTCTAGCAGTATGAGGCCAATGGTACAAAAGGAAATATCTTCTTATAAAAACTAGACAGTATCATTCTCAGAAACTGCTTTGTGATGTGTGTATTAAACTCACAGAGTTGAACATTTCTTTGCATAGAGCAGTTTGGAAAGACTTAGTTTGTGCAGTGTGCAAGTGGATATTTGGAACTCTTTGAGGCCTTCGTTGGAAACGGGATTTCTTCTTATAATTCTTGACAAAAGAATTCTCAGTAGCTTCTTTGTGTGTGTGTATTCAACTCACAGAGTTGAACCTTCCTTTAGACAGAGCAGATTGGAAACACTCTTTTTGTGGAATTTGCAAGTGGAGAATTCTAGCGCTTTGACGCCAATGGTAGAAAGGAAATATCTTCGTATAAAAACTAGACAGTATCATTCTCAGAAACTACTTTGTGATGTGTGCGTTCAACTCACAGAGTTTAACCTTTCTTTTCATAGAGCAGTTTGGAAACCCTCTGTTTGTGAAGTCTGCAAGTGGATATATAAACGTCTTTGAGGCCTTCGTTGGAAACGGGATTTCTTCATATAAACCAGGACAGAAGAATTCTCAGAAACTTCTTGATTGTTATGTGTGCATTCAACTCACAGAGTTGAACCTTACTTTGGAAAGAGCAGTTTTCTAACACTCTTTTTGTAAAAGTTCCAAGTGAATACTTTGAGTGCTTTGAAGCCTACGGTTGACAACGAAATATCTTCATGTAAAAACTACAAAGAATCATTCGCAGAAACCACGTTGTGATCTCTGCATTCAACTCACAGAGTTCAACCTTTCTTCCTATAGAGCAGTTATGAAACAGTCTCTTTGTAGAATTTGCAAGGGTGTATTTAGAGGGCATTGAAGCCTACGGTAGAAAAGGAAATATCTTACCATAAAATCTAGTCAGAAGCATTCTCAGAAACTGAGTTGTGATGTTTGCATTCAACTCACAGAGTTCAACATTCCTTTTCATGGAGCGGTTTTGAAACACTCTTTTTGCAGAATCTGCAAGTGGATATTTGGACCTCTTTGAGGCCTTCGTTGGAAACGGGATTTCTTCATGTAATGCCAGACAGAAGAATTCTCAGTGAATTCTTTCTGTGTGTGTGTATTCAACTCACAGAGTTGAACGTTCCTTTAGACAGAGTAGATTGGAAACACTCTTTTTGTGGAATTTTCAGGTGGAGGTATCAAGCGCTTTGAGGCCAAAGATAGAAAAGGAAATACCTTCGTATAATAATTAGACGGAATCATTCTCAGAAACTGCTTTGCAATGTGTGCGTTCAACTCACAGTGTTTAACCTTTCTTTTCATACAGTTGTTTCGAAACACTCTTTTTGCAGAATCTGCAAGTGGATATTTGGACCTCTTTGAAGTCTTCGTTGGAAATGGGATTTCTTCATATAATGCTAGACAGAAGACTTCTCAGTAACTGCTTTTTCTGGTGTGTATTCAACTCTCAGAGTTGAACTTTCCTTTAGAAACAGCAGATTTGAAACTCTCTTTTTGTGGAATTTGCAAGTGGAGATTTCAGAGCTTTGAGGCCAATGGTAGAAAAGGAAATATCTTCGTATGCAAACTAGACAGAATCATTCTCAGAAACTACTTTGGTACGTGTGTGTTCAACTCACAGTGTTTAACCTTTCTTTTCATAGAGCAGTTTGGAAACACTCAGTTTGTAAAGTCAGCAACTGGATATTTGGATGTATTTGAGGCCTTCGTTGGAAACGGGATTTCTTCATATAATGCTAGACAGAAGAATTCTCAGTAACTTCTTTGGGTTGTGGGTATTCAACTCACAGAGTTGAAGCTTCCTTTAGGCGGAGCAGATTGGAAACACTTTTTGTGGAATTTTCAGGGGGAGACTTCAAGCGCTTTGAAGTGAATGGTAGGAAAGGAAATATCTTCGTATAAAAACTAGACGGAGTCATTCTCAGAAACTACTTTGTGATGTTTGCGTTCAACTCACAGAGTTTAACGTTTCTTTTCATAGAGCAGTTTGGAAACACTCTTTTTGCAGAATCTGCAAGTGGATATTTGGACCTCTTTGTGGCCTTCGTTGGAAACGGGATTTTTCATATAATGCTAGACAGAAGAATTCTCAGTAACTTCTTTTTGTGGTGTGTATTCAACTCACAGAGTTGAACCTTACTTTGGAAAGAGCAGTTTTCTAACACTCTTTTTGTAAAAGTTCCAAGTGAATACTTTGAGTGCTTTGAAGCCTACGGTTGACAACGAAATATCTTCATGTAAAAACTACAAAGAAATCATTCGCAGAAACCACGTTGTGATCTCTGCATTCAACTCACAGAGTTGAACCTTTCTTCCTGTAGAGCAGTTATGAAACAGTCTCTTTGTAGAATTTGCAAGGGTGTATTTAGAGGGCATTGAAGCCTACGGTAGAAAAGGAAATATCTTACCATAAAATCTAGTCAGAAGCATTCTCAGCAACTGAGTTGTGATGTTTGCATTCAACTCACAGAGTTCAACATTCCTTTTAATGGAGCGGTTTTGAAACACTCTTTTTGCAGAATCTGCAAGTGGATATTTGGACCTCTTTGAGGCCTTCGTTGGAAACGGGATTTCTTCATGTAATGCCAGACAGAAGAATTCTCAGTGAATTCTTTCTGTGTGTGTGTATTCAACTCACAGAGTTGAACGTTCCTTTAGACAGAGTAGATTGGAAACACTCTTTTTGTGGAATTTTCAGGTGGAGGTATCAAGCGCTTTGAGGCCAATGATAGAAAAGGAAATACCTTCGTATAATAATTAGACGGAATCATTCTCAGAAACTGCTTTGCAATGTGTGCGTTCAACTCACAGTGTTTAACCTTTCTTTTCATACAGTTGTTTCGAAACACTCTTTTTGCAGAATCTGCAAGTGGATATTTGGACCTCTTTGAAGTCTTCGTTGGAAATGGGATTTCTTCATATAATGCTAGACAGAAGACTTCTCAGTAACTGCTTTTTCTGGTGTGTATTCAACTCTCAGAGTTGAACTTTCCTTTAGAAACAGCAGAGTTGAAACTCTCTTTTTGTGGAATTTGCAAGTGGAGATTTCAGAGCTTTGAGGCCAATGGTAGAAAAGGAAATATCTTCGTATGCAAACTAGACAGAATCATTCTCAGAAACTACTTTGGTACGTGTGTGTTCAACTCACAGTGTTTAACCTTTCCTTTCATAGAGCAGCTTGGAAACACTCAGTTTGTAAAGTCAGCCACTGGATATTTGGATGTATTTGAGGCCTTCGTTGGAAACGGGATTTCTTCCTATAATGCGAGACAGAGTAATTCTCAGTAACTTCTTTGGGTTGTGGGTATTCAACTCACAGAGTTGAAGCTTCCTTTAGGCGGAGCAGATTGGAAACACTTTTTGTGGAATTTTCAGGGGGAGACTTCAAGCGCTTTGAAGTGAATGGTAGGAAAGGAAATATCTTCGTATAAAAACTAGACGGAGTCATTCTCAGAAACTACTTTGTGATGTTTGCGTTCAACTCACAGAGTTTAACGTTTCTTTTCATAGAGCAGTTTGGAAACACTCTTTTTGCAGAATCTGCAAGTGGATATTTGGACCTCTTTGTGGCCTTCGTTGGAAACGGGATTTTTCATATAATGCTAGACAGAAGAATTCTCAGTAACTTCTTTTTGTGGTGTGTATTCAACTCACAGAGTTGAACCTTCCTTTAGACAGAGCAGATTTGAAACTCTCTTTTTGTGGAATTTGCAAGTGGAGATTTCAAGCGCTTTGAGGCCAACGGCAGAAAAGGAAATATCTTCGTAGAAAAAATAGACGGAATCATTCTCAGAAACTGCTTTGGGATGTGTGCATTGAACTCACAGTGTTTAACACTTCTTTTCATAGAGCACTTTGGAAACACTCAGTTTATAATGTCTGCAGCTGGATATTTGGACCTCTTTGAGGCCTTCGTAGTAAACGGGATTTCTTCGTGTAATGATAGACAATAGAATTCTCAGTGAATTTTTTTCTGTGTGTGTGTATTCAACTCACAGGGTTGAACCATCCTTTAGACAGTGCAGATTTGAAACACTTGTCTGTGGAATTTGCAAGGGGAGATTTCAAGCACTTTGAGGCCATTGGTGGAAAAGGAAATATACTTCGTATGAAAACTAGACAGAATCATTCTCAGGAACTACTTTGTGATATGTGCATTCAACTCACAGAGTTTAACCTTTCTTTTCATAGATGAGTTTGGAAACAGTCAGTTTGTAAATTCTGCAACTGGATATTTGGACCTCTTTGAGGCTTTCGTTGGAAACGGGATTTCTTCACATAATGCTAGACAGAAGAATTCTCAGTAACTTCTTTTGGGATGTATGTATTCAAATCAGAGAGTTGAACCTTCCTTTAGACAGAGCGGATTGGAAACACTCTTTTTGTGGAATTTGCAAGTGGAAAATTCTAGCAGTATGAGGCCAATGGTACAAAAGGAAATATCTTCGTATAAAAACTAGACAGTATCATTCTCAGAAACTGCTTTGTGATGTGCGTATTAAACTCACAGAGTTGAACATTTCTTTGCATAGAGCAGTTTGGAAAGACTTAGTTTGTGCAGTGTGCAAGTGGATATTTGGAACTCTTTGAGGCCTTCGTTGGAAACGGGATTTCTTCTTGTAATTCTTGACAAAAGAATTCTCAGTAGATTCTTTGTGTGTGTGTATTCAACTCACAGAGTTGAACCTTCCTTTAGACAGAGCAGATTGGAAACACTCTTTTTGTGGAATTTGCAAGTGGAGAATTCTAGCGCTTTGACGCCAGTGGTAGAAAGGAAATATCTTCGTATAAAAACTAGACAGTATCATTCTCAGAAGCTACTTTGTGATGTGTGCGTTCAACTCACAGAGTTTAACCTTTTTTTTCATAGAGCAGTTTGGAAACCCTCTGTTTGTGAAGTCTGCAAGTGGATATTTAAACGTCTTTGAGGCCTTCGTTGGAAACGGGATTTCTTCATATAAACCAGGACAGAAGAATTCTCAGAAACTTCTTGATTGTTATGTGTGCATTCAACTCACAGAGTTGAACCTTACTTTGGAAAGAGCAGTTTTCTAACACTCTTTTTGTAAAAGTTCCAAGTGAATACTTTGAGTGCTTTGAAGCCTACGGTTGACAACGAAATATCTTCATGTAAAAACTACAAAGAATCATTCGCAGAAACCACGTTGTGATCTCTGCATTCAACTCACAGAGTTGAACCTTTCTTCCTATAGAGCAGTTATGAAACAGTCTCTTTGTAGAATTTGCAAGGGTGTATTTAGAGGGCATTGAAGCCTACGGTAGAAAAGGAAATATCTTACCATAAAATCTAGTCAGAAGCATTCTCAGAAACTGAGTTGTGATGTTTGCATTCAACTCACAGAGTTCAACATTCCTTTTAATGGAGCGGTTTTGAAACACTCTTTTTGCAGAATCTGCAAGTGGATATTTGGACCTCTTTGAGGCCTTCGTTGGAAACGGGATTTCTTCATGTAATGCCAGACAGAAGAATTCTCAGTGAATTCTTTCTGTGTGTGTGTATTCAACTCACAGAGTTGAACGTTCCTTTAGACAGAGTAGATTGGAAACACTCTTTTTGTGGAATTTTCAGGTGGAGGTATCAAGCGCTTTGAGGCCAATGATAGAAAAGGAAATACCTTCGTATAATAATTAGACGGAATCATTCTCAGAAACTGCTTTGCAATGTGTGCGTTCAACTCACAGTGTTTAACCTTTCTTTTCATACAGTTGTTTCGAAACACTCTTTTGGCAGAATCTGCAAGTGGATATTTGGACCTCTTTGAAGTCTTCGTTGGAAATGGGATTTCTTCATATAATGCTAGACAGAAGACTTCTCAGTAACTGCTTTTTCTGGTGTGTATTCAACTCTCAGAGTTGAACTTTCCTTTAGAAACAGCAGATTTGAAACTCTCTTTTTGTGGAATTTGGAAGTGGAGATTTCAGAGCTTTGAGGCCACTGGTAGAAAAGGAAATATCTTCGTATGCAAACTAGACAGAATCATTCTCAGAAACTACTTTGGTACGTGTGTGTTCAACTCACAGTGTTTAACCTTTCTTTTCATAGAGCAGTTTGGAAACACTCAGTTTGTAAAGTCAGCAACTGGATATTTGGATGTATTTGAGGCCTTCGTTGGAAACGGGATTTCTTCATATAGTGCTAGACAGAAGAATTCTCAGTAACTTCTTTGGGTTGTGGGTATTCAACTCACAGAGTTGAAGCTTCCTTTAGGCGGAGCAGATTGGAAACACTTTTTGTGGAATTTTCAGGGGGAGACTTCAAGCGCTTTGAAGTGAATGGTAGGAAAGGAAATATCTTCGTATAAAAACTAGACGGAGTCATTCTCAGAAACTACTTTGTGATGTTTGCGTTCAACTCACAGAGTTTAACGTTTCTTTTCATAGAGCAGTTTGGAAACACTCTTTTTGCAGAATCTGCAAGTGGATATTTGGACCTCTTTGTGGCCTTCGTTGGAAACGGGATTTTTCATATAATGCTAGACAGAAGACTTCTCAGTAACTTCTTTTTGTGGTGTGTATTCAACTCACAGAGTTGAACCTTCCTTTAGACAGAGCAGATTTGAAACTCTCTTTTTGTGGAATTTGCAAGTGGAGATTTCAAGCGCTTTGAGGCCAACGGCAGAAAAGGAAATATCTTCGTAGAAAAAATAGACGGAATGATTCTCAGAAACTGCTTTGGGATGTGTGCATTGAACTCACAGTGTTTAACACTTCTTTTCGTAGAGCACTTTGGAAACACTCAGTTTGTAATGTCTGCAGCTGGATATTTGGACCTCTTTGAGGCCTTCGTAGTAAACGGGATTTCTTCGTGTAATGATAGACAATAGAATTCTCAGTGAATTTTTTTCTGTGTGTGTGTATTCAACTCACAGGGTTGAACCTTCCTTTAGACAGTGCAGATTTGAAACACTTGTCTGTGGAATTTGCAAGGGGAGATTTCAAGCACTTTGAGGCCATTGGTGGAAAAGGAAATATCTTCGTATGAAAACTAGACAGAATCATTCTCAGGAACTACTTTGTGATATGTGCATTCAACTCACAGAGTTTAACCTTTCTTTTCATAGATGAGTTTGGAAACAGTCAGTTTGTAAATTCTGCAACTGGATATTTGGACCTCTTTGAGGCTTTCGTTGGAAACGGGATTTCTTCACATAATGCTAGACAGAAGAATTCTCAGTAACTTCTTTTGGGATGTATGTATTCAAATCAGAGAGTTGAACCTTCCTTTAGACAGAGCGGATTGGAAACACTCTTTTTGTGGAATTTGCAAGTGGAAAATTCTAGCAGTATGAGGCCAATGGTACAAAAGGAAATATCTTCGTATAAAAACTAGACAGTATCATTCTCAGAAACTGCTTTGTGATGTGTGTATTAAACTCACAGAGTTTAACCTTTCTTTTCATAGAGCAGTTTGGAAACCCTCTGTTTGTGAAGTCTGCAAGTGGATATTTAAACGTCTTTGAGGCCTTCGTTGGAAACGGGATTTTTTCATATAAACCAGGACAGAAGAATTCTCAGAAACTTCTTGATTGTTATGTGTGCATTCAACTCACAGAGTTGAACCTTACTTTGGAAAGAGCAGTTTTCTAACACTCTTTTTGTAAAAGTTCCAAGTGAATACTTTGAGTGCTTTGAAGCCTACGGTCGACAACGAAATATCTTCATGTAAAAACTACAAAGAATCATTCGCAGAAACCACGTTGTGATCTCTGCATTCAACTCACAGTGTTGAACCTTTCTTCCTATAGAGCAGTTATGAAACAGTCTCTTTGTAGAATTTGCAAGGGTGTATTTAGAGGGCATTGAAGCCTACGGTAGAAAAGGAAATATCTTACCATAAAATCTAGTCAGAAGCATTCTCAGCAACTGAGTTGTGATGTTTGCATTCAACTCACAGAGTTCAACATTCCTTTTCATGGAGCGGTTTTGAAACACTCTTTTTGCAGAATCTGCAAGTGGATATTTGGACCTCTTTGAGGCCTTCGTTGGAAACGGGATTTCTTCATGTAATGCCAGACAGAAGAATTCTCAGTGAATTCTTTCTGTGTGTGTGTATTCAACTCACAGAGTTGAACGTTCCTTTAGACAGAGTAGATTGGAAACACTCTTTTTGTGGAATTTTCAGGTGGAGGTATCAAGCGCTTTGAGGCCAATGATAGAAAAGGAAATACCTTCGTATAATAATTAGACGGAATCATTCTCAGAAACTGCTTTGCAATGTGTGCGTTCAACTCACAGTGTTTAACCTTTCTTTTCATACAGTTGTTTCGAAACACTCTTTTTGCAGAATCTGCAAGTGGATATTTGGACCTCTTTGAAGTCTTCGTTGGAAATGGGATTTCTTCATATAATGCTAGACAGAAGACTTCTCAGTAACTGCTTTTTCTGGTGTGTATTCAACTCTCAGAGTTGAACTTTCCTTTACAAACAGCAGATTTGAAACTCTCTTTTTGTGGAATTTGCAAGTGGAGATTTCAGAGCTTTGAGGCCAATGGTAGAAAAGGAAATATACTTCGTATGCAAACTAGACAGAATCATTCTCAGAAACTACTTTGGTACGTGTGTGTTCAACTCACAGTGTTTAACCTTTCTTTTCATAGAGCAGTTTGGAAACACTCAGTTTGTAAAGACAGCAACTGGGTATTTGGATGTATTTGAGGCCTTCGTTGGAAACGGGATTTCTTCATATAATGCTAGACAGAAGAATTCTCAGTAACTTCTTTGGGTTGTGGGTATTCAAGTCACAGAGTTGAAGCTTCCTTTAGGCGGAGCAGATTGGAAACACTTTTTGTGGAATTTTCAGGGGGAGACTTCAAGCGCTTTGAAGTGAATGGTAGGAAAGGAAATATCTTCGTATAAAAACTAGACGGAGTCATTCTCAGAAACTACTTTGTGATGTTTGCGTTCAACTCACAGAGTTTAACGTTTCTTTTCATAGAGCAGTTTGGAAACACTCTTTTTGCAGAATCTGCAAGTGGATATTTGGACCTCTTTGTGGCCTTCGTTGGAAACGGGATTTTTCATATAATGCTAGACAGAAGAATTCTCAGTAACTTCTTTTTGTGGTGTGTATTCAACTCACAGAGTTGAACCTTCCTTTAGACAGAGCAGATTTGAAACTCTCTTTTTGTGGAATTTGCAAGTGGAGATTTCAAGCGCTTTGAGGCCAACGGCAGAAAAGGAAATATCTTCGTAGAAAAAATAGACGGAAATCATTCTCAGAAACTGCTTTGGGATGTGTGCATTGAACTCACAGTGTTTAACACTTCTTTTCATAGAGCACTTTGGAAACACTCAGGTTGTAATGTCTGCAGCTGGATATTTGGACCTCTTTGAGGCCTTCGTAGTAAACGGGATTTCTTCGTGTAATGATAGACAATAGAATTCTCAGTGAATTTTTTTCTGTGTGTGTGTATTCAACTCACAGGGTTGAACCTTCCTTTAGACAGTGCAGATTTGAGACACTTGTCTGTGGAATTTGCAAGGGGAGATTTCAAGCACTTTGAGGCCATTGGTGGAAAAGGAAATATCTTCGTATGAAAACTAGACAGAATCATTCTCAGGAACTACTTTGTGATATGTGCATTCAACTCCCAGAGTTTAACCTTTCTTTTCATAGATGAGTTTGGAAACAGTCAGTTTGTAAATTCTGCAACTGGATATTTGGACCTCTTTGAGGCTTTCGTTGGAAACGGGATTTCTTCACATAATGCTAGACAGAAGAATTCTCAGTAACTTCTTTTGGGATGTATGTATTCAAATCAGAGAGTTGAACCTTCCTTTAGAGAGAGCGGATTGGAAACACTCTTTTTGTGGAATTTGCAAGTGGAAAATTCTAGCAGTATGAGGCCAATGGTACAAAAGGAAATATCTTCGTATAAAAACTAGACAGTATCATTCTCAGAAACTGCTTTGTGATGTGTGTATTAAACTCACAGAGTTGAACATTTCTTTGCATAGAGCAGTTTGGAAAGACTTAGTTTGTGCAGTGTGCAAGTGGATATTTGGAACTCTTTGAGGCCTTCGTTGGAAACGGGATTTCTTCTTATAATTCTTGACAAAAGAATTCTCAGTAGCTTCTTTGTGTGTGTGTGTATTCAACTCACAGAGTTGAACCTTCCTTTAGACAGAGCAGATTGGAAACACTCTTTTTGTGGAATTTGCAAGTGGAGAATTCTAGCGCTTTGACGCCAATGGTAGAAAGGAAATATCTTCGTATAAAAACTAGACAGTAATCATTCTCAGAAGCTACTTTGTGATGTGTGCGTTCAACTCACAGAGTTTAACCTTTCTTTTCATAGAGCAGTTTGGAAACCCTCTGTTTGTGAAGTCTGCAAGTGGATATTTAAACGTCTTTGAGGCCTTCGTTGGAAACGGGATTTTTTCATATAAACCAGGACAGAAGAATTCTCAGAAACTTCTTGATTGTTATGTGTGCATTCAACTCACAGAGTTGAACCTTACTTTGGAAAGAGCAGTTTTCTAACACTCTTTTTGTAAAAGTTCCAAGTGAATACTTTGAGTGCTTTGAAGCCTACGGTTGACAACGAAATATCTTCATGTAAAAACTACAAAGAATCATTTGCAGAAACCACGTTGTGATCTCTGCATTCAACTCACAAGAGTTGAACCTTTCTTCCTATAGAGCAGTTATGAAACAGTCTCTTTGTAGAATTTGCAAGGGTGTATTTAGAGGGCATTGAAGCCTACGGTAGAAAAGGAAATATCTTACCATAAAATCTAGTCAGAAGCATTCTCAGAAACTGAGTTGTGATGTTTGCATTCAACTCACAGAGTTCAACATTCCTTTTAATGGAGCGGTTTTGAAACACTCTTTTTGCAGAATCTGCAAGTGGATATTTGGACCTCTTTGAGGCCTTCGTTGGAAACGGGATTTCTTCATGTAATGCCAGACAGTAGAATTCTCAGTGAATTCTTTCTGTGTGTGTGTATTCAACTCACAGAGTTGAACGTTCCTTTAGACAGAGTAGATTGGAAACACTCTTTTTGTGGAATTTTCAGGTGGAGGTATCAAGCGCTTTGAGGCCAATGATAGAAAAGGAAATACCTTCGTATAATAATTAGACGGAATCATTCTCAGAAACCGCTTTGCAATGTGTGCGTTCAACTCACAGTGTTTAACCTTTCTTTTCATACAGTTGTTTCGAAACACTCTTTTTGCAGAATCTGCAAGTGGATATTTGGACCTCTTTGAAGTCTTCGTTGGAAATGGGATTTCTTCATATAATGCTAGACAGAAGACTTCTCAGTAACTGCTTTTTCTGGTGTGTATTCAACTCTCAGAGTTGAACTTTCCTTTAGAAACAGCAGATTTGAAACTCTCTTTTTGTGGAATTTGCAAGTGGAGATTTCAGAGCTTTGAGGCCAATGGTAGAAAAGGAAATATCTTCGTATGCAAACTAGACAGAATCATTCTCAGAAACTACTTTGGTACGTGTGTGTTCAACTCACAGTGTTTAACCTTTCTTTTCATAGAGCAGTTTGGAAACACTCAGTTTGTAAAGTCAGCAACTGGATATTTGGATGTATTTGAGGCCTTCGTTGGAAACGGGATTTCTTCATATAATGCTAGACAGAAGAATTCTCAGTAACTTCTTTGGGTTGTGGGTATTCAACTCACAGAGTTGAAGCTTCCTTTAGGCGGAGCAGATTGGAAACACTTTTTGTGGAATTTTCCGGGGGAGACTTCAAGCGCTTTGAAGTGAATGGTAGGAAAGGAAATATCTTCGTATAAAAACTAGACGGAGTCATTCTCAGAAACTACTTTGTGATGTTTGCGTTCAACTCACAGAGTTTAACGTTTCTTTTCATAGAGCAGTTTGGAAACACTCTTTTTGCAGAATCTGCAAGTGGATATTTGGACCTCTTTGTGGCCTTCGTTGGAAACGGGATTTTTCATATAATGCTAGACAGAAGAATTCTCAGTAACTTCTTTTTGTGGTGTGTATTCAACTCACAGAGTTGAACCTTCCTTTAGACAGAGCAGATTTGAAACTCTCTTTTTGTGGAATTTGCAAGTGGAGATTTCAAGCGCTTTGAGGCCAACGGTAGAAAAGTAAATATCTTCGTAGAAAAAATAGACGGAATCATTCTCAGAAACTGCTTTGGGATGTGTGCATTGAACTCACAGTGTTTAACACTTCTTTTCATAGAGCACTTTGGAAACACTCAGTTTGTAATGTCTGCAGCTGGATATTTGGACCTCTTTGAGGCCTTCGTAGTAAACGGGATTTCTTCGTGTAATGATAGACAATAGAATTCTCAGTGAATTTTTTTCTGTGTGTGTGTATTCAACTCACAGGGTTGAACCTTCCTTTAGACAGTGCAGATTTGAGACACTTGTCTGTGGAATTTGCAAGGGGAGATTTCAAGCACTTTGAGGCCATTGGTGGAAAAGGAAATATCTTCGTATAAAAACTAGACAGAATCATTCTCAGGAACTACTTTGTGATATGTGCATTCAACTCAGAGAGTTTAACCTTTCTTTTCATAGATGAGTTTGGAAACAGTCAGTTTGTAAATGCTGCAACTGGATATTTGGGCCTCTTTGAGGCTTTCGTTGGAAACGGGATTTCTTCACATAATGCTAGACAGAAGAATTCTCAGTAACTTCTTTTGGGATGTATGTATTCAAATCACAGAGTTGAACCTTCCTTTAGACAGAGCGGATTGGAAACACTCTTTTTGTGGAATTTGCAAGTGGAAAATTCTAGCAGTATGAGGCCAATGGTACAAAAGGAAATATCTTCGTATAAAAACTAGACAGTATCGTTCTCAGAAACTGCTTTGTGATGTGTGAATTAAACTCACAGAGTTGAACATTTCTTTGCATAGAGCAGTTTGGAAAGACTTAGTTTGTGCAGTGTGCAAGTGGATATTTGGAACTCTTTGAGGCCTTCGTTGGAAACGGGATTTCTTCTTATAATTCTTGACAAAAGAATTCTCAGTAGCTTCTTTGTGTGTGTGTATTCAACTCACAGAGTTGAACCTTCCTTTAGACAGAGCAGATTGGAAACACTCTTTTTGTGGAATTTGCAAGTGGAGAATTCTAACGCTTTGACGCCAATGGTAGAAAGGAAATATCTTCGTATAAAAACTAGACAGTATCTTTCTCAGAAACAACTTTGTGATGTGTGCGTTCAACTCACAGAGTTTAACCTTTCTTTTCATAGAGCAGTTTGGAAACACTCTGTTTGTGAAGTCTGCAAGTGGATATTTAAACGTCTCTGAGGCCTTCGTTGGAAACGGGATTTTTTCATATAAACCAGGACAGAAGAATTCTCAGAAACTTCTTGATTGTTATGTGTGCATTCAACTCACAGAGTTGAACCTTACTTTGGAAAGAGCAGTTTTCTAACACTCTTTTTGTAAAAGTTCCAAGTGAATACTTTGAGTGCTTTGAAGCCTACGGTTGACAACGAAATATCTTCATGTAAAAACTACAAAGAATCATTCGCAGAAACCACGTTGTGATCTCTGCATTCAACTCACAGAGTTCAACCTTTCTTCCTATAGAGCAGTTATGAAACAGTCTCTTTGTAGAATTTGCAAGGGTGTATTTAGAGGGCATTGAAGCCTACGGTAGAAAAGGAAATATCTTACCATAAAATCTAGTCAGAAGCATTCTCAGAAACTGAGTTGTGATGTTTGCATTCAACTCACAGAGTTCAACATTCCTTTTCATGGAGCGGTTTTGAAACACTCTTTTTGCAGAATCTGCAAGTGGATATTTGGACCTCTTTGAGGCCTTCGTTGAAAACGGGATTTCTTCATGTAATGCCAGACAGAAGAATTCTCAGTGAATTCTTTCTGTGTGTGTGTATTCAACTCACAGAGTTGAACGTTCCTTTAGACAGAGTAGATTGGAAACACTCTTTTTGTGGAATTTTCAGGTGGAGGTATCAAGCGCTTTGAGGCCAATGATAGAAAAGGAAATACCTTCGTATAATAATTAGACGGAATCATTCTCAGAAACTGCTTTGCAATGTGTGCGTTCAACTCACAGTGTTTAACCTTTCTTTTCATACAGTTGTTTCGAAACACTCTTTTTGCAGAATCTGCAAGTGGATATTTGGACCTCTTTGAAGTACTTCGTTGGAAATGGGATTTCTTCATATAATGCTAGACAGAAGACTTCTCAAGTAACTGCTTTTTCTGGTGTGTATTCAACTCTCAGAGTTGAACTTTCCTTTAGAAACAGCAGATTTGAAACTCTCTTTTTGTGGAATTTGCAAGTGGAGATTTCAGAGCTTTGAGGCCAATGGTAGAAAAGGAAATATCTTCGTATGCAAACTAGACAGAATCATTCTCAGAAACTACTTTGGTACGTGTGTGTTCAACTCACAGTGTTTAACCTTTCTTTTCATAGAGCAGTTTGGAAACACTCAGTTTGTAAAGTCAGCAACTGGATATTTGGATGTATTTGAGGCCTTCGTTGGAAACGGGATTTCTTCATATAATGCTAGACAGAAGAATTCTCAGTAACTTCTTTGGGTTGTGGGTATTCAAGTCACAGAGTTGAAGCTTCCTTTAGGCGGAGCAGATTGGAAACACTTTTTGTGGAATTTTCAGGGGGAGACTTCAAGCGCTTTGAAGTGAATGGTAGGAAAGGAAATATCTTCGTATAAAAACTAGACGGAGTCATTCTCAGAAACTACTTTGTGATGTTTGCGTTCAACTCACAGAGTTTAACGTTTCTTTTCATAGAGCAGTTTGGAAACACTCTTTTTGCAGAATCTGCAAGTGGATATTTGGACCTCTTTGTGGCCTTCGTTGGAAACGGGATTTTTCATATAATGCTAGACAGAAGAATTCTCAGTAACTTCTTTTTGTGGTGTGTATTCAACTCACAGAGTTGAACCTTCCTTTAGACAGAGCAGATTTGAAACTCTCTTTTTGTGGAATTTGCAAGTGGAGATTTCAAGCGCTTTGAGGCCAACGGCAGAAAAGGAAATATCTTCGTAGAAAAAATAGACGGAATCATTCTCAGAAACTGCTTTGGGATGTGTGCATTGAACTCACAGTGTTTAACACTTCTTTTCATAGAGCACTTTGGAAACACTCAGTTTGTAATGTCTGCAGCTGGATATTTGGACCTCTTTGAGGCCTTCGTAGTAAACGGGATTTCTTCGTGTAATGATAGACAATAGAATTCTCAGTGAATTTTTTTCTGTGTGTGTGTATTCAACTCACAGGGTTGAACCTTCCTTTAGACAGTGCAGATTTGAAACACTTGTCTGTGGAATTTGCAAGGGGAGATTTCAAGCACTTTGAGGCCATTGGTGGAAAAGGAAATATCTTCGTATGAAAACCAAACAGAATCATTCTCAGGAACTACTTTGTGATATGTGCATTCAACTCACAGAGTTTAACCTTTCTTTTCATAGATGAGTTTGGAAACAGTCAGTTTGTAAATTCTGCAACTGGATATTTGGACCTCTTTGAGGCTTTCGTTGGAAACGGGATTTCTTCACATAATGCTAGACAGAAGAATTCTCAGTAACTTCTTTTGGGATGTATGTATTCAAATCAGAGAGTTGAACCTTCCTTTAGACAGAGCGGATTGGAAACACTCTTTTTGTGGAATTTGCAAGTGGAAAATTCTAGCAGTATGAGGCCAATGGTACAAAAGGAAATATCTTCGTATAAAAACTAGACAGTATCATTCTCAGAAACTGCTTCGTGATGTGTGTATTAAACTCACAGAGTTGAACATTTCTTTGCATAGAGCAGTTTGGAAAGACTTAGTTTGTGCAGTGTGCAAGTGGATATTTGGAACTCTTTGAGGCCTTCTTTGGAAACGGGATTTCTTCTTATAATTCTTGACAAAAGAATTCTCAGTAGCTTCTTTGTGTGTGTGTATTCAACTCACAGAGTTGAACCTTCCTTGAGACAGAGCAGATTGGAAACACTCTTTTTGTGGAATTTGCAAGTGGAGAATTCTAGCGCTTTGACGCCAATGGTAGAAAGGATATATCTTCGTATAAAAACTAGACAGTATCATTCTCAGAAACTACTTTGTGATGTGTGCATTCAACTCACAGAGTTTAACCTTTCTTTTCATAGAGCAGTTTGGAAACACTCTGTTTGTGAAGTCTGCAAGTGGATATTTAAACGTCTTTGAGGCCTTCGTTGGAAACGGGATTTGTTCATATAAACCAGGACAGAAGAATTCTCAGAAACTTCTTGATTGTTATGTGTGCATTCAACTCACAGAGTTGAACCTTACTTTGGAAAGAGCAGTTTTCTAACACTCTTTTTGTAAAAGTTCCAAGTGAATACTTTGAGTGCTTTGAAGCCTACGGTTGACAACGAAATATCTTCATGTAAAAACTACAAAGAATCATTCGCAGAAACCACGTTGTGATCCCTGCATTCAACTCACAGAATTCAACCTTTCTTCCTATAGAGCAGTTATGAAACAGTCTCTTTGTAGAATTTGCAAGGGTGTATTTAGAGGGCATTGAAGCCTACGGTAGAAAAGGAAATATCTTACCATAAAATCTAGTCAGAAGCATTCTCAGCAACTGAGTTGTGATGTTTCCATTCAACTCACAGAGTTCAACATTCCTTTTAATGGAGCGGTTTTGAAACACTCTTTTTGCAGAATCTGCAAGTGGATATTTGAACCTCTTTGAGGCCTTCGTTGGAAACGGGATTTCTTCATGTAATGCCAGACAGAAGAATTCTCAGTGAATTCTTTCTGTGTGTGTGTATTCAACTCACAGAGTTGAACGTTCCTTTAGACAGAGTAGATTGGAAACACTCTTTTTGTGGAATTTTCAGGTGGAAGTATCAAGCGCTTTGAGGCCAATGGTAGAAAAGGAAATACCTTCGTATAATAATTAGACGGAATCATTCTCAGAAACCGCTTTGCAATGTGTGCGTTCAACTCACAGTGTTTAACCTTTCTTTTCATACAGTTGTTTCGAAACACTCTTTTTGCAGAATCTGCAAGTGGATATTTGGACCTCTTTGAAGTCTTCGTTGGAAATGGGATTTCTTCATATAATGCTAGACAGAAGACTTCTCAGTAACTGCTTTTTCTGGTGTGTATTCAACTCTCAGAGTTGAACTTTCCTTTAGAAACAGCAGATTTGAAACTCTCTTTTTGTGGAATTTGCAAGTGGAGATTTCAGAGCTTTGAGGCCAATGGTAGAAAAGGAAATATCTTCGTATGCAAACTAGACAGAATCATTCTCAGAAACTACTTTGGTACGTGTGTGTTCAACTCACAGTGTTTAACCTTTCTTTTCATAGAGCAGTTTGGAAACACTCAGTTTGTAAAGTCAGCAACTGGATATTTGGATGTATTTGAGGCCTTCGTTGGAAACGGGATTTCTTCATATAGTGCTAGACAGAAGAATTCTCAGTAACTTCTTTGGGTTGTGGGTATTCAAGTCACAGAGTTGAAGCTTCCTTTAGGCGGAGCAGATTGGAAACACTTTTTGTGGAATTTTCAGGGGGAGACTTCAAGCGCTTTGAAGTGAATGGTAGGAAAGGAAATATCTTCGTATAAAAACTAGACGGAGTCATTCTCAGAAACTACTTTGTGATGTTTGCGTTCAACTCACAGAGTTTAACGTTTCTTTTCATAGAGCAGTTTGGAAACACTCTTTTTGCAGAATCTGCAAGTGGATATTTGGACCTCTTTGTGGCCTTCGTTGGAAACGGGATTTTTCATATAATGCTAGACAGAAGAATTCTCAGTAACTTCTTTTTGTGGTGTGTATTCAACTCACAGAGTTGAACCTTCCTTTAGACAGAGCAGATTTGAAACTCTCTTTTTGTGGAATTTGCAAGTGGAGATTTCAAGCGCTTTGAGGCCAACGGCAGAAAAGGAAATATCTTCGTAGAAAAAATAGACGGAATCATTCTCAGAAACTGCTTTGGGATGTGTGCATTGAACTCACAGTGTTTAACACTTCTTTTCCTAGAGCACTTTGGAAACACTCAGGTTGTAATGTCTGCAGCTGGATATTTGGACCTCTTTGAGGCCTTCGTAGTAAACGGGATTTCTTCGTGTAATGATAGACAATAGAATTCTCAGTGAATTTTTTTCTGTGTGTGTGTATTCAACTCACAGGGTTGAACCTTCCTTTAGACAGTGCAGATTTGAGACACTTGTCTGTGGAATTTGCAAGGGGAGATTTCAAGCACTTTGAGGCCATTGGTGGAAAAGGAAATATCTTCGTATGAAAACTAGACAGAATCATTCTCAGGAACTACTTTGTGATATGTGCATTCAACTCACAGAGTTTAACCTTTCTTTTCATAGATGAGTTTGGAAACAGTCAGTTTGTAAATTCTGCAACTGGATATTTGGACCTCTTTGAGGCTTTCGTTGGAAACGGGATTTCTTCACATAATGCTAGACAGAAGAATTCTCAGTAACTTCTTTTGGGATGTATGTATTCAAATCAGAGAGTTGAACCTTCCTTTAGACAGAGCAGATTGGAAACACTCTTTTTGTGGAATTTGCAAGTGGAAAATTCTAGCAGTATGAGGCCAATGGTACAAAAGGAAATATCTTCGTATAAAAACTAGACAGTATCATTCTCAGAAACTGCTTTGTGATGTGTGTATTAAACTCACAGAGTTGAACATTTCTTTGCATAGAGCAGTTTGGAAAGACTTAGTTTGTGCAGTGTGCAAGTGGATATTTGGAACTCTTTGAGGCCTTCGTTGGAAACGGGATTTCTTCTTATAATTTCTTGACAAAAGAATTCTCAGTAGCTTCTTTGTGTGTGTGTATTCAACTCACAGAGTTGAACCTTCCTTTAGACAGAGCAGATTGGAAACACTCTTTTTGTGGAATTTGCAAGTGGAGAATTCTAGCGCTTTGACGCCAATGGTAGAAAGGAAATATCTTCGTATAAAAACTAGACAGTATCATTCTCAGAAGCTACTTTGTGATGTGTGCGTTCAACTCACAGAGTTTAACCTTTCTTTTCATAGAGCAGTTTGGAAACCCTCTGTTTGTGAAGTCTGCAAGTGGATATTTAAACGTCTTTGAGGCCTTCGTTGGAAACGGGATTTTTTCATATAAACCAGGACAGAAGAATTCTCAGAAACTTCTTGATTGTTATGTGTGCATTCAACTCACAGAGTTGAACCTTACTTTGGAAAGAGCAGTTTTCTAACACTCTTTTTGTAAAAGTTCCAAGTGAATACTTTGAGTGCTTTGAAGCCTACGGTTGACAACGAAATATCTTCATGTAAAAACTACAAAGAATCATTCGCAGAAACCACGTTGTGATCTCTGCAGTCAACTCACAGAGTTCAACCTTTCTTCCTATAGAGCAGTTATGAAACAGTCTCTTTGTAGAATTTGCAAGGGTGTATTTAGAGGGCATTGAAGCCTACGGTAGAAAAGGAAATATCTTACCATAAAATCTAGTCAGAAGCATTCTCAGAAACTGAGTTGTGATGTTTGCATTCAACTCACAGAGTTCAACATTCCTTTTAATGGAGCGGTTTTGAAACACTCTTTTTGCAGAATCTGCAAGTGGATATTTGGACCTCTTTGAGGCCTTCGTTGGAAACGGGATTTCTTCATGTAATGCCAGACAGAAGAATTCTCAGTGAATTCTTTCTGTGTGTGTGTATTCAACTCACAGAGTTGAACGTTCCTTTAGACAGAGTAGATTGGAAACACTCTTTTTGTGGAATTTTCAGGTGGAGGTATCAAGCGCTTTGAGGCCAATGATAGAAAAGGAAATACCTTCGTATAATAATTAGACGGAATCATTCTCAGAAACTGCTTTGCAATGTGTGCGTTCAACTCACAGTGTTTAACCTTTCTTTTCATACAGTTGTTTCAAAACACTCTTTTTGCAGAATCTGCAAGTGGATATTTGGACCTCTTTGAAGTCTTCGTTGGAAATGGGATTTCTTCATATAATGCTAGACAGAAGACTTCTCAGTAACTGCTTTTTCTGGTGTGTATTCAACTCTCAGAGTTGAACTTTCCTTTAGAAACAGCAGATTTGAAACTCTCTTTTTGTGGAATTTGCAAGTGGAGATTTCAGAGCTTTGAGGCCAATGGTAGAAAAGGAAATATCTTCGTATGCAAACTAGACAGAATCATTCTCAGAAACTACTTTGGTACGTGTGTGTTCAACTCACAGTGTTTAACCTTTCTTTTCATAGAGCAGTTTGGAAACACTCAGTTTGTAAAGTCAGCAACTGGATATTTGGATGTATTTGAGGCCTTCGTTGGAAACGGGGATTTCTTCATATAATGCTAGACAGAAGAATTCTCAGTAACTTCTTTGGGTTGTGGGTATTCAAGTCACAGAGTTGAAGCTTCCTTTAGGCGGAGCAGATTGGAAACACTTTTTGTGGAATTTTCAGGGGGAGACGTCAAGCGCTTTGAAGTGAATGGTAGGAAAGGAAATATCTTCGTATAAAAACTAGACGGAGTCATTCTCAGAAACTACTTTGTGATGTTTGCGTTCAACTCACAGAGTTTAACGTTTCTTTTCATAGAGCAGTTTGGAAACACTCTTTTTGCAGAATCTGCAAGTGGATATTTGGACCTCTTTGTGGCCTTCGTTGGAAACGGGATTTTTCATATAATGCTAGACAGAAGAATTCTCAGTAACTTCTTTTTGTGGTGTGTATTCAACTCACAGAGTTGAACCTTCCTTTAGACAGAGCAGATTTGAAACTCTCTTTTTGTGGAATTTGCAAGTGGAGATTTCAAGCGCTTTGAGGCCAACGGTAGAAAAGGAAATATCTTCGTAGAAAAAATAGACGGAATCATTCTCAGAAACTGCTTTGGGATGTGTGCATTGAACTCACAGTGTTTAACACTTCTTTTCATAGAGCACTTTGGAAACACTCAGTTTGTAATGTCTGCAGCTGGATATTTGGACCTCTTTGAGGCCTTCGTAGTAAACGGGATTTCTTCGTGTAATGATAGACAATAGAATTCTCAGTGAATTTTTTTCTGTGTGTGTGTATTCAATTCACAGGGTTGAACCTTCCTTTAGACAGTGCAGATTTGAGACACTTGTCTGTGGAATTTGCAAGGGGAGATTTCAAGCACTTTGAGGCCATTGGTGGAAAAGGAAATATCTTCGTATAAAAACTAGACAGAATCATTCTCAGGAACTACTTTGTGATATGTGCATTCAACTCCCAGAGTTTAACCTTTCTTTTCATAGATGAGTTTGGAAACAGTCAGTTTGTAAATTCTGCAACTGGATATTTGGACCTCTTTGAGGCTTTCGTTGGAAACGGGATTTCTTCACATAATGCTAGACAGAAGAATTCTCAGTAACTTCTTTTGGGATGTATGTATTCAAATCAGAGAGTTGAACCTTCCTTTAGACAGAGCGGATTGGAAACACTCTTTTTGTGGAATTTGCAAGTGGAAAATTCTAGCAGTATGAGGCCAATGGTACAAAAGGAAATATCTTCGTATAAAAACTAGACAGTACCATTCTCAGAAACTGCTTTGTGATGTGTGTATTAAACTCACAGAGTTGAACATTTCTTTGCATAGAGCAGTTTGGAAAGACTTAGTTTGTGCAGTGTGCAAGTGGATATTTGGAACTCTTTGAGGCCTTCGTTGGAAACGGGATTTCTTCTTATAATTTCTTGAAAAAAGAATTCTCAGTAGCTTCTTTGTGTGTGTGTATTCAACTCACAGAGTTGAACCTTCCTTTACACAGAGCAGATTGGAAACACTCTTTTTGTGGAATTTGCAAGTGGAGAATTCTAGCGCTTTGACGCCAATGGTAGAAAGGAAATATCTTCGTATAAAAACTAGACAGTATCATTCTCAGAAGCTACTTTGTGATGTGTGCGTTCAACTCACAGAGTTTAACCTTTCTTTTCATAGAGCAGTTTGGAAACCCTCTGTTTGTGAAGTCTGCAAGTGGATATTTAAACGTCTTTGAGGCCTTCGTTGGAAACGGGATTTTTTCATATAAACCAGGACAGAAGAATTCTCAGAAACTTCTTGATTGTTATGTGTGCATTCAACTCACAGAGTTGAACCTTACTTTGGAAAGAGCAGTTTTCTAACACTCTTTTTGTAAAAGTTCCAAGTGAATACTTTGAGTGCTTTGAAGCCTACGGTTGACAACGAAATATCTTCCTGTAAAAACTACAAAGAATCATTCGCAGAAACCACGTTGTGATCTCTGCATTCAACTCACAGAGTTCAACCTTTCTTCCTATAGAGCAGTTATGAAACAGTCTCTTTGTAGAATTTGCAAGGGTGTATTTAGAGGGCATTGAAGCCTACGGTAGAAAAGGAAATATCTTACCATAAAATCTAGTCAGAAGCATTCTCAGCAACTGAGTTGTGATGTTTCCATTCCACTCACAGAGTTCAACATTCCTTTTAATGGAGCGGTTTTGAAACACTCTTTTTGCAGAATCTGCAAGTGGATATTTGGACCTCTTTGAGGCCTTCGTTGGAAACGGGATTTCTTCATGTAATGCCAGACAGAAGAATTCTCAGTGAATTCTTTCTCTGTGTGTGTATTCAACTCACAGAGTTGAACGTTCCTTTAGACAGAGTAGATTGGAAACACTCTTTTTGTGGAATTTTCAGGTGGAGGTATCAAGCGCTTTGAGGCCAATGATAGAAAAGGAAATACCTTCGTATAATAATTAGACGGAATCATTCTCAGAAACTGCTTTGCAATGTGTGCGTTCAACTCACAGTGTTTAACCTTTCTTTTCATACAGTTGTTTCGAAACACTCTTTTTGCAGAATCTGCAAGTGGATATTTGGACCTCTTTGAAGTCTTCGTTGGAAATGGGATTTCTTCATATAATGCTAGACAGAAGACTTCTCAGTAACTGCTTTTTCTGGTGTGTATTCAACTCTCAGAGTTGAACTTTCCTTTAGAAACAGCAGAGTTGAAACTCTCTTTTTGTGGAATTTGCAAGTGGAGATTTCAGAGCTTTGAGGCCAATGGTAGAAAAGGAAATATCTTCATATGCAAACTAGACAGAATCATTCTCAGAAACTACTTTGGTACGTGTGTGTTCAACTCACAGTGTTTAACCTTTCTTTTCATAGAGCAGTTTGGAAACACTGTTTGTAAAGTCAGCAACTGGATATTTGGATGTATTTGAGGCCTTCGTTGGAAACGGGATTTCTTCATATAATGCTAGACAGAAGAATTCTCAGTAACTTCTTTGGGTTGTGGGTATTCAACTCACAGAGTTGAAGCTTCCTTTAGGCGGAGCAGATTGGAAACACTTTTTGTGGAATTTTCAGGGGGAGACTTCAAGCGCTTTGAAAGTGAATGGTAGGAAAGGAAATATCTTCGTATAAAAACTAGACGGAGTCATTCTCAGAAACTACTTTGTGATGTTTGCGTTCAACTCACAGAGTTTAACGTTTCTTTTCATAGAGCAGTTTGGAAACACTCTTTTTGCAGAATCTGCAAGTGGATATTTGGACCTCTTTGTGGCCTTCGTTGGAAACGGGATTTTTCATATAATGCTAGACAGAAGACTTCTCAGTAACTTCTTTTTGTGGTGTGTATTCAACTCACAGAGTTGAACCTTCCTTTAGACAGAGCAGATTTGAAACTCTCTTTTTGTGGAATTTGCAAGTGGAGATTTCAAGCGCTTTGAGGCCAACGGCAGAAAAGGAAATATCTTCGTAGAAAAAATAGACGGAATCATTCTCAGAAACTGCTTTGGGATGTGTGCATTGAACTCACAGTGTTTAACACTTCTTTTCATAGAGCACTTTGGAAACACTCAGTTTGTAATGTCTGCAGCTGGATATTTGGACCTCTTTGAGGCCTTCGTAGTAAACGGGATTTCTTCGTGTAATGATAGACAATAGAATTCTCAGTGAATTTTTTTCTGTGTGTGTGTATTCAACTCACAGGGTTGAACCTTCCTTTAGACAGTGCAGATTTGAAACACTTGTCTGTGGAATTTGCAAGGGGAGATTTCAAGCACTTTGAGGCCATTGGTGGAAAAGGAAATATCTTCGTATGAAAACTAGACAGAATCATTCTCAGGAACTACTTTGTGATATGTGCATTCAACTCCCAGAGTTTAACCTTTCTTTTCATAGATGAGTTTGGAAACAGTCAGTTTGTAAATTCTGCAACTGGATATTTGGACCTCTTTGAGGCTTTCGTTGGAAACTGGATTTCTTCACATAATGCTAGACAGAAGAATTCTCAGTAACTTCTTTTGGGATGTATGTATTCAAATCAGAGAGTTGAACCTTCCTTTAGACAGAGCGGATTGGAAACACTCTTTTTGTGGAATTTGCAAGTGGAAAATTCTAGCAGTATGAGGCCAATGGTACAAAAGGAAATATCTTCGTATAAAAACTAGACAGTATCATTCTCAGAAACTGCTTTGTGATGTGTGTATTAAACTCACAGAGTTGAACATTTCTTTGCATAGAGCAGTTTGGAAAGACTTAGTTTGTGCAGTGTGCAAGTGGATATTTGGAACTCTTTGAGGCCTTCGTTGGAAACGGGATTTCTTCTTATAATTCTTGACAAAAGAATTCTCAGTAGCTTCTTTGTGTGTGTGTATTCAACTCACAGAGTTGAACCTTCCTTTAGACAGAGCAGATTGGAAACACTCTTTTTGTGGAATTTGCAAGTGGAGAATTCTAGCGCTTTGACGCCAATGGTAGAAAGGAAATATCTTCGTATAAAAACTAGACAGTTATCATTCTCAGAAGCTACTTTGTGATGTGTGCGTTCAACTCACAGAGTTTAACCTTTCTTTTCATAGAGCAGTTTGGAAACCCTCTGTTTGTGAAGTCTGCAAGTGGATATTTAAACGTCTTTGAGGCCTCTTCGTTGGAAACGGGATTTTTTCATATAAACCCAGGACAGAAGAATTCTCAGCAAACTTCTTGATTGTTATGGGTGCATTCAACTCACAGAGTTGAACCTTACTTTGGAAAGAGCGGTTTTCTAACACTCTTTTTGTAAAAGTTCCAAGTGAATACTTTGAGTGCTTTGAAGCCTACGGTTGACAACGAAATATCTTCATGTAAAAACTACAAAGAATCATTCGCAGAAACCACGTTGTGATCTCTGCATTCAACTCACAGAGTTCAACCTTTCTTCCTATAGAGCAGTTATGAAACAGTCTCTTTGTAGAATTTGCAAGGGTGTATTTAGAGGGCATTGAAGCCTACGGTAGAAAAGGAAATATCTTACCATAAAATCTAGTCAGAAGCATTCTCAGCAACTGAGTTGTGATGTTTGCATTCAACTCACAGAGTTCAACATTCCTTTTAATGGAGCGGTTTTGAAACACTCTTTTTGCAGAATCTGCAAGTGGATATTTGGACCTCTTTGAGGCCTTCGTTGGAAACGGGATTTCTTCATGTAATGCCAGACAGAAGAATTCTCAGTAACTTCTTTTTGTGGTGTGTATTCAACTCACAGAGTTGAACCTTCCTTTAGACAGAGCAGATTTGAAACTCTCTTTTTGTGGAATTTGCAAGTGGAGATTTCAAGCGCTTTGAGGCCAACGGCAGAAAAGGAAATATCTTCGTAGAAAAAATAGACGGAATCATTCTCAGAAACTGCTTTGGGATGTGTGCATTGAACTCACAGTGTTTAACACTTCTTTTCATAGAGCACTTTGGAAACACTCAGTTTGTAATGTCTGCAGCTGGATATTTGGACCTCTTTGAGGCCTTCGTAGTAAACGGGATTTCTTCGTGTAATGATAGACAATAGAATTCTCAGTGAATTTTTTTCTGTGTGTGTGTATTCAACTCACAGGGTTGAACCTTCCTTTAGACAGTGCAGATTTGAAACACTTGTCTGTGGAATTTGCAAGGGGAGATTTCAAGCACTTTGAGACCATTGGTGGAAAAGGAAATATCTTCGTATAAAAACTAGACAGAATCATTCTCAGGAACTACTTTGTGATATGTGCATTCAACTCACAGAGTTTAACCTTTCTTTTCATAGATGAGTTTGGAAACAGTCAGTTTGTAAATTCTGCAACTGGATATTTGGACCTCTTTGAGGCTTTCGTTGGAAACGGGATTTCTTCACATAATGCTAGACAGAAGAATTCTCAGGAACTTCTTTTGGGATGTATGTATTCAAATCAGAGAGTTGAACCTTCCTTTAGACAGAGCGGATTGGAAACACTCTTTTTGTGGAATTTGCAAGTGGAAAATTCTAGCAGTATGAGGCCAATGGTACAAAAGGAAATATCTTTCGTATAAAAACTAGACAGTAATCGTTCTCAGAAACTGCTTTGTGATGTGTGAATTAAACTCACAGAGTTGAACATTTCTTTGCATAGAGCAGTTTGGAAAGACTTAGTTTGTGCAGTGTGCAAGTGGATATTTGGAACTCTTTGAGGCCTTCGTTGGAAACGGGATTTCTTCTTATAATTCTTGACAAAAGAATTCTCAGTAGCTTCTTTGTGTGTGTGTATTCAACTCACAGAGTTGAACCTTCCTTTAGACAGAGCAGATTGGAAACACTCTTTTTGTGGAATTTGCAAGTGGAGAATTCTAGCGCTTTGACGCCAATGGTAGAAAGGAAATATCTTCGTATAAAAACTAGACAGTATCATTCTCAGAAACTGCTTTGTGATGTGTGTATTAAACTCACAGAGTTGAACATTTCTTTGCATAGAGCAGTTTGGAAAGACTTAGTTTGTGCAGTGTGCAAGTGGATATTTGGAACTCTTTGAGGCGTTCGTTGGAAACGGGATTTCTTCTTATAATTTCTTGAAAAAAGAATTCTCAGTAGCTTCTTTGTGTGTGTGTATTCAACTCACAGAGTTGAACCTTCCTTTAGACAGAGCAGATTGGAAACACTCTTTTTGTGGAATTTGCAAGTGGAGAATTCTAGCGCTTTGACGCCAATGGTAGAAAGGAAATATCTTCGTATAAAAACTAGACAGTATCATTCTCAGAAGCTACTTTGTGATGTGTGCGTTCAACTCACAGAGTTTAACCTTTCTTTTCATAGAGCAGTTTGGAAACACTCTGTTTGTGAAGTCTGCAAGTGGATATTTAAACGTCTTTGAGGCCTTCGTTGGAAACGGGATTTTTTCATATAAACCAGGACAGAAGAATTCTCAGAAACGTCTTGATTGTTATGTGTGCATTCAACTCACAGAGTTGAACCTTACTTTGGAAAGAGCAGTTTTCTAATACTCTTTTTGTAAAAGTTCCAAGTGAATACTTTGAGTGCTTTGAAGCCTACGGTTGACAACGAAATATCTTCATGTAAAAACTACAAAGAATCATTCGCAGAAACCACGTTGTGATCTCTGCATTCAACTCACAGAGTTCAACCTTTCTTCCTATAGAGCAGTTATGAAACAGTCTCTTTGTAGAATTTGCAAGGGTGTATTTAGAGGGCATTGAAGCCTACGGTAGAAAAGGAAATATCTTACCATAAAATCTAGTCAGAAGCATTCTCAGCAACTGAGTTGTGATGTTTGCATTCAACTCACAGAGTTCAACATTCCTTTTAATGGAGCGGTTTTGAAACACTCTTTTTGCAGAATCTGCAAGTGGATATTTGGACCTCTTTGAGGCCTTCGTTGGAAACGGGATTTCTTCATGTAATGCCAGACAGAAGAATTCTCAGTAACTTCTTTTTGTGGTGTGTATTCAACTCACAGAGTTGAACCTTCCTTTAGACAGAGCAGATTTGAAACTCTCTTTTTGTGGAATTTGCAAGTGGAGATTTCAAGCGCTTTGAGGCCAACGGCAGAAAAGGAAATATCTTCGTAGAAAAAATAGACGGAATCATTCTCAGAAACTGCTTTGGGATGTGTGCATTGAACTCACAGTGTTTAACACTTCTTTTCATAGAGCACTTTGGAAACACTCAGTTTGTAATGTCTGCAGCTGGATATTTGGACCTCTTTGAGGCCTTCGTAGTAAACGGGATTTCTTCGTGTAATGATAGACAATAGAATTCTCAGTGAATTTTTTTCTGTGTGTGTGTATTCAACTCACAGGGTTGAACCTTCCTTTAGACAGTGCAGATTTGAAACACTTGTCTGTGGAATTTGCAAGGGGAGATTTCAAGCACTTTGAGGCCATTGGTGGAAAAGGAAATATCTTCGTATAAAAACTAGACAGAATCATTCTCAGGAACTACTTTGTGATATGTGCATTCAACTCACAGAGTTTAACCTTTCTTTTCATAGATGAGTTTGGAAACAGTCAGTTTGTAAATTCTGCAACTGGATATTTGGACCTCTTTGAGGCTTTCGTTGGAAACGGGATTTCTTCACATAATGCTAGACAGAAGAATTCTCAGTAACTTCTTTTGGGATGTATGTATTCAAATCAGAGAGTTGAACCTTCCTTTAGACAGAGCGGATTGGAAACACTCTTTTTGTGGAATTTGCAAGTGGAAAATTCTAGCAGTATGAGGCCAATGGTACAAAAGGAAATATCTTCGTATAAAAACTAGACAGTATCATTCTCAGAAACTGCTTTGTGATGTGTGTATTAAACTCACAGAGTTGAACATTTCTTTGCATAGAGCAGTTTGGAAAGACTTAGTTTGTGCAGTGTGCAAGTGGATATTTGGAACTCTTTGAGGCCTTCGTTGGAAACGGGATTTCTTCTTATAATTTCTTGAAAAAAGAATTCTCAGTAGCTTCTTTGTGTGTGTGTATTCAACTCACAGAGTTGAACCTTCCTTTAGACAGAGCAGATTGGAAACACTCTTTTTGTGGAATTTGCAAGTGGAGAATTCTAGCGCTTTGACGCCAATGGTAGAAAGGAAATATACTTCGTATAAAAACTAGACAGTATCATTCTCAGAAACTACTTTGTGATGTGTGCGTTCAACTCACAGTGTTTACCCTTTCTTTTCATAGAGCAGTTTGGAAACACTCTGTTTGTGAAGTCTGCTAGTGGATATTTAAACGTCTTTGAGGCCTTCGTTGGAAACGGGATTTCTTCATATAAACCAGGACAGAAGAATTCTCAGAAACTTCTTGTTTGTTATGTGTGCATTCAACTCACAGAGTTGAACCTTACTTTGGAAAGAGCAGTTTTCTAACACTCTTTTTGTGAAAGTTCCAAGTGAATACTTTGAGTGCTTTGAAGCCTACGGTAGACAACGAAATATCTTCATGTAAAAACTACAAAGAATCATTCGCAGAAACCACGTTGTGATCTCTGCATTCAACTCACAGAGTTGAACCTTTCCTCCTATAGAGCAGTTATGAAGCAGTCTCTTTGTAGAATTTGCAAGGGTGTGTTTACAGGGCATTGAAGCCTACGGTAGAAAAGGAAATATCTTACCATAAAATCTAGTCAGAAGCATTCTCAGAAACTGAGTTGTGATGTTTGCATTCAACTCACAGAGTTCAACATTCCTTTTAATGGAGCGGTTTTGAAACACTCTTTTTGCAGAATCTGCAAGTGGATATTTGGACCTCTTTGAGGCCTTCGTTGGAAACGGGATTTCTTCATGTAATGCCAGACAGAAGAATTCTCAGTGAATTCTTTCTGTGTGTGTGTATTCAACTCACAGAGTTGAACGTTCCTTTAGACAGAGTAGATTGGAAACACTCTTTTTGTGGAATTTTCAGGTGGAGGTATCAAGCGCTTTGAGGCCAATGATAGAAAAGGAAATACCTTCGGTATAATAATTAGACGGAATCATTCTCAGAAACTGCTTTGCAATGTGTGCGTTCAACTCACAGTGTTTAACCTTTCTTTTCATACAGTTGTTTCGAAACACTCTTTTTGCAGAATCTGCAAGTGGATATTTGGACCTCTTTGAAGTCTTCGTTGGAAATGGGATTTCTTCATATAATGCTAGACAGAAGACTTCTCAGTAACTGCTTTTTCTGGTGTGTATTCAACTCTCAGAGTTGAACTTTCCTTTAGAAACAGCAGATTTGAAACTCTCTTTTTGTGGAATTTGCAAGTGGAGATTTCAGAGCTTTGAGGCCACTGGTAGAAAAGGAAATATCTTCGTATGCAAACTAGACAGAATCATTCTCAGAAACTACTTTGGTACGTGTGTGTTCAACTCAGAGTGTTTAACCTTTCTTTTCATAGAGCAGTTTGGAAACACTCAGTTTGTAAAGTCAGCAACTGGATATTTGGATGTATTTGAGGCCTTCGTTGGAAACCGGGATTTCTTCATATAATGCTAGACAGAAGAATTCTCAGTAACTTCTTTGGGTTGTGGGTATTCAAGTCACAGAGTTGAAGCTTCCTTTAGGCGGAGCAGATTGGAAACACTTTTTGTGGAATTTTCAGGGGGAGACGTCAAGCGCTTTGAAGTGAATGGTAGGAAAGGAAATATCTTCGTATAAAAACTAGACGGAGTCATTCTCAGAAACTACTTTGTGATGTTTGCGTTCAACTCACAGAGTTTAACGTTTCTTTTCATAGAGCAGTTTGGAAACACTCTTTTTGCAGAATCTGCAAGTGGATATTTGGACCTCTTTGTGGCCTTCGTTGGAAACGGGATTTTTCATATAATGCTAGACAGAAGAATTCTCAGTAACTTCTTTTTGTGGTGTGTATTCAACTCACAGAGTTGAACCTTCCTTTAGACAGAGCAGATTTGAAACTCTCTTTTTGTGGAATTTGCAAGTGGAGATTTCAAGCGCTTTGAGGCCAACGGCAGAAAAGGAAATATCTTCGTAGAAAAAATAGACGGAATCATTCTCAGAAACTGCTTTGGGATGTGTGCATTGAACTCACAGTGTTTAACACTTCTTTTCCTAGAGCACTTTGGAAACACTCAGTTTGTAATGTCTGCAGCTGGATATTTGGACCTCTTTGAGGCCTTCGTAGTAAACGGGATTTCTTCGTGTAATGATAGACAATAGAATTCTCAGTGAATTTGTTTCTGTGTGTGTGTATTCAACTCACAGGGTTGAACCTTCCTTTAGACAGTGCAGATTTGAAACACTTGTCTGTGGAATTTGCAAGGGGAGATTTCAAGCACTTTGAGGCCATTGGTGGAAAAGGAAATATCTTCGTATGAAAACTAGACAGAATCATTCTCAGGAACTACTTTGTGATATGTGCATTCAACTCACAGAGTTTAACCTTTCTTTTCATAGATGAGTTTGGAAACAGTCAGTTTGTAAATTCTGCAACTGGATATTTGGACCTCTTTGAGGCTTTCGTTGGAAACGGGATTTCTTCACATAATGCTAGACAGAAGAATTCTCAGTAACTTCTTTTGGGATGTATGTATTCAAATCAGAGAGTTGAACCTTCCTTTAGACAGAGCGGATTGGAAACACTCTTTTTGTGGAATTTGCAAGTGGAAAATTCTAGCAGTATGAGGCCAATGGTACAAAAGGAAATATCTTCGTATAAAAACTAGACAGTATCATTCTCAGAAACTGCTTTGTGATGTGTGTATTAAACTCACAGAGTTTAACCTTTCTTTTCATAGAGCAGTTTGGAAACCCTCTGTTTGTGAAGTCTGCAAGTGGATATTTAAACGTCTTTGAGGCCTTCGTTGGAAACGGGATTTTTTCATATAAACCAGGACAGAAGAATTCTCAGAAACTTCTTGATTGTTATGTGTGCATTCAACTCACAGAGTTGAACCTTACTTTGGAAAGAGCAGTTTTCTAACACTCTTTTTGTAAAAGTTCCAAGTGAATACTTTGAGTGCTTTGAAGCCTACGGTTGACAACGAAATATCTTCTTGTAAAAACTACAAAGAATCATTCGCAGAAACCACGTTGTGATCTCTGCATTCAACTCACAGTGTTGAACCTTTCTTCCTATAGAGCAGTTATGAAACAGTCTCTTTGTAGAATTTGCAAGGGTGTATTTAGAGGGCATTGAAGCCTACGGTAGAAAAGGAAATATCTTACCATAAAATCTAGTCAGAAGCATTCTCAGAAACTGAGTTGTGATGTTTGCATTCAACTCACAGAGTTCAACATTCCTTTTAATGGAGCGGTTTTGAAACACTCTTTTTGCAGAATCTGCAAGTGGATATTTGGACCTCTTTGAGGCCTTCGTTGGAAACGGGATTTCTTCATGTAATGCCAGACAGAAGAATTCTCAGTGAATTCTTTCTGTGTGTGTGTATTCAACTCACAGAGTTGAACGTTCCTTTAGACAGAGTAGATTGGAAACACTCTTTTTGTGGAATTTTCAGGTGGAGGTATCAAGCGCTTTGAGGCCAATGATAGAAAAGGAAATACCTTCGTATAATAATTAGACGGAATCATTCTCAGAAACCGCTTTGCAATGTGTGCGTTCAACTCACAGTGTTTAACCTTTCTTTTCATACAGTTGTTTCGAAACACTCTTTTTGCAGAATCTGCAAGTGGATATTTGGACCTCTTTGAAGTCTTCGTTGGAAATGGGATTTCTTCATATAATGCTAGACAGAAGACTTCTCAGTAACTGCTTTTTCTGGTGTGTATTCAACTCTCAGAGTTGAACTTTCCTTTAGAAACAGCAGATTTGAAACTCTCTTTTTGTGGAATTTGCAAGTGGAGATTTCAGAGCTTTGAGGCCAATGGTAGAAAAGGAAATATCTTCGTATGCAAACTAGACAGAATCATTCTCAGAAACTACTTTGGTACGTGTGTGTTCAACTCACAGTGTTTAACCTTTCTTTTCATAGAGCAGTTTGGAAACACTCAGTTTGTAAAGTCAGCAACTGGATATTTGGATGTATTTGAGGCCTTCGTTGGAAACGGGATTTCTTCATATAATGCTAGGCAGCAGAATTCTCAGTAACTTCTTTGGGTTGTGGGTATTCAAGTCACAGAGTTGAAGCTTCCTTTAGGCGGAGCAGATTGGAAACACTTTTTGTGGAATTTTCAGGGGGAGACTTCAAGCGCTTTGAAGTGAATGGTAGGAAAGGAAATATCTTCGTATAAAAACTAGACGGAGTCATTCTCAGAAACTACTTTGTGATGTTTGCGTTCAACTCACAGAGTTTAACGTTTCTTTTCATAGAGCAGTTTGGAAACACTCTTTTTGCAGAATCTGCAAGTGGATATTTGGACCTCTTTGTGGCCTTCGTTGGAAACGGGATTTTTCATATAATGCTAGACAGAAGAATTCTCCAGTAACTTCTTTTTGTGGTGTGTATTCAACTCACAGAGTTGAACCTTCCTTTAGACAGAGCAGATTTGAAACTCTCTTTTTGTGGAATTTGCAAGTGGAGATTTCAAGCGCTTTGAGGCCAACGGCAGAAAAGGAAATATCTTCGTAGAAAAAATAGACGGAATCATTCTCAGAAACTGCTTTGGGATGTGTGCATTGAACTCACAGTGTTTAACACTTCTTTTCATAGAGCACTTTGGAAACACTCAGTTTGTAATGTCTGCAGCTGGATATTTGGACCTCTTTGAGGCCTTCGTAGTAAACGGGATTTCTTCGTGTAATGATAGACAATAGAATTCTCAGTGAATTTTTTTCTGTGTGTGTGTATTCAACTCACAGGGTTGAACCTTCCTTTAGACAGTGCAGATTTGAAACACTTGTCTGTGGAATTTGCAAGGGGAGATTTCAAGCACTTTGAGGCCATTGGTGGAAAAGGAAATAACTTCGTATAAAAACTAGACAGAATCATTCTCAGGAACTACTTTGTGATATGTGCATTCAACTCACAGAGTTTAACCTTTCTTTTCATAGATGAGTTTGGAAACAGTCAGTTTGTAAATTCTGCAACTGGATATTTGGACCTCTTTGAGGCTTTCGTTGGAAACGGGATTTCTTCACATAATGCTAGACAAGAATTCTCAGTAACTTCTTTTGGGATGTATGTATTCAAATCAGAGAGTTGAACCTTCCTTTAGACAGAGCGGATTGGAAACACTCTTTTTGTGGAATTTGCAAGTGGAAAATTCTAGCAGTATGAGGCCAATGGTACAAAAGGAAATATCTTCGTATAAAAACTAGACAGTATCATTCTCAGAAACTGCTTTGTGATGTGTGTATTAAACTCACAGAGTTGAACATTTCTTTGCATAGAGCAGTTTGGAAAGACTTAGTTTGTGCAGTGTGCAAGTGGATATTTGGAACTCTTTGAGGCCTTCGTTGGAAACGGGATTTCTTCTTATAATTCTTGACAAAAGAATTCTCAGTAGCTTCTTTGTGTGTGTGTATTCAACTCACAGAGTTGAACCTTCCTTTAGACAGAGCAGATTGGAAACACTCTTTTTGTGGAATTTGCAAGTGGAGAATTCTAGCGCTTTGACGCCAATGGTAGAAAGGAAATATCTTCGTATAAAAACTAGACAGTATCATTCTCAGAAGCTACTTTGTGATGTGTGCGTTCAACTCACAGAGTTTAACCTTTCTTTTCATAGAGCAGTTTGGAAACACTCTGTTTGTGAAGTCTGCAAGTGGATATTTAAACGTCTTTGAGGCCTTCGTTGGAAACGGGATTTTTTCATATAAACCAGGACAGAAGAATTCTCAGAAACTTCTTGATTGTTATGTGTGCATTCAACTCACAGAGTTGAACCTTACTTTGGAAAGAGCAGTTTTCTAATACTCTTTTTGTAAAAGTTCCAAGTGAATACTTTGAGTGCTTTGAAGCCTACGGTTGACAACGAAATATCTTCATGTAAAAACTACAAAGAATCATTCGCAGAAACCACGTTGTGATCTCTGCATTCAACTCACAGAGTTCAACCTTTCTTCCTATAGAGCAGTTATGAAACAGTCTCTTTCTAGAATTTGCAAGGGTGTATTTAGAGGGCATTGAAGCCTACGGTAGAAAAGGAAATATCTTACCATAAAATCTAGTCAGAAGCATTCTCAGCAACTGAGTTGTGATGTTTGCATTCAACTCACAGAGTTCAACATTCCTTTTAATGGAGCGGTTTTGAAACACTCTTTTTGCAGAATCTGCAAGTGGATATTTGGACCTCTTTGAGGCCTTCGTTGGAAACGGGATTTCTTCATGTAATGCCAGACAGAAGAATTCTCAGTGAATTCTTTCTGTGTGTGTGTATTCAACTCACAGAGTTGAACGTTCCTTTAGACAGAGTAGATTGGAAACACTCTTTTTGTGGAATTTTCAGGTGGAGGTATCAAGCGCTTTGAGGCCAATGATAGAAAAGGAAATACCTTCGTATAATAATTAGACGGAATCATTCTCAGAAACTGCTTTGCAATGTGTGCGTTCAACTCACAGTGTTTAACCTTTCTTTTCATACAGTTGTTTCGAAACACTCTTTTTGCAGAATCTGCAAGTGGATATTTGGACCTCTTTGAAGTCTTCGTTGGAAATGGGATTTCTTCATATAATGCTAGACAGAAGACTTCTCAGTAACTGCTTTTTCTGGTGTGTATTCAACTCTCAGAGTTGAACTTTCCTTTAGAAACAGCAGATTTGAAACTCTCTTTTTGTGGAATTTGCAAGTGGAGATTTCAGAGCTTTGAGGCCAATGGTAGAAAAGGAAATATCTTCGTATGCAAACTAGACAGAATCATTCTCAGAAACTACTTTGGTACGTGTGTGTTCAACTCACAGTGTTTAACCTTTCTTTTCATAGAGCAGTTTGGAAACACTCAGTTTGTAAAGTCAGCAACTGGATATTTGGATGTATTTGAGGCCTTCGTTGGAAACGGGATTTCTTCATATAGTGCTAGACAGAAGAATTCTCAGTAACTTCTTTGGGTTGTGGGTATTCAAGTCACAGAGTTGAAGCTTCCTTTAGGCGGAGCAGATTGGAAACACTTTTTGTGGAATTTTCAGGGGGAGACTTCAAGCGCTTTGAAGTGAATGGTAGGAAAGGAAATATCTTCGTATAAAAACTAGACGGAGTCATTCTCAGAAACTACTTTGTGATGTTTGCGTTCAACTCACAGAGTTTAACGTTTCTTTTCATAGAGCAGTTTGGAAACACTCTTTTTGCAGAATCTGCAAGTGGATATTTGGTCCTCTTTGTGGCCTTCGTTGGAAACGGGATTTTTCATATAATGCTAGACAGAAGAATTCTCAGTAACTTCTTTTTGTGGTGTGTATTCAACTCACAGAGTTGAACCTTCCTTTAGACAGAGCAGATTTGAAACTCTCTTTTTGTGGAATTTGCAAGTGGAGATTTCAAGCGCTTTGAGGCCAACGGCAGAAAAGGAAATATCTTCGTAGAAAAAATAGACGGAATCATTCTCAGAAACTGCTTTGGGATGTGTGCATTGAACTCACAGTGTTTAACACTTCTTTTCATAGAGCACTTTGGAAACACTCAGGTTGTAATGTCTGCAGCTGGATATTTGGACCTCTTTGAGGCCTTCGTGGTAAACGGGATTTCTTCGTGTAATGATAGACAATAGAATTCTCAGTGAATTTTTTTCTGTGTGTGTGTATTCAACTCACAGGGTTGAACCTTCCTTTAGACAGTGCAGATTTGAGACACTTGTCTGTGGAATTTGCAAGGGGAGATTTCAAGCACTTTGAGGCCATTGGTGGAAAAGGAAATATCTTCGTATGAAAACTAGACAGAATCATTCTCAGGAACTACTTTGTGATATGTGCATTCAACTCCCAGAGTTTAACCTTTCTTTTCATAGATGAGTTTGGAAACAGTCAGTTTGTAAATTCTGCAACTGGATATTTGGACCTCTTTGAGGCTTTCGTTGGAAACGGGATTTCTTCACATAATGCTAGACAGAAGAATTCTCAGTAACTTCTTTTGGGATGTATGTATTCAAATCAGAGAGTTGAACCTTCCTTTAGACAGAGCGGATTGGAAACACTCTTTTTGTGGAATTTGCAAGTGGAAAATTCTAGCAGTATGAGGCCAATGGTACAAAAGGAAATATCTTCGTATAAAAACTAGACAGTATCATTCTCAGAAACTGCTTTGTGATGTGTGTATTAAACTCACAGAGTTGAACATTTCTTTGCATAGAGCAGTTTGGAAAGACTTAGTTTGTGCAGTGTGCAAGTGGATATTTGGAACTCTTTGAGGCCTTCGTTGGAAACGGGATTTCTTCTTATAATTCTTGACAAAAGAATTCTCAGTAGCTTCTTTGTGTGTGTGTATTCAACTCACAGAGTTGAACCTTCCTTTAGACAGAGCAGATTGAAAACACTCTTTTTGTGGAATTTGCAAGTGGAGAATTCTAGCGCTTTGACGCCAATGGTAGAAAGGAAATATCTTCGTATAAAAACTAGACAGTATCATTCTCAAAAACTACTTTGTGATGTGTGCGTTCAACTCACAGAGTTTAACCTTTCTTTTCATAGAGCAGTTTGGAAACCCTCTGTTTGTGAAGTCTGCAAGTGGATATTTAAACGTCTTTGAGGCCTTCGTTGGAAACGGGATTTTTTCATATAAACCAGGACAGAATAATTCTCAGAAAACTTCTTGATTGTTATGTGTGCATTCAACTCACAGAGTTGAACCTTACTTTGGAAAGAGCAGTTTTCTAACACTCTTTTTGTAAAAGTTCCAAGTGAATACTTTGAGTGCTTTGAAGCCTACGGTTGACAACGAAATATCTTCATGTAAAAACTACAAAGAATCATTCGCAGAAACCACGTTGTGATCTCTGCATTCAACTCACAGAGTTGAACCTTTCTTCCTATAGAGCAGTTATGAAACAGTCTCTTTGTAGAATTTGCAAGGGTGTATTTAGAGGGCATTGAAGCCTACGGTAGAAAAGGAAATATCTTACCATAAAATCTAGTCAGAAGCATTCTCAGCAACTGAGTTGTGATGTTTGCATTCAACTCACAGAGTTCAACATTCCTTTTAATGGAGCGGTTTTGAAACACTCTTTTTGCAGAATCTGCAAGTGGATATTTGGACCTCTTTGAGGTCTTCGTTGGAAACGGGATTTCTTCATGTAATGCCAGACAGAAGAATTCTCAGTGAATTCTTTCTGTGTGTGTGTATTCAACTCACAGAGTTGAACGTTCCTTTAGACAGAGTAGATTGGAAACACTCTTTTTGTGGAATTTTCTGGTGGAGGTATCAAGCGCTTTGAGGCCAATGATAGAAAAGGAAATACCTTCGTATAATAATTAGACGGAATCATTCTCAGAAACTGCTTTGCAATGTGTGCGTTCAACTCACAGTGTTTAACCTTTCTTTTCATACAGTTTTGTTTCGAAACACTCTTTTTGCAGAATCTGCAAGTGGATATTTGGACCTCTTTGAAGTCTTCGTTGGAAATGGGATTTCTTCATATAATGCTAGACAGAAGACTTCTCAGTAACTGCTTTTTCTGGTGTGTATTCAACTCTCAGAGTTGAACTTTCCTTTAGAAACAGCAGAGTTGAAACTCTCTTTTTGTGGAATTTGCAAGTGGAGATTTCAAAGCTTTGAGGCCAATGGTAGAAAAGGAAATATCTTCGTATGCAAACTAGACAGAATCATTCTCAGAAACTACTTTGGTACGTGTGTGTTCAACTCACAGTGTTTAACCTTTCTTGTCATAGAGCAGTTTGGAAACACTCAGTTTGTAAAGTCAGCAACTGGATATTTGGATGTATTTGAGGCCTTCGTTGGAAACGGGATTTCTTCATATAATGCTAGACAGAAGAATTCTCAGTAACTTCTTTGGGTTGTGGGTATTCAACTCACAGAGTTGAAGCTTCCTTTAGGCGGAGCAGATTGGAAACACTTTTTGTGGAATTTTCAGGGGGAGACTTCAAGCGCTTTGAAGTGAATGGTAGAAAAGGAAATATCTTCGTATAAAAACTAGACGGAGTCATTCTCAGAAACTACTTTGTGATGTTTGCGTTCAACTCACAGAGTTTAACGTTTCTTTTCATAGAGCAGTTTGGAAACACTCTTTTTGCAGAATCTGCAAGTGGATATTTGGACCTCTTTGTGGCCTTCGTTGGAAACGGGATTTTTCATATAATGCTAGACAGAAGAATTCTCAGTAACTTCTTTTTGTGGTGTGTATTCAACTCACAGAGTTGAACCTTCCTTTAGACAGAGCAGATTTGAAACTCTCTTTTTGTGGAATTTGCAAGTGGAGATTTCAAGCGCTTTGAGGCCAACGGTAGAAAAGGAAATATCTTCGTAGAAAAAATAGACGGAATCATTCTCAGAAACTGCTTTGGGATGTGTGCATTGAACTCACAGTGTTTAACACTTCTTTTCATAGAGCACTTTGGAAACACTCAGTTTGTAATGTCTGCAGCTGGATATTTGGACCTCTTTGAGGCCTTCGTAGTAAACGGGATTTCTTCGTGTAATGATAGACAATAGAATTCTCAGTGAATTTGTTTCTGTGTGTGTGTATTCAACTCACAGGGTTGAACCTTCCTTTAGACAGTGCAGATTTGAAACACTTGTCTGTGGAATTTGCAAGGGGAGATTTCAAGCACTTTGAGGCCATTGGTGGAAAAGGAAATATCTTCGTATAAAAACTAGACAGAATCATTCTCAGGAACTACTTTGTGATATGTGCATTCAACTCCCAGAGTTTAACCTTTCTTTTCATAGATGAGTTTGGAAACAGTCAGTTTGTAAATTCTGCAACTGGATATTTGGACCTCTTTGAGGCTTTCGTTGGAAACGGGATTTACTTCACATAATGCTAGACAGAAGAATTCTCAGTAACTTCTTTTGGGATGTATGTATTCAAATCAGAGAGTTGAACCTTCCTTTAGACAGAGCGGATTGGAAACACTCTTTTTGTGGAATTTGCAAGTGGAAAATTCTAGCAGTATGAGGCCAATGGTACAAAAGGAAATATCTTCGTATAAAAACTAGACAGTATCATTCTCAGAAACTGCTTTGTGATGTGTGTATTAAACTCACAGAGTTGAACATTTCTTTGCATAGAGCAGTTTGGAAAGACTTAGTTTGTGCAGTGTGCAAGTGGATATTTGGAACTCTTTGAGGCCTTCGTTGGAAACGGGATTTCTTCTTATAATTCTTGACAAAAGAATTCTCAGTAGCTTCTTTGTGTGTGTGTATTCAACTCACAGAGTTGAACCTTCCTTTAGACAGAGCAGATTGGAAACACTCTTTTTGTGGAATTTGCAAGTGGAGAATTCTAGCGCTTTGACGCCAATGGTAGAAAGGAAATATCTTCGTATGCAAACTAGACAGTATCATTCTCAGAAGCTACTTTGTGATGTGTGCGTTCAACTCACAGAGTTTAACCTTTCTTTTCATAGAGCAGTTTGGAAACCCTCTGTTTGTGAAGTCTGCAAGTGGATATTTAAACGTCTTTGAGGCCTTCGTTGGAAACGGGATTTGTTCCTATAAACCAGGACAGAAGAATTCTCAGAAACTTCTTGATTGTTATGTGTGCATTCAACTCACAGAGTTGAACCTTACTTTGGAAAGAGCAGTTTTCTAACACTCTTTTTGTAAAAGTTCCAAGTGAATACTTTGAGTGCTTTGAAGCCTACGGTTGACAACGAAATATCTTCATGTAAAAACTACAAAGAATCATTCGCAGAAACCACGTTGTGATCTCTGCATTCAACTCACAGAGTTGAACCTTTCTTCCTATAGAGCAGTTATGAAACAGTCTCTTTGTAGAATTTGCAAGGGTGTATTTAGAGGGCATTGAAGCCTACGGTAGAAAAGGAAATATCTTACCATAAAATCTAGTCAGAAGCATTCTCAGCAACTGAGTTGTGATGTTTGCATTCAACTCACAGAGTTCAACATTCCTTTTAATGGAGCGGTTTTGAAACACTCTTTTTGCAGAATCTGCAAGTGGATATTTGGACCTCTTTGAGGCCTTCGTTGGAAACGGGATTTCTTCATGTAATGCCAGACAGAAGAATTCTCAGTGAATTCTTTCTGTGTGTGTGTATTCAACTCACAGAGTTGAACGTTCCTTTAGACAGAGTAGATTGGAAACACTCTTTTTGTGGAATTTTCAGGTGGAGGTATCAAGCGCTTTGAGGCCAATGATAGAAAAGGAAATACCTTCGTATAATAATTAGACGGAATCATTCTCAGAAACTGCTTTGCAATGTGTGCGTTCAACTCACAGTGTTTAACCTTTCTTTTCATAGAGTTGTTTCGAAACACTCTTTTTGCAGAATCTGCAAGTGGATATTTGGACCTCTTTGAAGTCTTCGTTGGAAATGGGATTTCTTCATATAATGCTAGACAGAAGACTTCTCAGTAACTGCTTTTTCTGGTGTGTATTCAACTCTCAGAGTTGAACTTTCCTTTAGAAACAGCAGAGTTGAAACTCTCTTTTTGTGGAATTTGCAAGTGGAGATTTCAAAGCTTTGAGGCCAATGGTAGAAAAGGAAATATCTTCGTATGCAAACTAGACAGAATCATTCTCAGAAACTACTTTGGTACTTGTGTGTTCAACTCACAGTGTTTAACCTTTCTTTTCATAGAGCAGTTTGGAAACACCCAGTTTGTAAAGTCAGCAACTGGATATTTGGATGTATTTGAGGCCTTCGTTGGAAACGGGATTTCGTCATATAGTGCTAGACAGAAGAATTCTCAGTAACTTCTTTGGGTTGTGGGTATTCAACTCACAGAGTTGAAGCTTCCTTTAGGCGGAGCAGATTGGAAACACTTTTTGTGGAATTTTCAGGGGGAGACTTCAAGCGCTTTGAAGTGAATGTTAGGAAAGGTAATATTCTTCGTATAAAAACTAGACGGAGTCATTCTCAGAAACTACTTTGTGATGTTTGCGTTCAACTCACAGAGTTTAACGTTTCTTTTCATAGAGCAGTTTGGAAACACTCATTTTGCAGAATCTGCAAGTGGATATTTGGACCTCTTTGTGGCCTTCGTTGGAAACGGGATTTTTCATATAATGCTAGACAGAAGAATTCTCAGTAACTTCTTTTTGTGGTGTGTATTCAACTCACAGAGTTGAACCTTCCTTTAGACAGAGCAGATTTGAAACTCTCTTTTTGTGGAATTTGCAAGTGGAGATTTCAAGCGCTTTGAGGCCAACGGCAGAAAAGGAAATATCTTCGTAGAAAAAATAGACGGAATCATTCTCAGAAACTGCTTTGGGATGTGTGCATTGAACTCACAGTGTTTAACACTTCTTTTCATAGAGCACTTTGGAAACACTCAGTTTGTAATGTCTGCAGCTGGATATTTGGACCTCTTTGAGGCCTTCGTAGTAAACGGGATTTCTTCGTGTAATGATAGACAATAGAATTCTCAGTGAATTTTTTTCTGTGTGTGTGTATTCAACTCACAGGGTTGAACCTTCCTTTAGACAGTGCAGATTTGAAACACTTGTCTGTGGAATTTGCAAGGGGAGATTTCAAGCACTTTGAGGCCATTGGTGGAAAAGGAAATATCTTCGTATGAAAACTAGACAGAATCATTCTCAGGAACTACTTTGTGATATGTGCATTCAACTCACAGAGTTTAACCTTTCTTTTCATAGATGAGTTTGGAAAGAGTCAGTTTGTAAATTCTGCAACTGGATATTTGGACCTCTTTGAGGCTTTCGTTGGAAACGGGATTTCTTCACATAATGCTAGACAGAAGAATTCTCAGTAACTTCTTTTGGGATGTATGTATTCAAATCAGAGAGTTGAACCTTCCTTTAGACAGAGCGGATTGGAAACACTCTTTTTGTGGAATTTGCAAGTGGAAAATTCTAGCAGTATGAGGCCAATGGTACAAAAGGAAATATCTTCGTATAAAACCTAGACAGTTATCATTCTCAGAAACTGCTTTGTGATGTGTGTATTAAACTCACAGAGTTGAACATTTCTTTGCATAGAGCAGTTTGGAAAGACTTAGTTTGTGCAGTGTGCAAGTGGATATTTGGAACTCTTTGAGGCCTTCGTTGGAAACGGGATTTCTTCTTATAATTCTTGACAAAAGAATTCTCAGTAGCTTCTTTGTGTGTGTGTATTCAACTCACAGAGTTGAACCTTCCTTTAGACAGAGCAGATTGGAAACACTCTTTTTGTGGAATTTGCAAGTGGAGAATTCTAGCGCTTTGACGCCAATGGTAGAAAGGAAATATCTTCGTATAAAAACTAGACAGTATCATTCTCAGAAGCTACTTTGTGATGTGTGCGTTCAACTCACAGAGTTTAACCTTTCTTTTCATAGAGCAGTTTGGAAACCCTCTGTTTGTGAAGTCTGCAAGTGGATATTTAAACGTCTTTGAGGCCTTCGTTGGAAACGGGATTTTTTCATATAAACCAGGACAGAAGAATTCTCAGAAACTTCTTGATTGTTATGTGTGCATTCAACTCACAGAGTTGAACCTTACTTTGGAAAGAGCAGTTTCCTAACACTCGTTTTGTAAAAGTTCCAAGTGAATACTTTGAGTGCTTTGAAGCCTACGGTTGACAACGAAATATCTTCATGTAAAAACTACAAAGAATCATTCGCAGAAACCACGTTGTGATCTCTGCATTCAACTCACAGAGTTCAACCTTTCTTCCTATAGAGCAGTTATGAAACAGTCTCTTTGTAGAATTTGCAAGGGTGTATTTAGAGGGCATTGAAGCCTACGGTAGAAAAGGAAATATCTTACCATAAAATCTAGTCAGAAGCATTCTCAGCAACTGAGTTGTGATGTTTGCATTCAACTCACAGAGTTCAACATTCCTTTTCATGGAGCGGTTTTGAAACACTCTTTTTGCAGAATCTGCAAGTGGATATTTGGACCTCTTTGAGGCCTTCGTTGGAAACGGGATTTCTTCATGTAATGCCAGACAGAAGAATTCTCAGTGAATTCTTTCTGTGTGTGTGTATTCAACTCACAGAGTTGAACGTTCCTTTAGACAGAGTAGATTGGAAACACTCTTTTTGTGGAATTTTCAGGTGGAGGTATCAAGCGCTTTGAGGCCAATGATAGAAAAGGAAATACCTTCGTATAATAATTAGACGGAATCATTCTCAGAAACCGCTTTGCAATGTGTGCGTTCAACTCACAGTGTTTAACCTTTCTTTTCATACAGTTGTTTCGAAACACTCTTTTTGCAGAATCTGCAAGTGGATATTTGGACCTCTTTGAAGTCTTCGTTGGAAATGGGATTTCTTCATATAATGCTAGACAGAAGACTTCTCAGTAACTGCTTTTTCTGGTGTGTATTCAACTCTCAGAGTTGAACTTTCCTTTAGAAACAGCAGATTTGAAACTCTCTTTTTGTGGAATTTGCAAGTGGAGATTTCAGAGCTTTGAGGCCAATGGTAGAAAAGGAAATATCTTCGTATGCAAACTAGACAGAATCATTCTCAGAAACTACTTTGGTACGTGTGTGTTCAACTCACAGTGTTTAACCTTTCTTTTCATAGAGCAGTTTGGAAACACTCAGTTTGTAAAGTCAGCAACTGGATATTTGGATGTATTTGAGGCCTTCGTTGGAAACGGGATTTCTTCATATAATGCTAGACAGAAGAATTCTCAGTAACTTCTTTGGGTTGTGGGTATTCAAGTCACAGAGTTGAAGCTTCCTTTAGGCGGAGCAGATTGGAAACACTTTTTGTGGAATTTTCAGGGGGAGACTTCAAGCGCTTTGAAGTGAATGGTAGGAAAGGAAATATCTTCGTATAAAAACTAGACGGAGTCATTCTCAGAAACTACTTTGTGATGTTTGCGTTCAACTCACAGAGTTTAACGTTTCTTTTCATAGAGCAGTTTGGAAACACTCTTTTTGCAGAATCTGCAAGTGGATATTTGGACCTCTTTGTGGCCTTCGTTGGAAACGGGATTTTTCATATAATGCTAGACAGAAGAATTCTCAGTAACTTCTTTTTGTGGTGTGTATTCAACTCACAGAGTTGAACCTTCCTTTAGACAGAGCAGATTTGAAACTCTCTTTTTGTGGAATTTGCAAGTGGAGATTTCAAGCGCTTTGAGGCCAACGGCAGAAAAGGAAATATCTTCGTAGAAAAAATAGACGGAATCATTCTCAGAAACTGCTTTGGGATGTGTGCATTGAACTCACAGTGTTTAACACTTCTTTTCATAGAGCACTTTGGAAACACTCAGTTTGTAATGTCTGCAGCTGGATATTTGGACCTCTTTGAGGCCTTCGTAGTAAACGGGATTTCTTCGTGTAATGATAGACAATAGAATTCTCAGTGAATTTTTTTCTCTGTGTGTGTATTCAACTCACAGGGTTGAACCTTCCTTTAGACAGTGCAGATTTGAAACACTTGTCTGTGGAATTTGCAAGGGGAGATTTCAAGCACTCTGAGGCCATTGGTGGAAAAGGAAATATCTTCGTATAAAAACTAGACAGAATCATTCTCAGGAACTACTTTGTGATATGCGCATTCAACTCACAGAGTTTAACCTTTCTTTTCATAGATGAGTTTGGAAACAGTCAGTTTGTAAATTCTGCAACTGGATATTTGGGCCTCTTTGAGGCTTTCGTTGGAAACGGGATTTCTTCACATAATGCTAGACAGAAGAATTCTCAGTAACTTCTTTTGGGATGTATGTATTCAAATCAGAGAGTTGAACCTTCCTTTAGACAGAGCGGATTGGAAACACTCTTTTTGTGGAATTTGCAAGTGGAAAATTCTAGCAGTATGAGGCCAATGGTACAAAAGGAAATATCTTCGTATAAAAACTAGACAGTATCATTCTCAGAAACTGCTTTGTGATGTGTGTATTAAACTCACAGAGTTGAACATTTCTTTGCATAGAGCAGTTTGGAAAGACTTAGTTTGTGCAGTGTGCAAGTGGATATTTGGAACTCTTTGAGGCCTTCGTTGGAAACGGGATTTCTTCTTATAATTCTTGACAAAAGAATTCTCAGTAGCTTCTTTGTGTGTGTGTATTCAACTCACAGAGTTGAAACCTGCCTTGAGACAGAGCAGATTGGAAACACTCTTTTTGTGGAATTTGCAAGTGGAGAATTCTAGCGCTTTGACGCCAATGGTAGAAAGGAAATATCTTCGTATAAAAACTAGACAGTATCATTCTCAGAAGCTACTTTGTGATGTGTGCGTTCAACTCACAGAGTTTAACCTTTCTTTTCATAGAGCAGTTTGGAAACCCTCTGTTTGTGAAGTCTGCAAGTGGATATTTAAACGTCTTTGAGGCCTTCGTTGGAAACGGGATTTTTTCATATAAACCAGGACAGAAGAATTCTCAGAAACTTCTTGATTGTTATGTGTGCATTCAACTCACAGAGTTGAACCTTACTTTGGAAAGAGCAGTTTTCTAACACTCTTTTTGTAAAAGTTCCAAGTGAATACTTTGAGTGCTTTGAAGCCTACGGTTGACAACGAAATATCTTCATGTAAAAACTACAAAGAATCATTCGCAGAAACCACGTTGTGATCTCTGCATTCAACTCACAGAGTTGAACCTTTCTTCCTATAGAGCAGTTATGAAACAGTCTCTTTGTAGAATTTGCAAGGGTGTATTTAGAGGGCATTGAAGCCTACGGTAGAAAAGGAAATATCTTACCATAAAATACTAGTCAGAAGCATTCTCAGTAAACTGAGTTGTGATGTTTGCATTCAACTCACAGAGTTCAACATTCCTTTTAATAGAGCGGTTTTGAAACACTCTTTTTGCAGAATCTGCAAGTGGATATTTGGACCTCTTTGAGGCCTTCGTTGGAAACGGGATTTCTTCATGTAATGCCAGACAGAAGAATTCTCAGTGAATTCTTTCTGTGTGTGTGTATTCAACTCACAGAGTTGAACGTTCCTTTAGACAGAGTAGATTGGAAACACTCTTTTTGTGGAATTTTCAGGTGGAGGTATCAAGCGCTTTGAGGCCAATGATAGAAAAGGAAATACCTTCGTATAATAATTAGACGGAATCATTCTCAGAAACTGCTTTGCAATGTGTGCGTTCAACTCACAGTGTTTAACCTTTCTTTTCATACAGTTGTTTCGAAACACTCTTTTTGCAGAATCTGCAAGTGGATATTTGGACCTCTTTGAAGTCTTCGTTGGAAATGGGATTTCTTCATATAATGCTAGACAGAAGACTTCTCAGTAACTGCTTTTTCTGGTGTGTATTCAACTCTCAGAGTTGAACTTTCCTTTAGGAACAGCAGATTTGAAACTCTCTTTTTGTGGAATTTGCAAGTGGAGATTTCAAAGCTTTGAGGCCAGTGGTAGAAAAGGAAATATCTTTGTATGCAAACTAGACAGAATCATTCTCAGAAACTACTTTGGTACGTGTGTGTTCAACTCACAGTGTTTAACCTTTCTTTTCATAGAGCAGTTTGGAAACACTCAGTTTGTAAAGTCAGCAACTGGATATTTGGATGTATTTGAGGCCTTCGTTGGAAACGGGATTTCTTCATATAATGCTAGACAGAAGAATTCTCAGTAACTTCTTTGGGTTGTGGGTATTCAAGTCACAGAGTTGAAGCTTCCTTTAGGCGGAGCAGATTGGAAACACTTTTTGTGGAATTTTCAGGGGGAGACTTCAAGCGCTTTGAAGTGAATGGTAGGAAAGGAAATATGCTTCGTATAAAAACTAGACGGAAGTCATTCTCAGAAACTACTTTGTGATGTTTGCGTTCAACTCACAGAGTTTAACGTTTCTTTTCATAGAGCAGTTTGGAAACACTCTTTTTGCAGAATCTGCAAGTGGATATTTGGACCTCTTTGTGGCCTTCGTTGGAAACGGGATTTTTCATATAATGCTAGACAGAAGAATTCTCAGTAACTTCTTTTTGTGGTGTGTATTCAACTCACAGAGTTGAACCTTCCTTTAGACAGAGCAGATTTGAAACTCTCTTTTTGTGGAATTTGCAAGTGGAGATTTCAAGCGCTTTGAGGCCAACGGCAGAAAAGGAAATATCTTCGTAGAAAAAATAGACGGAATCATTCTCAGAAACTGCTTTGGGATGTGTGCATTGAACTCACAGTGTTTAACACTTCTTTTCATAGAGCACTTTGGAAACACTCAGTTTGTAATGTCTGCAGCTGGATATTTGGACCTCTTTGAGGCCTTCGTAGTAAACGGGATTTCTTCGTGTAATGATAGACAATAGAATTCTCAGTGAATTTGTTTCTGTGTGTGTGTATTCAACTCACAGGGTTGAACCTTCCTTTAGACAGTGCAGATTTGAAACACTTGTCTGTGGAATTTGCAAGGGGAGATTTCAAGCACTTTGAGGCCATTGGTGGAAAAGGAAATATCTTCGTATAAAAACTAGACAGAATCATTCTCAGGAACTACTTTGTGATATGTGCATTCAACTCACAGAGTTTAACCTTTCTTTTCATAGATGAGTTTGGAAACAGTCAGTTTGTAAATTCTGCAACTGGATATTTGGACCTCTTTGAGGCTTTCGTTGGAAACGGGATTTCTTCACATAATGCTAGACAGAAGAATTCTCAGTAACTTCTTTTGGGATGTATGTATTCAAATCAGAGAGTTGAACCTTCCTTTAGACAGAGCGGATTGGAAACACTCTTTTTGTGGAATTTGCAAGTGGAAAATTCTAGCAGTATGAGGCCAATGGTACAAAAGGAAATATCTTCGTATAAAAACTAGACAGTATCATTCTCAGAAACTGCTTTGTGATGTGTGTATTAAACTCACAGAGTTGAACATTTCTTTGCATAGAGCAGTTTGGAAAGACTTAGTTTGTGCAGTGTGCAAGTGGATATTTGGAACTCTTTGAGGCCTTCGTTGGAAACGGGATTTCTTCTTATAATTCTTGACAAAAGAATTCTCAGTAGCTTCTTTGTGTGTGTGTATTCAACTCACAGAGTTGAACCTTCCTTTAGACAGAGCAGATTGGAAACACTCTTTTTGTGGAATTTGCAAGTGGAGAATTCTAGCGCTTTGACGCCAATGGTAGAAAGGAAATATCTTCGTATAAAAACTAGACAGTAATCATTCTCAGGAAACTACTTTGTGAGGTGTGCGTTCAACTCACAGTGTTTACCCTTTCTTTTCATAGAGCAGTTTGGAAACACTCTGTTTGTGAAGTCTGCAAGTGGATATTTAAACGTCTTTGAGGCCTTCGTTGGAAACGGGATTTCTTCATATAAACCAGGACAGAAGAATCCTCAGAAACTTCTTGTTTGTTATGTGTGCATTCAACTCACAGAGTTGAACCTTACTTTGGAAAGAGCAGTTTTCTAACACTCTTTTTGTAAAAGTTCCACGTGAATACTTTGAGTGCTTTGAAACCTACGGTAGACAACGAAATATCTTCATGTAAAAACTACAAAGAATCATTCGCAGAAACCACGTTGTGATCTCTGCATTCAACTCACAGAGTTGAATCTTTCTTCCTATAGAGCAGTTATGAAACAGTCTCTTTGTAGAATTTGCAAGGGTGTATTTAGAGGGCATTGAAGCCTACGGTAGAAAAGGAAATATGTTACCATAAAATCTAGTCAGAAGCATTCTCAGAAACTGAGTTGTGATGTTTGCATTCAACTCACAGAGTTCAACATTCCTTTTAATGGAGCGGTTTTGAAACACTCTTTTTGCAGAATCTGCAAGTGGATATTTGGACCTCTTTGAGGCCTTCGTTGGAAACGGGATTTCTTCATGTAATGCCAGACAGAAGAATTCTCAGTGAATTCTTTCTGTGTGTGTGTATTCAACTCACAGAGTTGAACGTTCCTTTAGACAGAGTAGACTGGAAACACTCTTTTTGTGGAATTTTCAGGTGGAGGTATCAAGCGCTTTGAGGCCAATGATAGAAAAGGAAATACCTTCGTATAATAATTAGACGGAATCATTCTCAGAAACTGCTTTGCAATGTGTGCGTTCAACTCACAGTGTTTAACCTTTCTTTTCATACAGTTGTTTCGAAACACTCTTTTTGCAGAATCTGCAAGTGGATATTTGGACCTCTTTGAAGTCTTCGTTGGAAATGGGATTTCTTCATATAATGCTAGACAGAAGACTTCTCAGTAACTGCTTTTTCTGGTGTGTATTCAACTCTCAGAGTTGAACTTTCCTTTAGGAACAGCAGATTTGAAACTCTCTTTTTGTGGAATTTGCAAGTGGAGATTTCAAAGCTTTGAGGCCAGTGGTAGAAAAGGAAATATCTTTGTATGCAAACTAGACAGAATCATTCTCAGAAACTACTTTGGTACGTGTGTGTTCAACTCACAGTGTTTAACCTTTCTTTTCATAGAGCAGTTTGGAAACACTCAGTTTGTAAAGTCAGCAACTGGATATTTGGATGTATTTGAGGCCTTCGTTGGAAACGGGATTTCTTCATATAATGCTAGACAGAAGAATTCTCAGTAACTTCTTTGGGTTGTGGGTATTCAAGTCACAGAGTTGAAGCTTCCTTTAGGCGGAGCAGATTGGAAACACTTTTTGTGGAATTTTCAGGGGGAGACTTCAAGCGCTTTGAAGTGAATGGTAGGAAAGGAAATATCTTCGTATAAAAACTAGACGGAGTCATTCTCAGAAACTACTTTGTGATGTTTGCGTTCAACTCACAGAGTTTAACGTTTCTTTTCATAGAGCAGTTTGGAAACACTCTTTTTGCAGAATCTGCAAGTGGATATTTGGACCTCTTTGTGGCCTTCGTTGGAAACGGGATTTTTCATATAATGCTAGACAGAAGAATTCTCAGTAACTTCTTTTTGTGGTGTGTATTCAACTCACAGAGTTGAACCTTCCTTTAGACAGAGCAGATTTGAAACTCTCTTTTTGTGGAATTTGCAAGTGGAGATTTCAAGCGCTTTGAGGCCAACGGCAGAAAAGGAAATATCTTCGTAGAAAAAATAGACGGAATCATTCTCAGAAACTGCTTTGGGATGTGTGCATTGAACTCACAGTGTTTAACACTTCTTTTCATAGAGCACTTTGGAAACACTCAGTTTGTAATGTCTGCAGCTGGATATTTGGACCTCTTTGAGGCCTTCGTAGTAAACGGGATTTCTTCGTGTAATGATAGACAATAGAATTCTCAGTGAATTTTTTTCTGTGTGTGTGTATTCAACTCACAGGGTTGAACCTTCCTTTAGACAGTGCAGATTTGAAACACTTGTCTGTGGAATTTGCAAGGGGAGATTTCAAGCACTTTGAGGCCATTGGTGGAAAAGGAAATATCTTCGTATAAAAACTAGACAGAATCATTCTCAGGAACTACTTTGTGATATGTGCATTCAACTCCCAGAGTTTAACCTTTCTTTTCATACATGAGTTTGGAAACAGTCAGTTTGTAAATTCTGCAACTGGATATTTGGACCTCTTTGAGGCTTTCGTTGGAAACGGGATTTCTTCACATAATGCTAGACAGAAGAATTCTCAGTAACTTCTTTTGGGATGTATGTATTCAAATCAGAGAGTTGAACCTTCCTTTAGACAGAGCGGATTGGAAACACTCTTTTTGTGGAATTTGCAAGTGGAAAATTCTAGCAGTATGAGGCCAATGGTACAAAAGGAAATATCTTCGTATAAAAACTAGACAGTATCATTCTCAGAAACTGCTTTGTGATGTGTGTATTAAACTCACAGAGTTGAACATTTCTTTGCATAGAGCAGTTTGGAAAGACTTAGTTTGTGCAGTGTGCAAGTGGATATTTGGAACTCTTTGAGGCCTTCGTTGGAAACGGGATTTCTTCTTATAATTCTTGACAAAAGAATTCTCAGTAGCTTCTTTGTGTGTGTGTATTCAACTCACAGAGTTGAACCTTCCTTTAGACAGAGCAGATTGGAAACACTCTTTTTGTGGAATTTGCAAGTGGAGAATTCTAGCGCTTTGACGCCAATGGTAGAAAGGAAATATCTTCGTATAAAAACTAGACAGTATCATTCTCAGAAGCTACTTTGTGATGTGTGCGTTCAACTCACAGAGTTTAACCTTTCTTTTCATAGAGCAGTTTGGAAACCCTCTGTTTGTGAAGTCTGCAAGTGGATATTTAAACGTCTTTGAGGCCTTCGTTGGAAACGGGATTTTTCATATAAACCAGGACAGAAGAATTCTCAGAAACTTCTTGTTTGTTATGTGTGCATTCAACTCACAGAGTTGAACCTTACTTTGGAAAGAGCAGTTTTCTAACACTCTTTTTGTAAAAGTTCCAAGTGAATACTTTGAGTGCTTTGAAGCCTACGGTAGACAACGAAATATCTTCATGTAAAAACTACAAAGAATCATTCGCAGAAACCACGTTGTGATCTCTGCATTCAACTCACAGAGTTGAACCTTTCCTCCTATAGAGCAGTTATGAAACAGTCTCTTTGTTGAATTTGCAAGGGTGTATTTACAGGGCATTGAAGCCTACGGTAGAAAAGGAAATATCTTACCATAAAATCTAGTCAGAAGCATTCTCAGAAACTGAGTTGTGATGTTTGCATTCAACTCACAGAGTTCAACATTCCTTTTAATGGAGCGGTTTTGAAACACTCTTTTTGCAGAATCTGCAAGTGGATATTTGGACCTCTTTGAGGCCTTCGTTGGAAACGGGATTTCTTCATGTAATGCCAGACAGAAGAATTCTCAGTGAATTCTTTCTGTGTGTGTGTATTCAACTCACGGAGTTGAACGTTCCTTTAGACAGAGTAGATTGGAAACACTCTTTTTGTGGAATTTTCAGGTGGAGGTATCAAGCGCTTTGAGGCCAATGATAGAAAAGGAAATACCTTCGTATAATAATTAGACGGAATCATTCTCAGAAACTGCTTTGCAATGTGTGCGTTCAACTCACAGTGTTTAACCTTTCTTTTCATACAGTTGTTTCGAAACACTCTTTTTGCAGAATCTGCAAGTGGATATTTGGACCTCTTTGAAGTCTTCGTTGGAAATGGGATTTCTTCATATAATGCTAGACAGAAGACTTCTCAGTAACTGCTTTTTCTGGTGTGTATTCAACTCTCAGAGTTGAACTTTCCTTTAGAAACAGCAGATTTGAAACTCTCTTTTTGTGGAATTTGCAAGTGGAGATTTCAAAGCTTTGAGGCCAATGGTAGAAAAGGAAATATCTTCGTATGCAAACAAGACAGAATCATTCTCAGAAACTACTTTGGTACGTGTGTGTTCAACTAACAGTGTTTAACCTTTCTTTTCATAGAGCAGTTTGGAAACACTCAGTTTGTAAAGTCAGCAACTGGATATTTGGATGTATTTGAGGCCTTCGTTGGAAACGGGATTTCTTCATATAATGCTAGACAGAAGAATTCTCAGTAACTTCTTTGGGTTGTGGGTATTCAAGTCACAGAGTTGAAGCTTCCTTTAGGCGGAGCAGATTGGAAACACTTTTTGTGGAATTTTCAGGGGGAGACTTCAAGCGCTTTGAAGTGAATGGTAGGAAAGGAAATATCTTCGTATAAAAACTAGACGGAGTCATTCTCAGAAACTACTTTGTGATGTTTGCGTTCAACTCACAGAGTTTAACGTTTCTTTTCATAGAGCAGTTTGGAAACACTCTTTTTGCAGAATCTGCAAGTGGATATTTGGACCTCTTTGTGGCCTTCGTTGGAAACGGGATTTTTCATATAATGCTAGACAGAAGAATTCTCAGTAACTTCTTTTTGTGGTGTGTATTCAACTCACAGAGTTGAACCTTCCTTTAGACAGAGCAGATTTGAAACTCTCTTTTTGTGGAATTTGCAAGTGGAGATTTCAAGCGCTTTGAGGCCAACGGCAGAAAAGGAAATATCTTCGTAGAAAAAATAGACGGAATCATTCTCAGAAACTGCTTTGGGATGTGTGCATTGAACTCACAGTGTTTAACACTTCTTTTCATAGAGCACTTTGGAAACACTCAGGTTGTAATGTCTGCAGCTGGATATTTGGACCTCTTTGAGGCCTTCGTAGTAAACGGGATTTCTTCGTGTCATGATAGACAATAGAATTCTCAGTGAATTTTTTTCTGTGTGTGTGTATTCAACTCACAGGGTTGAACCTTCCTTTAGACAGTGCAGATTTGAAACACTTGTCTGTGGAATTTGCAAGGGGAGATTTCAAGCACTTTGAGGCCATTGGTGGAAAAGGAAATATCTTCGTATGAAAACTAGACAGAATCATTCTCAGGAACTACTTTGTGATATGTGCATTCAACTCACAGAGTTTAACCTTTCTTTTCATAGATGAGTTTGGAAACAGTCAGTTTGTAAATTCTGCAACTGGATATTTGGACCTCTTTGAGGCTTTCATTGGAAACGGGATTTCTTCACATAATGCTAGACAGAAGAATTCTCAGTAACTTCTTTTGGGATGTATGTATTCAAATCAGAGAGTTGAACCTTCCTTTAGACAGAGCGGATTGGAAACACTCTTTTTGTGGAATTTGCAAGTGGAAAATTCTAGCAGTATGAGGCCAATGGTACAAAAGGAAATATCTTCGTATAAAAACTAGACAGTATCATTCTCAGAAACTGCTTTGTGATGTGTGTATTAAACTCACAGAGTTGAACATTTCTTTGCATAGAGCAGTTTGGAAAGACTTAGTTTGTGCAGTGTGCAAGTGGATATTTGGAACTCTTTGAGGCCTTCGTTGGAAACGGGATTTCTTCTTATAATTCTTGACAAAAGAATTCTCAGTAGCTTCTTTGTGTGTGTGTATTCAACTCACAGAGTTGAACCTTCCTTTAGACAGAGCAGATTGGAAACACTCTTTTTGTGGAATTTGCAAGTGGAGAATTCTAGCGCTTTGACGCCAATGGTAGAAAGGAAATATCTTCGTATAAAAACTAGACAGTATCATTCTCAGAAGCTACTTTGTGATGTGTGCGTTCAACTCACAGAGTTTAACCTTTCTTTTCATAGAGCAGTTTGGAAACCCTCTGTTTGTGAAGTCTGCAAGTGGATATTTAAACCGTCTTTGAGGCCTTCGTTGGAAACGGGATTTTTTCATATAAACCAGGACAGAAGAATTCTCAGAAACGTCTTGATTGTTATGTGTGCATTCAACTCACAGAGTTGAACCTTACTTTGGAAAGAGCAGTTTTCTAACACTCTTTTTGTAAAAGTTCCAAGTGAATACTTTGAGTGCTTTGAAGCCTACGGTTGACAACGAAATATCTTCATGTAAAAACTACAAAGAATCATTCGCAGAAACCACGTTGTGATCTCTGCATTCAACTCACAGAGTTCAACCTTTCTTCCTATAGAGCAGTTATGAAACAGTCTCTTTGTAGAATTTGCAAGGGTGTATTTAGAGGGCATTGAAGCCTACGGTAGAAAAGGAAATATCTTACCATAAAATCTAGTCAGAAGCATTCTCAGAAACTGAGTTGTGATGTTTGCATTCAACTCACAGAGTTCAACATTCCTTTTAATGGAGCGGTTTTGAAACACTCTTTTTGCAGAATCTGCAAGTGGATATTTGGACCTCTTTGAGGCCTTCGTTGGAAACGGGATTTCTTCATGTAATGCCAGACAGAAGAATTCTCAGTGAATTCTTTCTGTGTGTGTGTATTCAACTCACAGAGTTGAACGTTCCTTTAGACAGAGTAGATTGGAAACACTCTTTTTGTGGAATTTTCAGGTGGACGTATCAAGCGCTTTGAGGCCAATGATAGAAAAGGAAATACCTTCGTATAATAATTAGACGGAATCATTCTCAGAAACTGCTTTGCAATGTGTGCGTTCAACTCACAGTGTTTAACCTTTCTTTTCATACAGTTGTTTCGAAACACTCTTTTTGCAGAATCTGCAAGTGGATATTTGGACCTCTTTGAAGTCTTCGTTGGAAATGGGATTTCTTCATATAATGCTAGACAGAAGACTTCTCAGTAACTGCTTTTTCTGGTGTGTATTCAACTCTCAGAGTTGAACTTTCCTTTAGAAACAGCAGATTTGAAACTCTCTTTTTGTGGAATTTGCAAGTGGAGATTTCAGAGCTTTGAGGTCAATGGTAGAAAAGGAAATATCTTCGTATGCAAACTAGACAGAATCATTCTCAGAAACTACTTTGGTACGTGTGTGTTCAACTCACAGTGTTTAACCTTTCTTTTCATAGAGCAGTTTGGAAACACTCAGTTTGTAAAGTCAGCAACTGGATATTTGGATGTATTTGAGGCCTTCGTTGGAAACGGGATTTCTTCATATAATGCTAGACAGAAGAATTCTCAGTAACTTCTTTGGGTTGTGGGTATTCAACTCACAGAGTTGAAGCTTCCTTTAGCGGAGCAGATTGGAAACACTTTTTGTGGAATTTTCAGGGGGAGACTTCAAGCGCTTTGAAGTGAATGGTAGGAAAGGAAATATCTTCGTATAAAAACTAGACGGAGTCATTCTCAGAAACTACTTTGTGATGTTTGCGTTCAACTCACAGAGTTTAACGTTTCTTTTCATAGAGCAGTTTGGAAACACTCTTTTTGCAGAATCTGCAAGTGGATATTTGGACCTCTTTGTGGCCTTCGTTGGAAACGGGATTTTTCATATAATGCTAGACAGAAGAATTCTCAGTAACTTCTTTCTGTGGTGTGTATTCAACTCACAGAGTTGAACCTTCCTTTAGACAGAGCAGATTTGAAACTCTCTTTTTGTGGAATTTGCAAGTGGAGATTTCAAGCGCTTTGAGGCCAACGGCAGAAAAGGAAATATCTTCGTAGAAAAAATAGACGGAATCATTCTCAGAAACTGCTTTGGGATGTGTGCATTGAACTCACAGTGTTTAACACTTCTTTTCATAGAGCACTTTGGAAACACTCAGTTTGTAATGTCTGCAGCTGGATATTTGGACCTCTTTGAGGCCTTCGTAGTAAACGGGATTTCTTCGTGTAATGATAGACAATAGAATTCTCAGTGAATTTTTTTCTGTGTGTGTGTATTCAACTCACAGGGTTGAACCTTCCTTCAGACAGTGCAGATTTGAAACACTTTTCTGTGGAATTTGCAAGGGGAGATTTCAAGCACTTTGAGGCCATTGGTGGAAAAGGAAATATCTTCGTATAAAAACTAGACAGAATCATTCTCAGGAACTACTTTGTGATATGTGCATTCAACTCACAGAGTTTAACCTTTCTTTTCATAGATGAGTTTGGAAACAGTCAGTTTGTAAATTCTGCAACTGGATATTTGGACCTCTTTGAGGCTTTCGTTGGAAACGGGATTTCTTCACATAATGCTAGACAGAAGAATTCTCAGTAACTTCTTTTGGGATGTATGTATTCAAATCAGAGAGTTGAACCTTCCTTTAGACAGAGCGGATTGGAAACACTCTTTTTGTGGAATTTGCAAGTGGAAAATTCTAGCAGTATGAGGCCAATGGTACAAAAGGAAATATTCTTCGTATAAAAACTAGACAGTATCATTCTCAGAAACTGCTTTGTGATGTGTGTATTAAACTCACAGAGTTGAACATTTCTTTGCATAGAGCAGTTTGGAAAGACTTAGTTTGTGCAGTGTGCAAGTGGATATTTGGAACTCTTTGAGGCCTTCGTTGGAAACGGGATTTCTTCTTATAATTCTTGACAAAAGAATTCTCAGTAGCTTCTTTGTGTGTGTGTATTCAACTCACAGAGTTGAACCTTCCTTTAGACAGAGCAGATTGGAAACACTCTTTTTGTGGAATTTGCAAGTGGAGAATTCTAGCGCTTTGACGCCAATGGTAGAAAGGAAATATCTTCGTATAAAAACTAGACAGTATCATTCTCAGAAGCTACTTTGTGATGTGTGCGTTCAACTCACAGAGTTTAACCTTTCTTTTCATAGAGCAGTTTGGAAACCCTCTGTTTGTGAAGTCTGCAAGTGGATATTTAAACGTCTTTGAGGCCTTCGTTGGAAACGGGATTTCTTCACATAAACCAGGACAGAAGAATTCTCAGAAACTTCTTGATTGTTATGGGTGCATTCAACTCACAGAGTTGAACCTTACTTTGGAAAGAGCGGTTTTCTAACACTCTTTTTGTAAAAGTTCCAAGTGAATACTTTGAGTGCTTTGAAGCCTACGGTTGACAACGAAATATCTTCATGTAAAAACTACAAAGAATCATTCGCAGAAACCACGTTGTGATCTCTGCATTCAACTCACAGAGTTGAACCTTTCTCCCTATAGAGCAGTTATGAAACAGTCTCTTTGTAGAATTTGCAAGGGTGTATTTAGAGGGCATTGAAGCCTACGGTAGAAAAGGAAATATCTTACCATAAAATCTAGTCAGAAGCATTCTCAGCAACTGAGTTGTGATGTTTGCATTCAACTCACAGAGTTCAACATTCCTTTTAATGGAGCGGTTTTGAAACACTCTTTTTGCAGAATCTGCAAGTGGATATTTGGACCTCTTTGAGGCCTTCGTTGGAAACGGGATTTCTTCATGTAATGCCAGACAGAAGAATTCTCAGTGAATTCTTTCTGTGTGTGTGTATTCAACTCACAGAGTTGAACGTTCCTTTAGACAGAGTAGATTGGAAACACTCTTTTTGTGGAATTTTCAGGTGGAGGTATCAAGCGCTTTGAGGCCAATGATAGAAAAGGAAATACCTTCGTATAATAATTAGACGGAATCATTCTCAGAAACCGCTTTGCAATGTGTGCGTTCAACTCACAGTGTTTAACCTTTCTTTTCATACAGTTGTTTCGAAACACTCTTTTTGCAGAATCTGCAAGTGGATATTTGGACCTCTTTGAAGTCTTCGTTGGAAATGGGATTTCTTCATATAATGCTAGACAGAAGACTTCTCAGTAACTGCTTTTTCTGGTGTGTATTCAACTCTCAGAGTTGAACTTTCCTTTAGAAACAGCAGATTTGAAACTCTCTTTTTGTGGAATTTGCAAGTGGAGATTTCAGAGCTTTGAGGCCAATGGTAGAAAAGGAAATATCTTCGTATGCAAACTAGACAGAATCATTCTCAGAAACTACTTTGGTACGTGTGTGTTCAACTCACAGTGTTTAACCTTTCTTTTCATAGAGCAGTTTGGAAACACTCAGTTTGTAAAGTCAGCAACTGGATATTTGGATGTATTTGAGGCCTTCGTTGGAAACGGGATTTCTTCATATAATGCTAGACAGAAGAATTCTCAGTAACTTCTTTGGGTTGTGGGTATTCAAGTCACAGAGTTGAAGCTTCCTTTAGGCGGAGCAGATTGGAAACACTTTTTGTGGAATTTTCAGGGGGAGACTTCAAGCGCTTTGAAGTGAATGGTAGGAAAGGAAATATCTTCGTATAAAAACTAGACGGAGTCATTCTCAGAAACTACTTTGTGATGTTTGCGTTCAACTCACAGAGTTTAACGTTTCTTTTCATAGAGCAGTTTGGAAACACACTTTTTGCAGAATCTGCAAGTGGATATTTGGACCTCTTTGTGGCCTTCGTTGGAAACGGGATTTTTCATATAATGCTAGACAGAAGACTTCTCAGTAACTTCTTTTTGTGGTGTGTATTCAACTCACAGAGTTGAACCTTCCTTTAGACAGAGCAGATTTGAAACTCTCTTTTTGTGGAATTTGCAAGTGGAGATTTCAAGCGCTTTGAGGCCAACGGCAGAAAAGGAAATATCTTCGTAGAAAAAATAGACGGAATCATTCTCAGAAACTGCTTTGGGATGTGTGCATTGAACTCACAGTGTTTAACACTTCTTTTCATAGAGCACTTTGGAAACACTCAGTTTGTAATGTCTGCAGCTGGATATTTGGACCTCTTTGAGGCCTTCGTAGTAAACGGGATTTCTTCGTGTAATGATAGACAATAGAATTCTCAGTGAATTTTTTTCTGTGTGTGTGTATTCAACTCACAGGGTTGAACCTTCCTTTAGACAGTGCAGATTTGAAACACTTGTCTGTGGAATTTGCAAGGGGAGATTTCAAGCACTTTGAGGCCATTGGTGGAAAAGGAAATATCTTCGTATAAAAACTAGACAGAATCATTCTCAGGAACTACTTTGTGATATGTGCATTCAACTCACAGAGTTTAACCTTTCTTTTCATAGATGAGTTTGGAAACAGTCAGTTTGTAAATTCTGCAACTGGATATTTGGACCTCTTTGAGGCTTTCGTTGGAAACGGGATTTCTTCACATAATGCTAGACAGAAGAATTCTCAGGAACTTCTTTTGGGATGTATGTATTCAAATCAGAGAGTTGAACCTTCCTTTAGACAGAGCGGATTGGAAACACTCTTTTTGTGGAATTTGCAAGTGGAAAATTCTAGCAGTATGAGGCCAATGGTACAAAAGGAAATATCTTCGTATAAAAACTAGACAGTATCATTCTCAGAAACTGCTTTGTGATGTGTGTATTAAACTCACAGAGTTGAACATTTCTTTGCATAGAGCAGTTTGGAAAGACTTAGTTTGTGCAGTGTGCAAGTGGATATTTGGAACTCTTTGAGGCCTTCGTTGGAAACGGGATTTCTTCTTATAATTCTTGACAAAAGAATTCTCAGTAGCTTCTTTGTGTGTGTGTATTCAACTCACAGAGTTGAACCTTCCTTTAGACAGAGCAGATTGGAAACACTCTTTTTGTGGAATTTGCAAGTGGAGAATTCTAGCGCTTTGACGCCAATGGTAGAAAGGAAATATCTTCGTATAAACACTAGACAGTATCATTCTCAGAAGCTACTTTGTGATGTGTGCGTTCAACTCACAGAGTTTAACCTTTCTTTTCATAGAGCAGTTTGGAAACACTCTGTTTGTGAAGTCTGCAAGTGGATATTTAAACGTGCTTTGAGGCCTTCGTTGGAAACGGGATTTTTTCATATAAACCAGGACAGAAGAATTCTCAGAAACTTCTTGATTGTTATGTGTGCATTCAACTCACAGAGTTGAACCTTACTTTGGAAAGAGCAGTTTCCTAACACTCGTTTTGTAAAAGTTCCAAGTGAATACTTTGAGTGCTTTGAAGCCTACGGTTGACAACGAAATATCTTCATGTAAAAACTACAAAGAATCATTCGCAGAAACCACGTTGTGATCTCTGCATTCAACTCACAGAGTTCAACCTTTCTTCCTATAGAGCAGTTATGAAACAGTCTCTTTGTAGAATTTGCAAGGGTGTATTTAGAGGGCATTGAAGCCTACGGTAGAAAAGGAAATATCTTACCATAAAATACTAGTCAGAAGCATTCTCAGAAACTGAGTTGTGATGTTTGCATTCAACTCACAGAGTTCAACATTCCTTTTAATGGAGCGGTTTTGAAACACTCTTTTTGCAGAATCTGCAAGTGGATATTTGGACCTCTTTGAGGCCTTCGTTGGAAACGGGATTTCTTCATGTAATGCCAGACAGAAGAATTCTCAGTGAATTCTTTCTGTGTGTGTGTATTCAACTCACAGAGTTGAACGTTCCTTTAGACAGAGTAGATTGGAAACACTCTTTTTGTGGAATTTTCAGGTGGAGGTATCAAGCGCTTTGAGGCCAATGATAGAAAAGGAAATACCTTCGTATAATAATTAGACGGAATCATTCTCAGAAACTGCTTTGCAATGTGTGCGTTCAACTCACAGTGTTTAACCTTTCTTTTCATACAGTTGTTTCGAAACACTCTTTTTGCAGAATCTGCAAGTGGATATTTGGACCTCTTTGAAGTCTTCGTTGGAAATGGGATTTCTTCATATAATGCTAGACAGAAGACTTCTCAGTAACTGCTTTTTCTGGTGTGTATTCTACTCTCAGAGTTGAACTTTCCTTTAGAAACAGCAGATTTGAAACTCTCTTTTTGTGGAATTTGCAAGTGGAGATTTCAGAGCTTTGAGGCCAATGGTAGAAAAGGAAATATCTTCGTATGCAAACTAGACAGAATCATTCTCAGAAACTACTTTGGTACGTGTGTGTTCAACTCACAGTGTTTAACCTTTCTTTTCATAGAGCAGTTTGGAAACACTCAGTTTGTAAAGTCAGCAACTGGATATTTGGATGTATTTGAGGCCTTCGTTGGAAACGGGATTTCTTCATATAATGCTAGACAGAAGAATTCTCAGTAACTTCTTTGGGTTGTGGGTATTCAACTCACAGAGTTGAAGCTTCCTTTAGGCGGAGCAGATTGGAAACACTTTTTGTGGAATTTTCAGGGGGAGACTTCAAGCGCTTTGAAGTGAATGGTAGGAAAGGAAATATCTTCGTATAAAAACTAGACGGAGTCATTCTCAGAAACTACTTTGTGATGTTTGCGTTCAACTCACAGAGTTTAACGTTTCTTTTCATAGAGCAGTTTGGAAACACTCTTTTTGCAGAATCTGCAAGTGGATATTTGGACCTCTTTGTGGCCTTCGTTGGAAACGGGATTTTTCATATAATGCTAGACAGAAGAATTCTCAGTAACTTCCTTTTGTGGTGTGTATTCAACTCACAGAGTTGAACCTTCCTTTAGACAGAGCAGATTTGAAACTCTCTTTTTGTGGAATTTGCAAGTGGAGATTTCAAGCGCTTTGAGGCCAACGGTAGAAAAGGAAATATCTTCGTAGAAAAAATAGACGGAATCATTCTCAGAAACTGCTTTGGGATGTGTGCATTGAACTCACAGTGTTTAACACTTCTTTTCATAGAGCACTTTGGAAACACTCAGTTTGTAATGTCTGCAGCTGGATATTTGGACCTCTTTGAGGCCTTCGTAGTAAACGGGATTTCTTCGTGTAATGATAGACAATAGAATTCTCAGTGAATTTTTTTCTGTGTGTGTGTATTCAACTCACAGGGTTGAACCTTCCTTTAGACAGTGCAGATTTGAAACACTTGTCTGTGGAATTTGCAAGGGGAGATTTCAAGCACTTTGAGGCCATTGGTGGAAAAGGAAATATCTTCGTATAAAAACTAGACAGAATCATTCTCAGGAACTACTTTGTGATATGTGCATTCAACTCCCAGAGTTTAACCTTTCTTTTCATAGATGAGTTTGGAAACAGTCAGTTTGTAAATTCTGCCACTGGATATTTGGACCTCTTTGAGGCTTTCGTTGGAAACGGGATTTCTTCACATAATGCTAGACAGAAGAATTCTCAGTAACTTCTTTTGGGATGTATGTATTCAAATCAGAGAGTTGAACCTTCCTTTAGACAGAGCGGATTGGAAACACTCTTTTTGTGGAATTTGCAAGTGGAAAATTCTAGCAGTATGAGGCCAATGGTACAAAAGGAAATATCTTCGTATAAAAACTAGACAGTATCATTCTCAGAAACTGCTTTGTGATGTGTGTATTAAACTCACAGAGTTGAACATTTCTTTGCATAGAGCAGTTTGGAAAGACTTAGTTTGTGCAGTGTGCAAGTGGATATTTGGAACTCTTTGAGGCCTTCGTTGGAAACGGGATTTCTTCTTATAATTTCTTGAAAAAAGAATTCTCAGTAGCTTCTTTGTGTGTGTGTATTCAACTCACAGAGTTGAACCTTCCTTTAGACAGAGCAGATTGGAAACACTCTTTTTGTGGAATTTGCAAGTGGAGAATTCTAGCGCTTTGACGCCAATGGTAGAAAGGAAATATCTTCGTATAAAAACTAGACAGTATCATTCTCAGAAGCTACTTTGTGATGTGTGCGTTCAACTCACAGAGTTTAACCTTTCTTTTCATAGAGCAGTTTGGAAACCCTCTGTTTGTGAAGTCTGCAAGTGGATATTTAAACGTCTTTGAGGCCTTCGTTGGAAACGGGATTTTTTCATATAAACCAGGACAGAAGAATTCTCAGAAACTTCTTGATTGTTATGTGTGCATTCAACTCACAGAGTTGAACCTTACTTTGGAAAGAGCAGTTTTCTAACACTCTTTTTGTAAAAGTTCCAAGTGAATACTTTGAGTGCTTTGAAGCCTACGGTTGACAACGAAATATCTTCATGTAAAAACTACAAAGAATCATTCGCAGAAACCACGTTGTGATCTCTGCATTCAACTCACAGAGTTGAACCTTTCTTCCTATAGAGCAGTTATGAAACAGTCTCTTTGTAGAATTTGCAAGGGTGTATTTAGAGGGCATTGAAGCCTACGGTAGAAAAGGAAATATCTTACCATAAAATCTAGTCAGAAGCATTCTCAGAAACTGAGTTGTGATGTTTGCATTCAACTCACAGAGTTCAACATTCCTTTTAATGGAGCGGTTTTGAAACACTCTTTTTGCAGAATCTGCAAGTGGATATTTGGACCTCTTTGAGGCCTTCGTTGGAAACGGGATTTCTTCATGTAATGCCAGACAGAAGAATTCTCAGTGAATTCTTTCTGTGTGTGTGTATTCAACTCACAGAGTTGAACGTTCCTTTAGACAGAGTAGATTGGAAACACTCTTTTTGTGGAATTTTCAGGTGGAGGTATCAAGCGCTTTGAGGCCAATGATAGAAAAGGAAATACCTTCGTATAATAATTAGACGGAATCATTCTCAGAAACTGCTTTGCAATGTGTGCGTTCAACTCACAGTGTTTAACCTTTCTTTTCATACAGTTGTTTCGAAACACTCTTTTTGCAGAATCTGCAAGTGGATATTTGGACCTCTTTGAAGTACTTCGTTGGAAATGGGATTTCTTCATATAATGCTAGACAGAAGACTTCTCAGTAACTGCTTTTTCTGGTGTGTATTCAACTCTCAGAGTTGAACTTTCCTTTAGAAACAGCAGATTTGAAACTCTCTTTTTGTGGAATTTGCAAGTGGAGATTTCAGAGCTTTGAGGCCAATGGTAGAAAAGGAAATATCTTCGTATGCAAACTAGACAGAATCATTCTCAGAAACTACTTTGGTACGTGTGTGTTCAACTCACAGTGTTTAACCTTTCTTTTCATAGAGCAGTTTGGAAACACTCAGTTTGTAAAGTCAGCAACTGGATATTTGGATGTATTTGAGGCCTTCGTTGGAAACGGGATTTCTTCATATAATGCTAGACAGAAGAATTCTCAGTAACTTCTTTGGGTTGTGGGTATTCAACTCACAGAGTTGAAGCTTCCTTTAGGCGGAGCAGATTGGAAACACTTTTTGTGGAATTTTCAGGGGGAGACTTCAAGCGCTTTGAAGTGAATGGTAGGAAAGGAAATATCTTCGTATAAAAACTAGACGGAGTCATTCTCAGAAACTACTTTGTGATGTTTGCGTTCAACTCACAGAGTTTAACGTTTCTTTTCATAGAGCAGTTTGGAAACACTCTTTTTGCAGAATCTGCAAGTGGATATTTGGACCTCTTTGTGGCCTTCGTTGGAAACGGGATTTTTCATATAATGCTAGACAGAAGAATTCTCAGTAACTTCTTTTTGTGGTGTGTATTCAACTCACAGAGTTGAACCTTCCTTTAGACAGAGCAGATTTGAAACTCTCTTTTTGTGGAATTTGCAAGTGGAGATTTCAAGCGCTTTGAGGCCAACGGCAGAAAAGGAAATATCTTCGTAGAAAAAATAGACGGAATCATTCTCAGAAACTGCTTTGGGATGTGTGCATTGAACTCACAGTGTTTAACACTTCTTTTCATAGAGCACTTTGGAAACACTCAGGTTGTAATGTCTGCAGCTGGATATTTGGACCTCTTTGAGGCCTTCGTAGTAAACGGGATTTCTTCGTGTAATGATAGACAATAGAATTCTCAGTGAATTTTTTTCTGTGTGTGTGTATTCAACTCACAGGGTTGAACCTTCCTTTAGACAGTGCAGATTTGAGACACTTGTCTGTGGAATTTGCAAGGGGAGATTTCAAGCACTTTGAGGCCATTGGTGGAAAAGGAAATATCTTCGTATGAAAACTAGACAGAATCATTCTCAGGAACTACTTTGTGATATGTGCATTCAACTCACAGAGTTTAACCTTTCTTTTCATAGATGAGTTTGGAAACAGTCAGTTTGTAAATTCTGCAACTGGATATTTGGACCTCTTTGAGGCTTTCGTTGGAAACGGGATTTCTTCACATAATGCTAGACAGAAGAATTCTCAGTAACTTCTTTTGGGATGTATGTATTCAAATCAGAGAGTTGAACCTTCCTTTAGACAGAGCGGATTGGAAACATTCTTTTTGTGGAATTTGCAAGTGGAAAATTCTAGCAGTATGAGGCCAATGGTACAAAAGGAAATATCTTCGTATAAAAACTAGACAGTATCATTCTCAGAAACTGCTTTGTGATGTGTGTATTAAACTCACAGAGTTTCACCTTTCTTTTCATAGAGCAGTTTGGAAACCCTCTGTTTGTGAAGTCTGCAAGTGGATATTTAAACGTCTTTGAGGCCTTCGTTGGAAACGGGATTTTTTCATATAAACCAGGACAGAAGAATTCTCAGAAACTTCTTGATTGTTATGTGTGCATTCAACTCACAGAGTTGAACCTTACTTTGGAAAGAGCAGTTTTCTAACACTCTTTTTGTAAAAGTTCCAAGTGAATACTTTGAGTGCTTTGAAGCCTACGGTTGACAACGAAATATCTTCATGTAAAAACTACAAAGAATCATTCGCAGAAACCACGTTGTGATCTCTGCAGTCAACTCACAGAGTTCAACCTTTCTTCCTATAGAGCAGTTATGAAACAGTCTCTTTGTAGAATTTGCAAGGGTGTATTTAGAGGGCATTGAAGCCTACGGTAGAAAAGGAAATATCTTACCATAAAATCTAGTCAGAAGCATTCTCAGAAACTGAGTTGTGATGTTTGCATTCAACTCACAGAGTTCAACATTCCTTTTAATGGAGCGGTTTTGAAACACTCTTTTTGCAGAATCTGCAAGTGGATATTTGGACCTCTTTGAGGCCTTCGTTGGAAACGGGATTTCTTCATGTAATGCCAGACAGAAGAATTCTCAGTAACTTCTTTTTGTGGTGTGTATTCAACTCACAGAGTTGAACCTTCCTTTAGACAGAGCAGATTTGAAACTCTCTTTTTGTGGAATTTGCAAGTGGAGATTTCAAGCGCTTTGAGGCCAACGGCAGAAAAGGAAATATCTTCGTAGAAAAAATAGACGGAATCATTCTCAGAAACTGCTTTGGGATGTGTGCATTGAACTCACAGTGTTTAACACTTCTTTTCATAGAGCACTTTGGAAACACTCAGTTTGTAATGTCTGCAGCTGGATATTTGGACCTCTTTGAGGCCTTCGTAGTAAACGGGATTTCTTCGTGTAATGATAGACAATAGAATTCTCAGTGAATTTTTTTCTGTGTGTGTGTATTCAACTCACAGGGTTGAACCTTCCTTTAGACAGTGCAGATTTGAAATACTTGTCTGTGGAATTTGCAAGGGGAGATTTCAAGCACTTTGAGGCCATTGGTGGAAAAGGAAATATCTTCGTATAAAAACTAGACAGAATCATTCTCAGGAACTACTTTGTGATATGTGCATTCAACTCACAGAGTTTAACCTTTCTTTTCATAGATGAGTTTGGAAACAGTCAGTTTGTAAATTCTGCAACTGGATATTTGGACCTCTTTGAGGCTTTCGTTGGAAACGGGATTTCTTCACATAATGCTAGACAGAAGAATTCTCAGTAACTTCTTTTGGGATGTATGTATTCAAATCAGAGAGTTGAACCTTCCTTTAGACAGAGCGGATTGGAAACACTCTTTTTGTGGAATTTGCAAGTGGAAAATTCTAGCAGTATGAGGCCAATGGTACAAAAGGAAATATCTTCGTATAAAAACTAGACAGTACCATTCTCAGAAACTGCTTTGTGATGTGTGTATTAAACTCACAGAGTTGAACATTTCTTTGCATAGAGCAGTTTGGAAAGACTTAGTTTGTGCAGTGTGCAAGTGGATATTTGGAACTCTTTGAGGCCTTCGTTGGAAACGGGATTTCTTCTTATAATTTCTTGAAAAAAGAATTCTCAGTAGCTTCTTTGTGTGTGTGTATTCAACTCACAGAGTTGAACCTTCCTTTAGACAGAGCAGATTGGAAACACTCTTTTTGTGGAATTTGCAAGTGGAGAATTCTAGCGCTTTGACGCCAATGGTAGAAAGGAAATATCTTCGTATAAAAACTAGACAGTATCATTCTCAGAAACTACTTTGTGATGTGTGCGTTCAACTCACAGAGTTTAACCTTTCTTTTCATAGAGCAGTTTGGAAACCCTCTGTTTGTGAAGTCTGCAAGTGGATATTTAAACGTCTTTGAGGCCTTCGTTGGAAACGGGATTTGTTCATATAAACCAGGACAGAAGAATTCTCAGAAACTTCTTGATTGTTATGTGTGCATTCAACTCACAGAGTTGAACCTTACTTTGGAAAGAGCAGTTTTCTAACACTCTTTTTGTAAAAGTTCCAAGTGAATACTTTGAGTGCTTTGAAGCCTACGGTTGACAACGAAATATCTTCATGTAAAAACTACAAAGAATCATTCGCAGAAACCACGTTGTGATCTCTGCAGTCAACTCACAGAGTTCAACCTTTCTTCCTATAGAGCAGTTATGAAACAGTCTCTTTGTAGAATTTGCAAGGGTGTATTTAGAGGGCATTGAAGCCTACGGTAGAAAAGGAAATATCTTACCATAAAATCTAGTCAGAAGCATTCTCAGAAACTGAGTTGTGATGTTTGCATTCAACTCACAGAGTTCAACATTCCTTTTAATGGAGCGGTTTTGAAACACTCTTTTTGCAGAATCTGCAAGTGGATATTTGGACCTCTTTGAGGCCTTCGTTGGAAACGGGATTTCTTCATGTAATGCCAGACAGAAGAATTCTCAGTGAATTCTTTCTGTGTGTGTGTATTCAACTCACAGAGTTGAACGTTCCTTTAGACAGAGTAGATTGGAAACACTCTTTTTGTGGAATTTTCAGGTGGAGGTATCAAGCGCTTTGAGGCCAATGATAGAAAAGGAAATACCTTCGTATAATAATTAGACGGAATCATTCTCAGAAACTGCTTTGCAATGTGTGCGTTCAACTCACAGTGTTTAACCTTTCTTTTCATACAGTTGTTTCGAAACACTCTTTTTGCAGAATCTGCAAGTGGATATTTGGACCTCTTTGAAGTCTTCGTTGGAAATGGGATTTCTTCTTATAATGCTAGACAGAAGACTTCTCAGTAACTGCTTTTTCTGGTGTGTATTCAACTCTCAGAGTTGAACTTTCCTTTAGAAACAGCAGATTTGAAACTCTCTTTTTGTGGAATTTGCAAGTGGAGATTTCAAGCGCTTTGAGGCCAACGGCAGAAAAGGAAATATCTTCGTAGAAAAAATAGACGGCATCATTCTCAGAAACTGCTTTGGGATGTGTGCATTGAACTCAAAGTGTTTAACACTTCTTTTCATAGAGCACTTTGGAAACACTCAGTTTGTAATGTCTGCAGCTGGATATTTGGACCTCTTTGAGGCCTTCGTGGTAAACGGGATTTCTTCGTGTAATGATAGACAATAGAATTCTCAGTGAATTTTTTTCTGTGTGTGTGTATTCAACTCACAGGGTTGAACCTTCCTTTAGACAGTGCAGATTTGAAACACTTGTCTGTGGAATTTGCAAGGGGAGATTTCAAGCACTTTGAGGCCATTGGTGGAAAAGGAAATATCTTCGTATGAAAACTAGACAGAATCATTCTCAGGAACTACTTTGTGATATGTGCATTCAACTCCCAGAGTTTAACCTTTCTTTTCATAGATGAGTTTGGAAACAGTCAGTTTGTAAATTCTGCAACTGGATATTTGGACCTCTTTGAGGCTTTCGTTGGAAACGGGATTTTTTCACATAATGCTAGCCAGAAGAATTCTCAGTAACTTCTTTTGGGATGTATGTATTCAAATCAGAGAGTTGAACCTTCCTTTAGACAGAGCGGATTGGAAACACTCTTTTTGTGGAATTTGCAAGTGGAAAATTCTAGCAGTATGAGGCCAATGGTACAAAAGGAAATATCTTCGTATAAAAACTAGACAGTATCATTCTCAGAAACTGCTTTGTGATGTGTGTATTAAACTCACAGAGTTTAACCTTTCTTTTCATAGAGCAGTTTGGAAACCCTCTGTTTGTGAAGTCTGCAAGTGGATATTTAAACGTCTTTGAGGCCTTCGTTGGAAACGGGATTTTTTCATATAAACCAGGACAGAAGAATTCTCAGAAACTTCTTGATTGTTATGTGTGCATTCAACTCACAGAGTTGAACCTTACTTTGGAAAGAGCAGTTTTCTAACACTCTTTTTGTAAAAGTTCCAAGTGAATACTTTGAGTGCTTTGAAGCCTACGGTTGACAACGAAATATCTTCATGTAAAAACTACAAAGAATCATTCGCAGAAACCACGTTGTGATCTCTGCATTCAACTCACAGAGTTGAACCTTTCTTCCTATAGAGCAGTTATGAAACAGTCTCTTTGTAGAATTTGCAAGGGTGTATTTAGAGGGCATTGAAGCCTACGGTATAAAAGGAAATATCTTACCATAAAATCTAGTCAGAAGCATTCTCAGAAACTGAGTTGTGATGTTTGCATTCAACTCACAGAGTTCAACATTCCTTTTAATGGAGCGGTTTTGAAACACTCTTTTTGCAGAATCTGCAAGTGGATATTTGGACCTCTTTGAGGCCTTCGTTGGAAACGGGATTTCTTCATGTAATGCCAGACAGAAGAATTCTCAGTGAATTCTTTCTGTGTGTGTGTATTCAACTCACAGAGTTGAACGTTCCTTTAGACAGAGTAGATTGGAAACACTCTTTTGGTGGAATTTTCAGGTGGAGGTATCAAGCGCTTTGAGGCCAATGATAGAAAAGGAAATACCTTCGTATAATAATTAGACGGAATCATTCTCAGAAACCGCTTTGCAATGTGTGCGTTCAACTCACAGTGTTTAACCTTTCTTTTCATACAGTTGTTTCGAAACACTCTTTTTGCAGAATCTGCAAGTGGATATTTGGACCTCTTTGAAGTCTTCGTTGGAAATGGGATTTCTTCATATAATGCTAGACAGAAGACTTCTCAGTAACTGCTTTTTCTGGTGTGTATTCAACTCTCAGAGTTGAACTTTCCTTTAGAAACAGCAGATTTGAAACTCTCTTTTTGTGGAATTTGCAAGTGGAGATTTCAGAGCTTTGAGGCCAATGGTAGAAAAGGAAATATCTTCGTATGCAAACTAGACAGAATCATTCTCAGAAACTACTTTGGTACGTGTGTGTTCAACTCACAGTGTTTAACCTTTCTTTTCATAGAGCAGTTTGGAAACACTCAGTTTGTAAAGTCAGCAACTGGATATTTGGATGTATTTGAGGCCTTCGTTGGAAACGGGATTTCTTCATATAATGCTAGACAGAAGAATTCTCAGTAACTTCTTTGGGTTGTGGGTATTCAAGTCACAGAGTTGAAGCTTCCTTTAGGCGGAGCAGATTGGAAACACTTTTTGTGGAATTTTCAGGGGGAGACTTCAAGCGCTTTGAAGTGAATGGTAGGAAAGGAAATATCTTCGGTATAAAAACTAGACGGAGTCATTCTCAGAAACTACTTTGTGATGTTTGCGTTCAACTCACAGAGTTTAACGTTTCTTTTCATAGAGCAGTTTGGAAACACTCTTTTTGCAGAATCTGCAAGTGGATATTTGGACCTCTTTGTGGCCTTCGTTGGAAACGGGATTTTTCATATAATGCTAGACAGAAGAATTCTCAGTAACTTCTTTTTGTGGTGTGTATTCAACTCACAGAGTTGAACCTTCCTTTAGACAGAGCAGATTTGAAACTCTCTTTTTGTGGAATTTGCAAGTGGAGATTTCAAGCGCTTTGAGGCCAACGGCAGAAAAGGAAATATCTTCGTAGAGAAAATAGACGGAATCATTCTCAGAAACTGCTTTGGGATGTGTGCATTGAACTCACAGTGTTTAACACTTCTTTTCATAGAGCACTTTGGAAACACTCAGTTTGTAATGTCTGCAGCTGGATATTTGGACCTCTTTGAGGCCTTCGTAGTAAACGGGATTTCTTCGTGTAATGATAGACAATAGAATTCTCAGTGAATTTGTTTCTGTGTGTGTGTATTCAACTCACAGGGTTGAACCTTCCTTTAGACAGTGCAGATTTGAAACACTTGTCTGTGGAATTTGCAAGGGGAGATTTCAAGCACTTTGAGGCCATTGGTGGAAAAGGAAATATCTTCGTATAAAAACTAGACAGAATCATTCTCAGGAACTACTTTGTGATATGTGCATTCAACTCACAGAGTTTAACTTTTCTTTTCATAGATGAGTTTGGAAACAGTCAGTTTGTAAATTCTGCAACTGGATATTTGGACCTCTTTGAGGCTTTCATTGGAAACGGGATTTCTTCACATAATGCTAGACAGAAGAATTCTCAGTAACTTCTTTTGGGATGTATGTATTCAAATCAGAGAGTTGAACCTTCCTTTAGACAGAGCGGATTGGAAACACTCTTTTTGTGGAATTTGCAAGTGGAAAATTCTAGCAGTATGAGGCCAATGGTACAAAAGGAAATATCTTCGTATAAAAACTAGACAGTATCATTCTCAGAAACTGCTTTGTGATGTGTGTATTAAACTCACAGAGTTGAACATTTCTTTGCATAGAGCAGTTTGGAAAGACTTAGTTTGTGCAGTGTGCAAGTGGATATTTGGAACTCTTTGAGGCCTTCGTTGGAAACGGGATTTCTTCTTATAATTCTTGACAAAAGAATTCTCAGTAGCTTCTTTGTGTGTGTGTATTCAACTCACAGAGTTGAACCTTCCTTTAGACAGAGCAGATTGGAAACACTCTTTTTGTGGAATTTGCAAGTGGAGAATTCTAGCGCTTTGACGCCAATGGTAGAAAGGAAATATCTTCGTATAAAAACTAGACAGTATCATTCTCAGAAGCTACTTTGTGATGTGTGCGTTCAACTCACAGAGTTTAACCTTTCTTTTCATAGAGCAGTTTGGAAACCCTCTGTTTGTGAAGTCTGCAAGTGGATATTTAAACGTCTTTGAGGCCTTCGTTGGAAACGGGATTTGTTCATATAAACCAGGACAGAAGAATTCTCAGAAACTTCTTGATTGTTATGTGTGCATTCAACTCACAGAGTTGAACCTTACTTTGGAAAGAGCAGTTTTCTAACACTCTTTTTGTAAAAGTTCCAAGTGAATACTTTGAGTGCTTTGAAGCCTACGGTTGACAACGAAATATCTTCATGTAAAAACTACAAAGAATCATTCACAGAAACCACGTTGTGATCTCTGCATTCAACTCACAGAGTTCAACATTTCTTCCTATAGAGCAGTTATTAAACAGTCTCTTTGTAGAATTTGCAAGGGTGTATTTAGAGGGCATTGAAGCCTACGGTAGAAAAGGAAATATCTTATCATAAAATCTAGTCAGAAACATTCGCAGCAACTGAGTTGTGATGTTTGCATTCAACTCACAGAGTTCAACATTCCTTTTAATGGAGCGGTTTTGAAACACTCTTTTTGCAGAATCTGCAAGTGGATATTTGGACCTCTTTGAGGCCTTCGTTGGAAACGGGATTTCTTCATGGAATGCCAGACAGAAGAATTCTCATTGAATTCTTTCTGTGTGTGTGTATTCAACTCACAGAGTTGAACGTTCCTTTAGACAGAGTAGATTGGAAACACTCTTTTTGTGGAATTTTCAGGTGGAGGTATCAAGCGCTTTGAGGCCAATGATAGAAAAGGAAATACCTTCGTATAATAATTAGACGGAATCATTCTCAGAAACTGCTTTGCAATGTGTGCGTTCAACTCACAGTGTTTAACCTTTCTTTTCATACAGTTGTTTCGAAACACTCTTTTTGCAGAATCTGCAAGTGGATATTTGGACCTCTTTGAAGTCTTCGTTGGAAATGGGATTTCTTCATATAATGCTAGACAGAAGACTTCTCAGTAACTGCTTTTTCTGGTGTGTATTCAACTCTCAGAGTTGAACTTTCCTTTAGAAACAGCAGATTTGAAACTCTCTTTTTGTGGAATTTGCAAGTGGAGATTTCAGAGCTTTGAGGCCAATGGTAGAAAAGGAAATATCTTCGTATGCAAACTAGACAGAATCATTCTCAGAAACTACTTTGGTACGTGTGTGTTCAACTCACAGTGTTTAACCTTTCTTTTCATAGAGCAGTTTGGAAACACTCAGTTTGTAAAGTCAGCAACTGGATATTTGGATGTATTTGAGGCCTTCGTTGGAAACGGGATTTCTTCATATAGTGCTAGACAGAAGAATTCTCAGTAACTTCTTTGGGTTGTGGGTATTCAAGTCACAGAGTTGAAGCTTCCTTTAGGCGGAGCAGATTGGAAACACTTTTTGTGGAATTTTCAGGGGGAGACTTCAAGCGCTTTGAAGTGAATGGTAGGAAAGGAAATATCTTCGTATAAAAACTAGACGGAGTCATTCTCAGAAACTACTTTGTGATGTTTGCGTTCAACTCACAGAGTTTAACGTTTCTTTTCATAGAGCAGTTTGGAAACACTCTTTTTGCAGAATCTGCAAGTGGATATTTGGACCTCTTTGTGGCCTTCGTTGGAAACGGGATTTTTCATATAATGCTAGACAGAAGAATTCTCAGTAACTTCTTTTTGTGGTGTGTATTCAACTCACAGAGTTGAACCTTCCTTTAGACAGAGCAGATTTGAAACTCTCTTTTTGTGGAATTTGCAAGTGGAGATTTCAAGCGCTTTGAGGCCAACGGCAGAAAAGGAAATATCTTCGTAGAAAAAATAGACGGAATCATTCTCAGAAACTGCTTTGGGATGTGTGCATTGAACTCACAGTGTTTAACACTTCTTTTCATAGAGCACTTTGGAAACACTCAGTTTGTAATGTCTGCAGCTGGATATTTGGACCTCTTTGAGGCCTTCGTAGTAAACGGGATTTCTTCGTGTAATGATAGACAATAGAATTCTCAGTGAATTTTTTTCTGTGTGTGTGTATTCAACTCACAGGGTTGAACCTTCCTTTAGACAGTGCAGATTTGAAACACTTGTCTGTGGAATTTGCAAGGGGAGATTTCAAGCACTTTGAGGCCATTGGTGGAAAAGGAAATATCTTCGTATGAAAACTAGACAGAATCATTCTCAGGAACTACTTTGTGATATGTGCATTCAACTCACAGAGTTTAACCTTTCTTTTCATAGATGAGTTTGGAAACAGTCAGTTTGTAAATTCTGCAACTGGATATTTGTACCTCTTTGAGGCTTTCGTTGGAAACGGGATTTCTTCACATAATGCTAGACAGAAGAATTCTCAGTAACTTCTTTTGGGATGTATGTATTCAAATCAGAGAGTTGAACCTTCCTTTAGACAGAGCGGATTGGAAACACTCTTTTTGTGGAATTTGCAAGTGGAAAATTCTAGCAGTATGAGGCCAATGGTACAAAAGGAAATATCTTCGTATAAAAACTAGACAGTATCATTCTCAGAAACTGCTTTGTGATGTGCGTATTAAACTCACAGAGTTGAACATTTCTTTGCATAGAGCAGTTTGGAAAGACTTAGTTTGTGCAGTGTGCAAGTGGATATTTGGAACTCTTTGAGGCCTTCGTTGGAAACGGGATTTCTTCTTGTAATTCTTGACAAAAGAATTCTCAGTAGCTTCTTTGTGTGTGTGTATTCAACTCACAGAGTTGAACCTTCCTTTAGACAGAGCAGATTGGAAACACTCTTTTTGTGGAATTTGCAAGTGGAGAATTCTAGCGCTTTGACGCCAATGGTAGAAAGGAAATATCTTCGTATAAAAACTAGACAGTATCATTCTCAGAAGCTACTTTGTGATGTGTGCGTTCAACTCACAGAGTTTAACCTTTCTTTTCATAGAGCAGTTTGGAAACCCTCTGTTTGTGAAGTCTGCAAGTGGATATTTAAACGTCTTTGAGGCCTTCGTTGGAAACGGGATTTCTTTATATAAACCAGGACAGAAGAATTCTCAGAAACTTCTTGTTTGTTATGTGTGCATTCAACTCACAGAGTTGAACCTTACTTTGGAAAGAGCAGTTTTCTAACACTCTTGTTGTAAAAGTTCCAAGTGAATACTTTGAGTGCTTTGAAGCCTACGGTAGACAACGAAATATCTTCATGTAAAAACTGCGAAGAATCATTCGCCGAAACCACGTTGTGATCTCCGCATTCAACTCACAGAGTTCAACCTTTCTTCCTATAGAGCAGTTATTAAACAGTCTCTTTGTAGAATTTGCAAGGGTGTATTTAGAGGGTATTGAAGCCTATGGTAGAAAAGGAAATATCTGACCATAAAATCTAGTCAGAAGCATTCTCAGAAACGGTGTTGTGATGTTTGCATTCAACTCACAGAGTTCAACATTCCTTGTCATGGAGCGGTTTTGAAACACTCTTTTTGCAGAATCTGCAAGTGGATATTTGGACCTCTTTGAGGCCTTCGTTGGAAACGGGATTTCTTCATGTAATGCCAGACAGAAGAACTCTCAGTGAATTCTTTCTGTGTGTGTGTATTCAACTCACAGAGTTGAACGTTCCTTTAGACAGAGTAGATTGGAAACACTCTTTTTGTGGAATTTTCAGGTGGAGGTATCAAGCGCTTTGAAGCCCATGATAGAAAAGGAAATACCTTCGTATAATAATTAGACGGAATCATTCTCAGAAACTGCTTTGCAATGTGTGCCTTCAACTCACAGCGTTTAACCTTTCTTTTCATACAGTTGTTTCGAAACACTCTTTTTGCAGAACCTGCAAGTGGATATTTGGACCTCTTTGAAGTCTTCTTTGGAAATGGGATTTCTTCATATAATGCTAGACAGAAGACTTCTCAGTAACTGCTTTTTCTGGTGTGTATTCAACTCTCAGAGTTGAACTTTCCTTTAGAAACAGCAGATTTGAAACTCTCTTTTTGTGGAATTTGCAAGTGGAGATTTCAAAGCTTTGAGGCCAATGGTAGAAAAGGAAATATCTTCGTATGCAAACTAGACAGAATCATTCTCAGAAACTACTTTGGTACGTGTGTGTTCAACTCACAGTGTTTAACCTTTCTTTTCATAGAGCAGTTTGGAAACACTCAGTTTGTAAAGTCAGCAACTGGATATTTGGATGTATTTGAGGCCTTCGTTGGAAACGGGATTTCTTCATATAATGCTAGACAGAAGAATTCTCAGTAACTTCTTTGGGTTGTGGGTATTCAAGTCACAGAGTTGAAGCTTCCTTTAGGCGGAGCAGATTGGAAACACTTTTTGTGGAATTTTCAGGGGGAGACTTCAAGCGCTTTGAAGTGAATGGTAGGAAAGGAAATATCTTCGTATAAAAACTAGACGGAGTCATTCTCAGAAACTACTTTGTGATGTTTGCGTTCAACTCACAGAGTTTAACGTTTCTTTTCATAGAGCAGTTTGGAAACACTCTTTTTGCAGAATCTGCAAGTGGATATTTGGACCTCTTTGTGGCCTTCGTTGGAAACGGGATTTTTCATATAATGCTAGACAGAAGAATTCTCAGTAACTTCTTTTTGTGGTGTGTATTCAACTCACAGAGTTGAACCTTCCTTTAGACAGAGCAGATTTGAAACTCTCTTTTTGTGGAATTTGCAAGTGGAGATTTCAAGCGCTTTGAGGCCAACGGCAGAAAAGGAAATATCTTCGTAGAAAAAATAGACGGAATCATTCTCAGAAACTGCTTTGGGATGTGTGCATTGAACTCACAGTGTTTAACACTTCTTTTCATAGAGCACTTTGGAAACACTCAGTTTATAATGTCTGCAGCTGGATATTTGGACCTCTTTGAGGCCTTCGTAGTAAACGGGATTTCTTCGTGTAATGATAGACAATAGAATTCTCAGTGAATTTTTTTCTGTGTGTGTGTATTCAACTCACAGGGTTGAACCATCCTTTAGACAGTGCAGATTTGAAACACTTGTCTGTGGAATTTGCAAGGGGAGATTTCAAGCACTTTGAGGCCATTGGTGGAAAAGGAAATATCTTCGTATGAAAACTATACAGAATCATTCTCAGGAACTACTTTGTGATATGTGCATTCAACTCCCAGAGTTTAACCTTTCTTTTCATAGATGAGTTTGGAAACAGTCAGTTTGTAAATTCTGCAACTGGATATTTGGACCTCTTTGAGGCTTTCGTTGGAAACGGGATTTCTTCACATAATGCTAGACAGAAGAATTCTCAGTAACTTCTTTTGGGATGTATGTATTCAAATCAGAGAGTTGAACCTTCCTTTAGACAGAGCGGATTGGAAACCCTCTTTTTGTGGAATTTGCAAGTGGAAAATTCTAGCAGTATGAGGCCAATGGTACAAAAGGAAATATCTTCGTATAAAAACTAGACAGTATCATTCTCAGAAACTGCTTTGTGATGTGTGTATTAAACTCACAGAGTTGAACATTTCTTTGCATAGAGCAGTTTGGAAAGACTTAGTTTGTGCAGTGTGCAAGTGGATATTTGGAACTCTTTGAGGCCTTCGTTGGAAACGGGATTTCTTCTTATAATTTCTTGAAAAAAGAATTCTCAGTAGCTTCTTTGTGTGTGTGTATTCAACTCACAGAGTTGAACCTTCCTTTAGACAGAGCAGATTGGAAACACTCTTTTTGTGGAATTTGCAAGTGGAGAATTCTAGCGCTTTGACGCCAATGGTAGAAAGGAAATATCTTCGTATAAAAACTAGACAGTAATCATTCTCAGGAAACTACTTTGTGAGGTGTGCGTTCAACTCACAGTGTTTACCCTTTCTTTTCATAGAGCAGTTTGGAAACACTCTGTTTGTGAAGTCTGCAAGTGGATATTTAAACGTCTTTGAGGCCTTCGTTGGAAACGGGATTTCTTCATATAAACCAGGACAGAAGAATTCTCAGAAACTTCTTGATTGTTATGTGTGCATTCAACTCACAGAGTTGAACCTTACTTTGGAAAGAGCAGTTTTCTAACACTCTTTTTGTAAAAGTTCCAAGTGAATACTTTGAGTGCTTTGAAGCCTACGGTTGACAACGAAATATCTTCATGTAAAAACTACAAAGAATCATTCGCAGAAACCACGTTGTGATCTCTGCATTCAACTCACAGAGTTCAACCTTTCTTCCTATAGAGCAGTTATGAAACAGTCTCTTTGTAGAATTTGCAAGGGTGTATTTAGAGGGCATTGAAGCCTACGGTAGAAAAGGAAATATCTTACCATAAAATCTAGTCAGAAGCATTCTCAGCAACTGAGTTGTGATGTTTGCATTCAACTCACAGAGTTCAACATTCCTTTTAATGGAGCGGTTTTGAAACACTCTTTTTGCAGAATCTGCAAGTGGATATTTGGACCTCTTTGAGGCCTTCGTTGGAAACGGGATTTCTTCATGTAATGCCAGACAGAAGAATTCTCAGTGAATTCTTTCTGTGTGTGTGTATTCAACTCACAGAGTTGAACGTTCCTTTAGACAGAGTAGATTGGAAACACTCTTTTTGTGGAATTTTCAGGTGGAGGTATCAAGCACTTTGAGGCCAATGATAGAAAAGGAAATACCTTCGTATAATAATTAGACGGAATCATTCTCAGAAACTGCTTTGCAATGTGTGCGTTCAACTCACAGTGTTTAACCTTTCTTTTCATACAGTTGTTTCGAAACACTCTTTTTGCAGAATCTGCAAGTGGATATTTGGACCTCTTTGAAGTCTTCGTTGGAAATGGGATTTCTTCATATAATGCTAGACAGAAGACTTCTCAGTAACTGCTTTTTCTGGTGTGTATTCAACTCTCAGAGTTGAACTTTCCTTTAGAAACAGCAGATTTGAAACTCTCTTTTTGTGGAATTTGCAAGTGGAGATTTCAGAGCTTTGAGGCCAATGGTAGAAAAGGAAATATCTTCGTATGCAAACTAGACAGAATCATTCTCAGAAACTACTTTGGTACGTGTGTGTTCAACTCACAGTGTTTAACCTTTCTTTTCATAGAGCAGTTTGGAAACACTCAGTTTGTAAAGTCAGCAACTGGATATTTGGATGTATTTGAGGCCTTCGTTGGAAACGGGATTTCTTCATATAATGCTAGACAGAAGAATTCTCAGTAACTTCTTTGGGTTGTGGGTATTCAACTCACAGAGTTGAAGCTTCCTTTAGGCGGAGCAGATTGGAAACACTTTTTGTGGAATTTTCAGGGGGAGACTTCAAGCGCTTTGAAGTGAATGGGAGGAAAGGAAATATCTTCGTATAAAAACTAGACGGAGTCATTCTCAGAAACTACTTTGTGATGTTTGCGTTCAACTCACAGAGTTTAACGTTTCTTTTCATAGAGCAGTTTGGAAACACTCTTTTTGCAGAATCTGCAAGTGGATATTTGGACCTCTTTGTGGCCTTCGTTGGAAACGGGATTTTTCATATAATGCTAGACAGAAGAATTCTCAGTAACTTCTTTTTGTGGTGTGTATTCAACTCAGAGAGTTGAACCTTCCTTTAGACAGAGCAGATTTGAAACTCTCTTTTCGTGGAATTTGCAAGTGGAGATTTCAAGCGCTTTGGGGCCAACGGTAGAAAAGGAAATATCTTCGTAGAAAAAATAGACGGAATCATTCTCAGAAACTGCTTTGGGATGTGTGCATTGAACTCACAGTGTTTAACACTTCTTTTCATAGAGCACTTTGGAAACACTCAGTTTGTAATGTCTGCAGCTGGATATTTGGACCTCTTTGAGGCCTTCGTAGTAAACGGGATTTCTTCGTGTAATGATAGACAATAGAATTCTCAGTGAATTTCTTTCTGTGTGTGTGTATTCAACTCACAGGGTTGAACCTTCCTTCAGACAGTGCAGATTTGAAACACTTTTCTGTGGAATTTGCAAGGGGAGATTTCAAGCACTTTGAGGCCATTGGTGGAAAAGGAAATATCTTCGTATAAAAACTAGACAGAATCATTCTCAGGAACTACTTTGTGATATGTGCATTCAACTCACAGGGTTTAACCTTTCTTTTCATAGATGAGTTTGGAAACAGTCAGTTTGTAAATTCTGCAACTGGATATTTGGACCTCTTTGAGGCTTTCGTTGGAAACGGGATTTCTTCACATAATGCTAGACAGAAGAATTCGCAGTAACTTCCTTTGGGATGTATGTATTCAACTCAGAGAGTTGAACCTTCCTTTAGACAGAGCGCATTGGAAACACGCTTTTTGCGGAATTTTCAGGTGGAGATTCCAAGAGCCTTGAGGCCAATGGTACAAAAGGCTATCTTCGTATAAAAACTAGAGGGAATCATTCTCAGAAACTGCTTTGTGATGTGTGCATTGAACTCACAGAGTTGAACATTTCTTTGCATAGAGCAGTTTGGAAAGACTTAGTTTGTACAGTGTGCAAGTGGATATTTGGAACTCTTTGAGGCCTTCGTTTGAAAAGGGATTTCTTCTTATACTTCTTGACAAAAAAGATTCTCAGTAGCTTCTTTGTGTGTGTGTACTCAACTCACAGAGTTGAACCTTCCTTTAGACAGAGCAGATTGGAAATATTCTTTTTGTGGAATTTGCAAGTGGAAAATTCTAGCAGTATGAGGCCAATGGTACAAAAGGAAATATCTTCGTATAAAAACTAGACAGATCATTCTCAGAAACTACTTTGTGAGGTGTGCGTTCAACTCACAGTGTTTACCCTTTCTTTTCATAGAGCAGTTTGGAAACACTCTGTTTGTGAAGTCTGCAAGTGGATATTTAAACGTCTTTGAGGCCTTCGTTGGAAACGGGATTTCTTCATATAAACCAGGACAGAAGAATTCTCAGAAACTTCTTGTTTGTTATGTGTGCATTCAACTCACAGAGTTGAACCTTACTTTGGAAAGAGCAGTTTTCTAACACTCTTTTTGTAAAAGTTCCAAGTGAATACTTTGAATGCTTTGAAGCCTACGGTAGACAACGAAATATCTTCATGTAAAAACTACAAAGAATCATTCGCAGAAACCACGTTGTGATCTCTGCATTCAACTCACAGAGTTGAACATTTCCTCCTATAGAGCAGTTATGAAACAGTCTCTTTGTAGAATTTGCAAGGGTGTATTTACAGGGCATTGAAGCCTACGGTAGAAAAGGAAATATCTTACCATAAAATCTAGTCAGAAGCATTCTCAGAAACTGAGTTGTGATGTTTGCATTCAACTCACAGAGTTCAACATTCCTTTTAATGGAGCGGTTTTGAAACACTCTTTTTGCAGAATCTGCAAGTGGATATTTGGACCTCTTTGAGGCCTTCGTTGGAAACGGGATTTCTTCATGTAATGCCAGACAGAAGAATTCTCAGTGAATTCTTTCTGTGTGTGTGTATTCAACTCACAGAGTTGAACGTTCCTTTAGACAGAGTAGATTGGAAACACTCTTTTTGTGGAATTTTCAGGTGGAGGTATCAAGCGCTTTGAGGCCAATGATAGAAAAGGAAATACCTTCGTATAATAATTAGACGGAATCATTCTCAGAAACCGCTTTGCAATGTGTGCGTTCAACTCACAGTGTTTAACCTTTCTTTTCATACAGTTGTTTCGAAACACTCTTTTTGCAGAATCTGCAAGTGGATATTTGGACCTCTTTGAAGTCTTCGTTGGAAATGGGATTTCTTCATATAATGCTAGACAGAAGACTTCTCAGTAACTGCTTTCTCTGGTGTGTATTCAACTCTCAGGAGTTGAACTTTCCTTTAGAAACAGCAGATTTGAAACTCTCTTTTTGTGGAATTTGCAAGTGGAGATTTCAGAGCTTTGAGGCCAATGGTAGAAAAGGAAATATCTTCGTATGCAAACTAGACAGAATCATTCTCAGAAACTACTTTGGTACGTGTGTGTTCAACTCACAGTGTTTAACCTTTCTTTTCATAGAGCAGTTTGGAAACACTCAGTTTGTAAAGTCAGCAACTGGATATTTGGATGTATTTGAGGCCTTCGTTGGAAACGGGATTTCTTCATATAATGCTAGACAGAAGAATTCTCAGTAACTTCTTTGGGTTGTGGGTATTCAAGTCACAGAGTTGAAGCTTCCTTTAGGCGGAGCAGATTGGAAACACTTTTTGTGGAATTTTCAGGGGGAGACTTCAAGCGCTTTGAAGTGAATGGTAGGAAAGGAAATATCTTCGTATAAAAACTAGACGGAGTCATTCTCAGAAACTACTTTGTGATGTTTGCGTTCAACTCACAGAGTTTAACGTTTCTTTTCACAGAGCAGTTTGGAAACACTCTTTTTGCAGAATCTGCAAGTGGATATTTGGACCTCTTTGTGCCTTCGTTGGAAACGGGATTTTTCATATAATGCTAGACAGAAGAATTCTCAGTAACTTCTTTTTGTGGTGTGTATTCAACTCACAGAGTTGAACCTTCCTTTAGACAGAGCAGATTTGAAACTCTCTTTTTGTGGAATTTGCAAGTGGAGATTTCAAGCGCTTTGAGGCCAACGGCAGAAAAGGAAATATCTTCGTAGAAAAAATAGACGGAATCATTCTCAGAAACTGCTTTGGGATGTGTGCATTGAACTCACAGTGTTTAACACTTCTTTTCATAGAGCACTTTGGAAACACTCAGTTTGTAATGTCTGCAGCTGGATATTTGGACCTCTTTGAGGCTTCGTAGTAAACGGGATTTCTTCGTGTAATGATAGACAATAGAATTCTCAGTGAATTTTTTTCTGTGTGTGTGTATTCAACTCACAGGGTTGAACCTTCCTTTAGACAGTGCAGATTTGAAACACTTGTCTGTGGAATTTGCAAGGGGAGATTTCAAGCACTTTGAGGCCATTGGTGGAAAAGGAAATATCTTCGTATAAAAACTAGACAGAATCATTCTCAGGAACTACTTTGTGATATGTGCATTCAACTCCCAGAGTTTAACCTTTCTTTTCATAGATGAGTTTGGAAACAGTCAGTTTGTAAATTCTGCAACTGGATATTTGGACCTCTTTGAGGCTTTCGTTGGAAACGGGATTTCTTCACATAATGCTAGACAGAAGAATTCTCAGTAACTTCTTTTGGGATGTATGTATTCAAATCAGAGAGTTGAACCTTCCTTTAGACAGAGCGGATTGGAAACACTCTTTTTGTGGAATTTGCAAGTGGAAAATTCTAGCAGTATGAGGCCAATGGTACAAAAGGAAATATCTTCGTATAAAAACTAGACAGTATCATTCTCAGAAACTGCTTTGTGATGTGTGTATTAAACTCACAGAGTTGAACATTTCTTTGCATAGAGCAGTTTGGAAAGACTTAGTTTGTGCAGTGTGCAAGTGGATATTTGGAACTCTTTGAGGCCTTCATTGGAAACGGGATTTCTTCTTATAATTTCTTGAAAAAAGAATTCTCAGTAGCTTCTTTGTGTGTGTGTATTCAACTCACAGAGTTGAACCTTCCTTTAGACAGAGCAGATTGGAAACACTCTTTTTGTGGAATTTGCAAGTGGAGAATTCTAGCGCTTTGACGCCAATGGTAGAAAGGAAATATCTTCGTATAAAAACTAGACAGTATCATTCTCAGAAGCTACTTTGTGATGTGTGCGTTCAACTCACAGAGTTTAACCTTTCTTTTCATAGAGCAGTTTGGAAACCCTCTGTTTGTGAAGTCTGCAAGTGGATATTTAAACGTCTTTGAGGCCTTCGTTGGAAACGGGATTTTTTCATATAAACCAGGACAGAAGAATTCTCAGAAACTTCTTGATTGTTATGTGTGCATTCAACTCACAGAGTTGAACCTTACTTTGGAAAGAGCAGTTTTCTAACACTCTTTTTGTAAAAGTTCCAAGTGAATACTTTGAGTGCTTTGAAGCCTACGGTTGACAACGAAATATCTTCCTGTAAAAACTACAAAGAATCATTCGCAGAAACCACGTTGTGATCTCTGCATTCAACTCACAGAGTTGAACCTTTCTTCCTATAGAGCAGTTATGAAACAGTCTCTTTGTAGAATTTGCAAGGGTGTATTTAGAGGGCATTGAAGCCTACGGTAGAAAAGGAAATATCTTACCATAAAATCTAGTCAGAAGCATTCTCAGCAACTGAGTTGTGATGTTTGCATTCAACTCACAGAGTTCAACATTCCTTTTAATGGAGCGGTTTTGAAACACTCTTTTTGCAGAATCTGCAAGTGGATATTTGGACCTCTTTGAGGCCTTCGTTGGAAACGGGATTTCTTCATGTAATGCCAGACAGAAGAATTCTCAGTGAATTCTTTCTGTGTGTGTGTATTCAACTCACAGAGTTGAACGTTCCTTTAGACAGAGTAGATTGGAAACACTCTTTTTGTGGAATTTTCAGGTGGAGGTATCAAGCGCTTTGAGGCCAATGATAGAAAAGGAAATACCTTCGTATAATAATTAGACGGAATCATTCTCAGAAACTGCTTTGCAATGTGTGCGTTCAACTCACAGTATTTAACCTTTCTTTTCATACAGTTGTTTCGAAACACTCTTTTTGCAGAATCTGCAAGTGGATATTTGGACCTCTTTGAAGTCTTCGTTGGAAATGGGATTTCTTCATATAATGCTAGACAGAAGACTTCTCAGTAACTGCTTTTTCTGGTGTGTATTCTACTCTCAGAGTTGAACTTTCCTTTAGAAACAGCAGATTTGAAACTCTCTTTTTGTGGAATTTGCAAGTGGAGATTTCAGAGCTTTGAGGCCAATGGTAGAAAAGGAAATATCTTCGTATGCAAACTAGACAGAATCATTCTCAGAAACTACTTTGGTACGTGTGTGTTCAACTCACAGTGTTTAACCTTTCTTTTCATAGAGCAGTTTGGAAACACTCAGTTTGTAAAGTCAGCAACTGGATATTTGGATGTATTTGAGGCCTTCGTTGGAAACGGGATTTCTTCATATAATGCTAGACAGAAGAATTCTCAGTAACTTCTTTGGGTTGTGGGTATTCAACTCACAGAGTTGAAGCTTCCTTTAGCGGAGCAGATTGGAAACACTTTTTGTGGAATTTTCAGGGGGAGACTTCAAGCGCTTTGAAGTGAATGGTAGGAAAGGAAATATCTTCGTATAAAAACTAGACGGAGTCATTCTCAGAAACTACTTTGTGATGTTTGCGTTCAACTCACAGAGTTTAACGTTTCTTTTCATAGAGCAGTTTGGAAACACTCTTTTTGCAGAATCTGCAAGTGGATATTTGGACCTCTTTGTGGCCTTCGTTGGAAACGGGATTTTTCATATAATGCTAGACAGAAGAATTCTCAGTAACTTCTTTTTGTGGTGTGTATTCAACTCACAGAGTTGAACCTTCCTTTAGACAGAGCAGATTTGAAACTCTCTTTTTGTGGAATTTGCAAGTGGAGATTTCAAGCGCTTTGAGGCCAACGGCAGAAAAGGAAATATCTTCGTAGAAAAAATAGACGGAATCATTCTCAGAAACTGCTTTGGGATGTGTGCATTGAACTCACAGTGTTTAACACTTCTTTTCATAGAGCACTTTGGAAACACTCAGTTTGTAATGTCTGCAGCTGGATATTTGGACCTCTTTGAGGCCTTCGTGGTAAACGGGATTTCTTCGTGTAATGATAGACAATAGAATTCTCAGTGAATTTTTTTCTGTGTGTGTGTATTCAACTCACAGGGTTGAACCTTCCTTTAGACAGTGCAGATTTGAGACACTTGTCTGTGGAATTTGCAAGGGGAGATTTCAAGCACTTTGAGGCCATTGGTGGAAAAGGAAATATCTTCGTATAAAAACTAGACAGAATCATTCTCAGGAACTACTTTGTGATATGTGCATTCAACTCACAGAGTTTAACCTTTCTTTTCATAGATGAGTTTGGAAACAGTCAGTTTGTAAATGCTGCAACTGGATATTTGGGCCTCTTTGAGGCTTTCGTTGGAAACAGGATTTCTTCACATAATGCTAGACAGAAGAATTCTCAGTAACTTCTTTTGGGATGTATGTATTCAAATCAGAGAGTTGAACCTTCCTTTAGACAGAGCGGATTGGAAACACTCTTTTTGTGGAATTTGCAAGTGGAAAATTCTAGCAGTATGAGGCCAATGGTACAAAAGGAAATATCTTCGTATAAAAACTAGACAGTATCATTCTCAGAAACTGCTTTGCGATGTGTGTATTAAACTCACAGAGTTGAACATTTCTTTGCATAGAGCAGTTTGGAAAGACTTAGTTTGTGCAGTGTGCAAGTGGATATTTGGAACTACTTTGAGGCCTTCGTTGGAAACGGGATTTCTTCTTATAATTCTTGACAAAAGAATTCTCAGTAGCTTCTTTGTGTGTGTGTATTCAACTCACAGAGTTGAACCTTCCTTTAGACAGAGCAGATTGGAAACACTCTTTTTGTGGAATTTGCAAGTGGAGAATTCTAGCGCTTTGACGCCAATGGTAGAAAGGAAATATCTTCGTATAAAAACTAGACAGTATCATTCTCAGAAGCTACTTTGTGATGTGTGCGTTCAACTCACAGAGTTTAACCTTTCTTTTCATAGAGCAGTTTGGAAACCCTCTGTTTGTGAAGTCTGCAAGTGGATATTTAAACGTCTTTGAGGCCTTCGTTGGAAACGGGATTTTTTCATATAAACCAGGACAGAAGAATTCTCAGAAACTTCTTGATTGTTATGTGTGCATTCAACTCACAGAGTTGAACCTTACTTTGGAAAGAGCAGTTTTCTAACACTCTTTTTGTAAAAGTTCCAAGTGAATACTTTGAGTGCTTTGAAGCCTACGGTTGACAACGAAATATCTTCATGTAAAAACTACAAAGAATGATTCGCAGAAACCACGTTGTGATCTCTGCATTCAACTCACAGAGTTCAACCTTTCTTCCTATAGAGCAGTTATGAAACAGTCTCTTTGTAGAATTTGCAAGGGTGTATTTAGAGGGCATTGAAGCCTACGGTAGAAAAGGAAATATCTTACCATAAAATCTAGTCAGAAGCATTCTCAGCAACTGAGTTGTGATGTTTGCATTCAACTCACAGAAGTTCAACATTCCTTTTAATGGAGCGGTTTTGAAACACTCTTTTTGCAGAATCTGCAAGTGGATATTTGGACCTCTTTGAGGCCTTCGTTGGAAACGGGATTTCTTCATGTAATGCCAGACAGAAGAATTCTCAGTGAATTCTTTCTGTGTGTGTGTATTCAACTCACAGAGTTGAACGTTCCTTTAGACAGAGTAGATTGGAAACACTCTTTTTGTGGAATTTTCAGGTGGAGGTATCAAGCGCTTTGAGGCCAATGATAGAAAAGGAAATACCTTCGTATAATAATTAGACGGAATCATTCTCAGAAACTGCTTTGCAATGTGTGCGTTCAACTCACAGTGTTTAACCTTTCTTTTCATACAGTTGTTTCGAAACACTCTTTTTGCAGAATCTGCAAGTGGATATTTGGACCTCTTTGAAGTCTTCGTTGGAAATGGGATTTCTTCATATAATGCTAGACAGAAGACTTCTCAGTAACTGCTTTTTCTGGTGTGTATTCAACTCTCAGAGTTGAACTTTCCTTTAGAAACAGCAGATTTGAAACTCTCTTTTTGTGGAATTTGCAAGTGGAGATTTCAGAGCTTTGAGGCCAATGGTAGAAAAGGAAATATCTTCGTATGCAAACTAGACAGAATCATTCTCAGAAACTACTTTGGTACGTGTGTGTTCAACTCACAGTGTTTAACCTTTCTTTTCATAGAGCAGTTTGGAAACACTCAGTTTGTAAAGTCAGCAACTGGATATTTGGATGTATTTGAGGCCTTCGTTGGAAACGGGATTTCTTCATATAATGCTAGACAGAAGAATTCTCAGTAACTTCTTTGGGTTGTGGGTATTCAAGTCACAGAGTTGAAGCTTCCTTTAGGCGGAGCAGATTGGAAACACTTTTTGTGGAATTTTCAGGGGGAGACTTCAAGCGCTTTGAAGTGAGTGGTAGGAAAGGAAATATCTTCGTATAAAAACTAGACGGAGTCATTCTCAGAAACTACTTTGTGATGTTTGCGTTCAACTCACAGAGTTTAACGTTTCTTTTCATAGAGCAGTTTGGAAACACTCTTTTTGCAGAATCTGCAAGTGGATATTTGGACCTCTTTGTGGCCTTCGTTGGAAACGGGATTTTTCATATAATGCTAGACAGAAGAATTCTCAGTAACTTCTTTTTGTGGTGTGTATTCAACTCACAGAGTTGAACCTTCCTTTAGACAGAGCAGATTTGAAACTCTCTTTTTGTGGAATTTGCAAGTGGAGATTTCAAGCGCTTTGAGGCCAACGGCAGAAAAGGAAATATCTTTGTAGAAAAAATAGACGGAATCATTCTCAGAAACTGCTTTGGGATGTGTGCATTGAACTCACAGTGTTTAACACTTCTTTTCATAGAGCACTTTGGAAACACTCAGTTTGTAATGTCTGCAGCTGGATATTTGGACCTCTTTGAGGCCTTCGTAGTAAACGGGATTTCTTCGTGTAATGATAGACAATAGAATTCTCAGTGAATTTTTTTCTGTGTGTGTGTATTCAACTCACAGGGTTGAACCTTCCTTTAGACAGTGCAGATTTGAAACACTTGTCTGTGGAATTTGCAAGGGGAGATTTCAAGCACTTTGAGGCCATTGGTGGAAAAGGAAATATCTTCGTATGAAAACTAGACAGAATCATTCTCAGGAACTACTTTGTGATATGTGCATTCAACTCACAGAGTTTAACCTTTCTTTTCATAGATGAGTTTGGAAACAGTCAGTTTGTAAATTCTGCAACTGGATATTTGGACCTCTTTGAGGCTTTCGTTGGAAACGGGATTTCTTCACATAATGCTAGACAGAAGAATTCTCAGTAACTTCTTTTGGGATGTATGTATTCAAATCAGAGAGTTGAACCTTCCTTTAGACAGAGCGGATTGGAAACACTCTTTTTGTGGAATTTGCAAGTGGAAAATTCTAGCAGTATGAGGCCAATGGTACAAAAGGAAATATCTTCGTATAAAAACTAGACAGTATCATTCTCAGAAACTGCTTTGTGATGTGTGTATTAAACTCACAGAGTTGAACATTTCTTTGCATAGAGCAGTTTGGAAAGACTTAGTTTGTGCAGTGTGCAAGTGGATATTTGGAACTCTTTGAGGCCTTCGTTGGAAACGGGATTTCTTCTTATAATTCTTGACAAAAGAATTCTCAGTAGCTTCTTTGTGTGTGTGTATTCAACTCACAGAGTTGAACCTTCCTTTAGACAGAGCAGATTGGAAACACTCTTTTTGTGGAATTTGCAAGTGGAGAATTCTAGCGCTTTGACGCCAATGGTAGAAAGGAAATATCTTCGTATAAAAACTAGACAGTATCATTCTCAGAAGCTACTTTGTGATGTGTGCGTTCAACTCACAGAGTTTAACCTTTCTTTTCATAGAGCAGTTTGGAAACCCTCTGTTTGTGAAGTCTGCAAGTGGATATTTAAACGTCTTTGAGGCCTTCGTTGGAAACGGGATTTTTTCATATAAACCAGGACAGAAGAATTCTCAGAAACTTCTTGATTGTTATGTGTGCATTCAACTCACAGAGTTGAACCTTACTTTGGAAAGAGCAGTTTTCTAACACTCTTTTTGTAAAAGTTCCAAGTGAATACTTTGAGTGCTTTGAAGCCTACGGTTGACAACGAAATATCTTCATGTAAAAACTACAAAGAATCATTCGCAGAAACCACGTTGTGATCTCTGCATTCAACTCACAGAGTTCAACCTTTCTTCCTATAGAGCAGTTATGAAACAGTCTCTTTGTAGAATTTGCAAGGGTGTATTTAGAGGGCATTGAAGCCTACGGTAGAAAAGGAAATATCTTACCATAAAATCTAGTCAGAAGCATTCTCAGCAACTGAGTTGTGATGTTTCCATTCCACTCACAGAGTTCAACATTCCTTTTAATGGAGCGGTTTTGAAACACTCTTTTTGCAGAATCTGCAAGTGGATATTTGGACCTCTTTGAGGCCTTCGTTGGAAACGGGATTTCTTCATGTAATGCCAGACAGAAGAATTCTCAGTGAATTCTTTCTCTGTGTGTGTATTCAACTCACAGAGTTGAACGTTCCTTTAGACAGAGTAGATTGGAAACACTCTTTTTGTGGAATTTTCAGGTGGAGGTATCAAGCGCTTTGAGGCCAATGATAGAAAAGGAAATACCTTCGTATAATAATTAGACGGAATCATTCTCAGAAACTGCTTTGCAATGTGTGCGTTCAACTCACAGTGTTTAACCTTTCTTTTCATACAGTTGTTTCGAAACACTCTTTTTGCAGAATCTGCAAGTGGATATTTGGACCTCTTTGAAGTCTTCGTTGGAAATGGGATTTCTTCATATAATGCTAGACAGAAGACTTCTCAGTAACTGCTTTTTCTGGTGTGTATTCAACTCTCAGAGTTGAACTTTCCTTTAGAAACAGCAGATTTGAAACTCTCTTTTTGTGGAATTTGCAAGTGGAGATTTCAGAGCTTTGAGGCCAATGGTAGAAAAGGAAATATGCTTCGTATGCAAACTAGACAGAATCATTCTCAGAAACTACTTTGGTACGTGTGTGTTCAACTCACAGTGTTTAACCTTTCTTTTCATAGAGCAGTTTGGAAACACTCAGTTTGTAAAGTCAGCAACTGGATATTTGGATGTATTTGAGGCCTGCGTTGGAAACGGGATTTCTTCATATAATGCTAGACAGAAGAATTCTCAGTAACTTCTTTGTGTTGTGGGTATTCAACTCACAGAGTTGAAGCTTCCTTTAGGCGGAGCAGATTGGAAACACTTTTTGTGGAATTTTCAGGGGGAGACTTCAAGCGCTTTGAGGCCAACGGTAGAAAAGGAAATATCTTCGTATAAAAACTAGACGGAGTCATTCTCAGAAACTACTTTGTGATGTTTGCGTTCAACTCACAGAGTTTAACGTTTCTTTTCATAGAGCAGTTTGGAAACACTCTTTTTGCAGAATCTGCAAGTGGATATTTGGATCTCTTTGGGGCCTTCGTTGGAAACGGGATTTTTCATATAATGCTAGACAGAAGAATTCTCAGTAACTTCTTTTTGTGGTGTGTATTCAACTCACAGAGTGGAACCTTCCTTTAGACAGAGCAGATTTGAAACTCTCTTTTCGTGGAATTTGCAAGTGGAGATTTCAAGCGCTTTGAGGCCAACGGTAGAAAAGGAAATATCTTCGTAGAAAAAATAGACGGAATCATTCTCAGAAACTGCTTTGGGATGTGTGCATTGAACTCACAGTGTTTAACACTTCTTTTCATAGAGCACTTTGGAAACACTCAGTTTGTAATGTCTGCAGCTGGATATTTGGACCTCTTTGAGGCCTTCGTAGTAAACGGGATTTCTTCGTGTAATGATAGACAATAGAATTCTCAGTGAATTTTTTTCTGTGTGTGTGTATTCAACTCACAGGGTTGAACCTTCCTTCAGACAGTGCAGATTTGAAACACTTTTCTGTGGAATTTGCAAGGGGAGATTTCAAGCACTTTGAGGCCATTGGTGGAAAAGGAAATATCTTCGTATAAAAACTAGACAGAATCATTCTCAGGAACTACTTTGTGATATGTGCGTTCAACTCACAGGGTTTAACCTTTCTTTTCATAGATGAGTTTGGAAACAGTCAGTTTGTAAATTCTGCAACTGGATATTAGGACCTCTTTGAGGCTTTCGTTGGAAACGGGATTTCTTCACATAATGCTAGACACAAGAATTCGCAGTAACTTCTTTTGGGATGTATGTATTCAACTCAGAGAGTTGAACCTTCCTTTAGACAGAGCGCATTGGAAACACGCTTTTTGCGGAATTTTCAGGTGGAGATTCCAAGAGCCTTGAGGCCAATGGTAGAAAAGGCTATCTTCGTATAAAAACTAGAGGGAATCATTCTCAGAAACTGCTTTGTGATGTGTGCATTAAACTCACAGAGTTGAACATTTCTTTGCATAGAGCAGTTGGGAAAGACTTAGTTTGCACAGTGTGCAAGTGGATATTTGGAACTCTTTGAGGCCTTCGCTGGAAACGGGATTTCTTCTTATAATTCTTGACAAAAGAATTCTCAGTAGCTTCTTTGTGTGTGTGTATTCAACTCACAGAGTTGAACCTGCCTTTAGGCAGAGCAGATTGGAAACCCTCTTTTTGTGGAATTTGCAAGTGGAGAATTCTAGCGCTTTGACGCCAATGGTAGGAAAGGAAATATCTTCGTATAAAAACTGGACAGTATCATTCTCGGAAACTACTTTGTGATGTGTGCGTTCAACTCACAGAGTTTAACCTTTCTTTTCATAGAGCAGTTTGGAAACACTCTGTTTGTGAAGTCTGCAAGTGGATATTTAAACGTCTTTGAGGCCTTCGTTGGAAACGGGATTTTTTCCTATAAACCAGGACAGAAGAATTCTCAGAAACTTCTTGTTTGTTATGTGTGCATTCAACTCACAGAGTTGAACCTTACTTTGGAAAGAGCAGTTTTCTAACACTCTTTTTGTAAAAGTTCCAAGTGAATACTTTGAGTGCTTTGAAGCCTACGGTAGACAACGAAATATCTTCATGTAAAAACTACAAAGAATCATTCGCAGAAACCACGTTGTGATCTCTGCATTCAACTCACAGAGTTCAACCTTTCTTCCTACAGAGCAGTTATAAACAGTCTGTTTGTAGAATTTGCAAGGGTGTATTTAGAGGGCATTGAGGCCTACGGTAGAAAAGGAAATATCTGACCATAAAATCTAGTCAGAAGCATTCTCAGAAACTGAGTTGTGATGTTTGCATTCAACTCACAGAGTTCAACATTCCTTTTAATAGAGCGGTTTTGAAACACTCTTTTTGCAGAATCTGCAAGTGGATATTTGGACCTCTTTGAGGCCTTCGTTGGAAACGGGATTTCTTCATGTAATGCCAGACAGAAGAATTCTCAGTGAATTCTTTCTGTGTGTGTGTATTCAACTCACAGAGTTGAACGTTCCTTTAGACAGAGTAGATTGGAAACACTCTTTTTGTGGAATTTTCAGGTGGAGGTATCAAGCGCTTTGAGGCCCATGATAGAAAAGGAAATACCTTCGTATAATAATTAGACGGAATCATTCTCAGAAACCGCTTTGCAATGTGTGCGTTCAACTCACAGTGTTTAACCTTTCTTTTCATAGAGTTGTTTCGAAACACTCTTTTTGCAGAATCTGCAAGTGGATATTTGGACCTCTTTGAAGTCTTCGGTTGGAAATGGGATTTCTTCATATAATGCTAGACAGAAGACTTCTCAGTAACTGCTTTTTCTGGTGTGTATTCAACTCTCAGAGTTGAACTTTCCTTTAGAAACAGCAGAGTTGAAACTCTCTTTTTGTGGAATTTGCAAGTGGAGATTTCAAAGCTTTGAGGCCAATGGTAGAAAAGGAAATATCTTCGTATGCAAACTAGACAGAATCATTCTCAGAAACTACTTTGGTACGTGTGTGTTCAACTCACAGTGTTTAACCTTTCTTTTCATAGAGCAGTTTGGAAACACTCAGTTTGTAAAGTCAGCAACTGGATATTTGGATGTTTTTGAGGCCTTCGTTGGAAACGGGATTTCTTCATATAATGCTAGACAGAAGAATTCTCAGTAACTTCTTTTTGTGGTGTGTATTCAACTCACAGAGTTTAACCTTCCTTTAGACAGAGCAGATTTGAAACTCTCTTTTTGTGGAATTTGCAAGTGGAGATTTCAAGCGCTTTGAGGCCAACGGTAGAAAAGGAAATATCTTCGTAGAAAAAATAGACGGAATCATTCTCAGAAACTGCTTTGGGATGTGTGCATTGAACTCACAGTGTTTAACACTTCTTTTCATAGAGCACTTTGGAAACACTCAGTTTGTAATGTCTGCAGCTGGATATTTGGACCTCTTTGAGGCCTTCGTAGTAAACGGGATTTCTTCGTGTAATGATAGACAATAGAATTCTCAGTGAATTTTTTTCTGTGTGTGTGTATTCAACTCACAGGGTTGAACCTTCCTTTAGACAGTGCAGATTTGAAACACTTGTCTGTGGAATTTGCAAGGGGAGATTTCAAGCACTTTGAGGCCATTGGTGGAAAAGGAAATATCTTCGTATAAAAACTAGACAGAATCATTCTCCGGAACTACTTTGTGATATGTGCATTCAACTCACAGAGTTTAACCTTTCTTTTCATAGATGAGTTTGGAAACAGTCAGTTTGTAAATTCTGCAACTGGATATTTGGACCTCTTTGAGGCTTTCGTTGGAAACGGGATTTCTTCACATAATGCTAGACAGAAGTAATTCTCAGTAACTTCTTTTGGGATGTATGTATTCAAATCAGAGAGTTGAACCTTCCTTTAGACAGAGCGGATTGGAAACACTCTTTTTGTGGAATTTGCAAGTGGAAAATTCTAGCAGTATGAGGCCAATGGTACAAAAGGAAATATCTTCGTATAAAAACTAGACAGTATCATTCTCAGAAACTGCTTTGTGATGTGTGAATTAAACTCACAGAGTTGAACATTTCTTTGCATAGAGCAGTTTGGAAAGACTTAGTTTTTGCAGTGTGCAAGTGGATATTTGGAACTCTTTGAGGCCTTCGTTGGAAACGGGATTTCTTCTTATAATTCTTGACAAAAGAATTCTCAGTAGCTTCTTTGTGTGTGTGTATTCAACTCACAGAGTTGAACCTTCCTTTAGACAGAGCAGATTGGAAACACTCTTTTTGTGGAATTTGCAAGTGGAGAATTCTAACGCTTTGACGCCAATGGTAGAAAGGAAATATCTTCGTATAAAAACTAGACAGTATCTTTCTCAGAAACAACTTTGTGATGTGTGCGTTCAACTCAAAGAGTTTAACCTTTCTTTTCATAGAGCAGTTTGGAAACACTCTGTTTGTGAAGTCTGCAAGTGGATATTTAAACGTCTCTGAGGCCTTCGTTGGAAACGGGATTTTTTCATATAAACCAGGACAGAAGAATTCTCAGAAACTTCTTGATTGTTATGTGTGCATTCAACTCACAGAGTTGAACCTTACTTTGGAAAGAGCAGTTTTCTAACACTCTTTTTGTAAAAGTTCCAAGTGAATACTTTGAGTGCTTTGAAGCCTACGGTTGACAACGAAATATCTTCCTGTAAAAACTACAAAGAATCATTCGCAGAAACCACGTTGTGATCTCTGCATTCAACTCACAGAGTTGAACCTTTCTTCCTATAGAGCAGTTATGAAACAGTCTCTTTGTAGAATTTGCAAGGGTGTATTTAGAGGGCATTGAAGCCTACGGTAGAAAAGGAAATATCTTACCATAAAATCTAGTCAGAAGCATTCTCAGCAACTGAGTTGTGATGTTTGCATTCAACTCACAGAGTTCAACATTCCTTTTAATGGAGCGGTTTTGAAACACTCTTTTTGCAGAATCTGCAAGTGGATATTTGGACCTCTTTGAGGCCTTCGTTGGAAACGGGATTTCTTCATGTAATGCCAGACAGAAGAATTCTCAGTGAATTCTTTCTGTGTGTGTGTATTCAACTCACAGAGTTGAACGTTCCTTTAGACAGAGTAGATTGGAAACACTCTTTTTGTGGAATTTTCAGGTGGAGGTATCAAGCGCTTTGAGGCCAATGATAGAAAAGGAAATACCTTCGTATAATAATTAGACGGAATCATTCTCAGAAACTGCTTTGCAATGTGTGCGTTCAACTCACAGTGTTTAACCTTTCTTTTCATACAGTTGTTTCGAAACACTCTTTTTGCAGAATCTGCAAGTGGATATTTGGACCTGTTTGAAGTCTTCGTTGGAAATGGGATTTCTTCATATAATGCTAGACAGAAGACTTCTCAGTAACTGCTTTTTCTGGTGTGTATTCAACTCTCAGAGTTGAACTTTCCTTTAGAAACAGCAGATTTGAAACTCTCTTTTTGTGGAATTTGCAAGTGGAGATTTCAGAGCTTTGAGGCCAATGGTAGAAAAGGAAATATCTTCGTATGCAAACTAGACAGAATCATTCTCAGAAACTACTTTGGTACGTGTGTGTTCAACTCACAGTGTGTAACCTTTCTTTTCATAGAGCAGTTTGGAAACACTCAGTTTGTAAAGTCAGCAACTGGATATTTGGATGTATTTGAGGCCTTCGTTGGAAACGGGATTTCTTCATATAATGCTAGACAGAAGAATTCTCAGTAACTTCTTTGGGTTGTGGGTATTCAACTCACAGAGTTGAAGCTTCCTTTAGGCGGAGCAGATTGGAAACACTTTTTGTGGAATTTTCAGGGGGAGACTTCAAGCGCTTTGAAGTGAATGGTAGGAAAGGAAATATCTTCGTATAAAAACTAGACGGAGTCATTCTCAGAAACTACTTTGTGATGTTTGCGTTCAACTCACAGAGTTTAACGTTTCTTTTCATAGAGCAGTTTGGAAACACTCTTTTTGCAGAATCTGCAAGTGGATATTTGGACCTCTTTGTGGCCTTCGTTGGAAACGGGATTTTTCATATAATGCTAGACAGAAGAATTCTCAGTAACTTCTTTTTGTGGTGTGTATTCAACTCACAGAGTTGAACCTTCCTTTAGACAGAGCAGATTTGAAACTCTCTTTTTGTGGAATTTGCAAGTGGAGATTTCAAGCGCTTTGAGGCCAACGGCAGAAAAGGAAATATCTTCGTAGAAAAAATAGACGGAATCATTCTCAGAAACTGCTTTGGGATGTGTGCATTGAACTCACAGTGTTTAACACTTCTTTTCATAGAGCACTTTGGAAACACTCAGTTTATAATGTCTGCAGCTGGATATTTGGACCTCTTTGAGGCCTTCGTAGTAAACGGGATTTCTTCGTGTAATGATAGACAATAGAATTCTCAGTGAATTTTTTTCTGTGTGTGTGTATTCAACTCACAGGGTTGAACCATCCTTTAGACAGTGCAGATTTGAAACACTTGTCTGTGGAATTTGCAAGGGGAGATTTCAAGCACTTTGAGGCCATTGGTGGAAAAGGAAATATCTTCGTATGAAAACTATACAGAATCATTCTCAGGAACTACTTTGTGATATGGGCATTCAACTCCCAGAGTTTAACCTTTCTTTTCATAGATGAGTTTGGAAACAGTCAGTTTGTAAATTCTGCAACTGGATATTTGGACCTGCTTTGAGGCTTTCGTTGGAAACGGGATTTCTTCACATAATGCTAGACAGAAGAATTCTCAGTAACTTCTTTTGGGATGTATGTATTCAAATCAGAGAGTTGAACCTTCCTTTAGACAGAGCGGATTGGAAACACTCTTTTTGTGGAATTTGCAAGTGGAAAATTCTAACAGTATGAGGCCAATGGTACAAAAGGAAATATCTTCGTATAAAAACTAGACAGTATCATTCTCAGAAACTGCTTTGTGATGTGTGTATTAAACTCACAGAGTTGAACATTTCTTTGCATAGAGCAGTTTGGAAAGACTTAGTTTGTGCAGTGTGCAAGTGGATATTTGGAACTCTTTGAGGCCTTCGTTGGAAACGGGATTTCTTCTTATAATTCTTGACAAAAGAATTCTCAGTAGCTTCTTTGTGTGTGTGTATTCAACTCACAGAGTTGAACCTTCCTTTAGACAGAGCAGATTGGAAACACTCTTTTTGTGGAATTTGCAAGTGGAGAATTCTAGCGCTTTGACGCCAATGGTAGAAAGGAAATATCTTCGTATAAAAACTAGACAGTATCATTCTCAGAAGCTACTTTGTGATGTGTGCGTTCAACTCACAGAGTTTAACCTTTCTTTTTCATAGAGCAGTTTGGAAACACTCTGTTTGTGAAGTCTGCAAGTGGATATTTAAACGTCTTTGAGGCCTTCGTTGGAAACGGGATTTTTTCATATAAACCAGGACAGAAGAATTCTCAGAAACTTCTTGTTTGTTATGTGTGCATTCAACTCACAGAGTTGAACCTTACTTTGGAAAGAGCAGTTTTCTAACACTCTTTTTGTAAAAGTTCCAAGTGAATACTTTGAGTGCTTTGAAGCCTACGGTAGACAACGAAATATCTTCATGTAAAAACTACAAAGAATCATTCACAGAAACCACGTTGTGATCTCTGCATTCAACTCACAGAGTTGAACCTTTCCTCCTATAGAGCAGTTATGAAACAGTCTCTTTGTAGAATTTGCAAGGGTGTATTTACAGGGCATTGAAGCCTACGGTAGAAAAGGAAATATCTTACCATAAAATCTAGTCAGAAGCATTCTCAGAAACTGAGTTGTGATGTTTGCATTCAACTCACAGAGTTCAACATTCCTTTTAATGGAGCGGTTTTGAAACACTCTTTTTGCAGAATCTGCAAGTGGATATTTGGACCTCTTTGAGGCCTTCGTTGGAAACGGGATTTCTTCATGTAATGCCAGACAGAAGAATTCTCAGTGAATTCTTTCTGTGTGTGTGTATTCAACTCACGGAGTTGAACGTTCCTTTAGACAGAGTAGATTGGAAACACTCTTTTTGTGGAATTTTCAGGTGGAGGCATCAAGCGCTTTGAGGCCAATGATAGAAAAGGAAATACCTTCGTATAATAATTAGACGGAATCATTCTCAGAAACTGCTTTGCAATGTGTGCGTTCAACTCACAGTGTTTAACCTTTCTTTTCATACAGTTGTTTCGAAACACTCTTTTTGCAGAATCTGCAAGTGGATATTTGGACCTCTTTGAAGTCTTCGTTGGAAATGGGATTTCTTCATATAATGCTAGACAGAAGACTTCTCAGTAACTGCTTTTTCTGGTGTGTATTCAACTCTCAGAGTTGAACTTTCCTTTAGAAACAGCAGATTTGAAACTCTCTTTTTGTGGAATTTGCAAGTGGAGATTTCAGAGCTTTGAGGCCAATGGTAGAAAAGGAAATATCTTCGTATGCAAACTAGACAGAATCATTCTCAGAAACTACTTTGGTACGTGTGTGTTCAACTCACAGTGTTTAACCTTTCTTTTCATAGAGCAGTTTGGAAACACTCAGTTTGTAAAGTCAGCAACTGGATATTTGGATGTATTTGAGGCCTTCGTTGGAAACGGGATTTCTTCATATAATGCTAGACAGAAGAATTCTCAGTAACTTCTTTGGGTTGTGGGTATTCAAGTCACAGAGTTGAAGCTTCCTTTAGGCGGAGCAGATTGGAAACACTTTTTGTGGAATTTTCAGGGGGAGACTTCAAGCGCTTTGAAGTGAATGGTAGGAAAGGAAATATCTTCGTATAAAAACTAGACGGAGTCATTCTCAGAAACTACTTTGTGATGTTTGCGTTCAACTCACAGAGTTTAACGTTTCTTTTCATAGAGCAGTTTGGAAACACTCTTTTTGCAGAATCTGCAAGTGGATATTTGGACCTCTTTGTGGCCTTCGTTGGAAACGGGATTTTTCATATAATGCTAGACAGAAGAATTCTCAGTAACTTCTTTTTGTGGTGTGTATTCAACTCACAGAGTTGAACCTTCCTTTAGACAGAGCAGATTTGAAACTCTCTTTTTGTGGAATTTGCAAGTGGAGATTTCAAGCGCTTTGAGGCCAACGGCAGAAAAGGAAATATCTTCGTAGAAAAAATAGACGGAATCATTCTCAGAAACTGCTTTGGGATGTGTGCATTGAACTCACAGTGTTTAACACTTCTTTTCATAGAGCACTTTGGAAACACTCAGTTTGTAATGTCTGCAGCTGGATATTTGGACCTCTTTGAGGCCTTCGTGGTAAACGGGATTTCTTCGTGTAATGATAGACAATAGAATTCTCAGTGAATTTTTTTCTGTGTGTGTGTATTCAACTCACAGGGTTGAACCTTCCTTTAGACAGTGCAGATTTGAAACACTTGTCTGTGGAATTTGCAAGGGGAGATTTCAAGCACTTTGAGGCCATTGGTGGAAAAGGAAATATCTTCGTATAAAAACTAGACAGAATCATTCTCAGGAACTACTTTGTGATATGTGCATTCAACTCCCAGAGTTTAACCTTTCTTTTCATAGATGAGTTTGGAAACAGTCAGTTTGTAAATTCTGCAACTGGATATTTGGACCTCTTTGAGGCTTTCGTTGGAAACGGGATTTCTTCACATAATGCTAGACAGAAGAATTCTCAGTAACTTCTTTTGGGATGTATGTATTCAAATCAGAGAGTTGAACCTTCCTTTAGACAGAGCGGATTGGAAACACTCTTTTTGTGGAATTTGCAAGTGGAAAATTCTAGCAGTATGAGGCCAATGGTACAAAAGGAAATATCTTCGTATAAAAACTAGACAGTATCATTCTCAGAAACTGCTTTGTGATGTGTGTATTAAACTCACAGAGTTGAACATTTCTTTGCATAGAGCAGTTTGGAAAGACTTAGTTTGTGCAGTGTGCAAGTGGATATTTGGAACTCTTTGAGGCCTTCGTTGGAAACGGGATTTCTTCTTATAATTTCTTGAAAAAAGAATTCTCAGTAGCTTCTTTGTGTGTGTGTATTCAACTCACAGAGTTGAACCTTCCTTTACACAGAGCAGATTGGAAACACTCTTTTTGTGGAATTTGCAAGTGGAGAATTCTAGCGCTTTGACGCCAATGGTAGAAAGGAAATATCTTCGTATAAAAACTAGACAGTATCATTCTCAGAAGCTACTTTGTGATGTGTGCGTTCAACTCACAGAGTTTAACCTTTCTTTTCATAGAGCAGTTTGGAAACCCTCTGTTTGTGAAGTCTGCAAGTGGATATTTAAACGTCTTTGAGGCCTTCGTTGGAAACGGGATTTTTTCATATAAACCAGGACAGAAGAATTCTCAGAAACTTCTTGATTGTTATGTGTGCATTCAACTCACAGAGTTGAACCTTACTTTGGAAAGAGCAGTTTTCTAACACTCTTTTTGTAAAAGTTCCAAGTGAATACTTTGAGTGCTTTGAAGCCTACGGTTGACAACGAAATATCTTCATGTAAAAACTACAAAGAATCATTCGCAGAAACCACGTTGTGATCCCTGCATTCAACTCACAGAGTTCAACCTTTCTTCCTATAGAGCAGTTATGAAACAGTCTCTTTGTAGAATTTGCAAGGGTGTATTTAGAGGGCATTGAAGCCTACGGTAGAAAAGGAAATATCTTACCATAAAATCTAGTCAGAAGCATTCTCAGCAACTGAGTTGTGATGTTTCCATTCAACTCACAGAGTTCAACATTCCTTTTAATGGAGCGGTTTTGAAACACTCTTTTTGCAGAATCTGCAAGTGGATATTTGGACCTCTTTGAGGCCTTCGTTGGAAACGGGATTTCTTCATGTAATGCCAGACAGAAGAATTCTCAGTGAATTCTTTCTGTGTGTGTGTATTCAACTCACAGAGTTGAACGTTCCTTTAGACAGAGTAGATTGGAAACACTCTTTTTGTGGAATTTTCAGGTGGAAGTATCAAGCGCTTTGAGGCCAATGATAGAAAAGGAAATACCTTCGTATAATAATTAGACGGAATCATTCTCAGAAACCGCTTTGCAATGTGTGCGTTCAACTCACAGTGTTTAACCTTTCTTTTCATACAGTTGTTTCGAAACACTCTTTTTGCAGAATCTGCAAGTGGATATTTGGACCTCTTTGAAGTCTTCGTTGGAAATGGGATTTCTTCATATAATGCTAGACAGAAGACTTCTCAGTAACTGCTTTTTCTGGTGTGTATTCAACTCTCAGAGTTGAACTTTCCTTTAGAAACAGCAGATTTGAAACTCTCTTTTTGTGGAATTTGCAAGTGGAGATTTCAGAGCTTTGAGGCCAATGGTAGAAAAGGAAATATCTTCGTATGCAAACTAGACAGAATCATTCTCAGAAACTACTTTGGTACGTGTGTGTTCAACTCACAGTGTTTAACCTTTCTTTTCATAGAGCAGTTTGGAAACACTCAGTTTGTAAAGTCAGCAACTGGATATTTGGATGTATTTGAGGCCTTCGTTGGAAACGGGATTTCTTCATATAATGCTAGACAGAAGAATTCTCAGTAACTTCTTTGGGTTGTGGGTATTCAAGTCACAGAGTTGAAGCTTCCTTTAGGCGGAGCAGATTGGAAACACTTTTTGTGGAATTTTCAGGGGGAGACTTCAAGCGCTTTGAAGTGAATGGTAGGAAAGGAAATATGCTTCGTATAAAAACTAGACGGAGTCATTCTCAGAAACTACTTTGTGATGTTTGTGTTCAACTCACAGAGTTTAACGTTTCTTTTCATAGAGCAGTTTGGAAACACTCTTTTTGCAGAATCTGCAAGTGGATATTTGGACCTCTTTGTGGCCTTCGTTGGAAACGGGATTTTTCATATAATGCTAGACAGAAGAATTCTCAGTAACTTCTTTTTGTGGTGTGTATTCAACTCACAGAGTTGAACCTTCCTTTAGACAGAGCAGATTTGAAACTCTCTTTTTGTGGAATTTGCAAGTGGAGATTTCAAGCGCTTTGAGGCCAACGGCAGAAAAGGAAATATCTTCGTAGAAAAAATAGACGGAATCATTCTCAGAAACTGCTTTGGGATGTGTGCATTGAACTCACAGTGTTTAACACTTCTTTTCATAGAGCACTTTGGAAACACTCAGTTTGTAATGTCTGCAGCTGGATATTTGGACCTCTTTGAGGCCTTCGTAGTAAACGGGATTTCTTCGTGTAATGATAGACAATAGAATTCTCAGTGAATTTTTTTCTGTGTGTGTGTATTCAACTCACAGGGTTGAACCTTCCTTTAGACAGTGCAGATTTGAAACACTTGTCTGTGGAATTTGCAAGGGGAGATTTCAAGCACTTTGAGGCCATTGGTGGAAAAGGAAATATCTTCGTATGAAAACTAGACAGAATCATTCTCAGGAACTACTTTGTGATATGTGCATTCAACTCACAGAGTTTAACCTTTCTTTTCATAGATGAGTTTGGAAACAGTCAGTTTGTAAATTCTGCAACTGGATATTTGGACCTCTTTGAGGCTTTCGTTGGAAACGGGATTTCTTCACATAATGCTAGACAGAAGAATTCTCAGGAACTTCTTTTGGGATGTATGTATTCAAATCAGAGAGTTGAACCTTCCTTTAGACAGAGCGGATTGGAAACACTCTTTTTGTGGAATTTGCAAGTGGAAAATTCTAGCAGTATGAGGCCAATGGTACAAAAGGAAATATCTTTCGTATAAAAACTAGACAGTAATCATTCTCAGAAACTGCTTTGTGATGTGTGTATTAAACTCACAGAGTTGAACATTTCTTTGCATAGAGCAGTTTGGAAAGACTTAGTTTGTGCAGTGTGCAAGTGGATATTTGGAACTCTTTGAGGCCTTCGTTGGAAACGGGATTTCTTCTTATAATTCTTGACAAAAGAATTCTCAGTAGCTTCTTTGTGTGTGTGTATTCAACTCACAGAGTTGAACCTTCCTTTAGACAGAGCAGATTGGAAACACTCTTTTTGTGGAATTTGCAAGTGGAGAATTCTAGCGCTTTGACGCCAATGGTAGAAAGGAAATATCTTCGTATAAAAACTAGACAGTATCATTCTCAGAAGCTACTTTGTGATGTGTGCGTTCAACTCACAGAGTTTAACCTTTCTTTTCATAGAGCAGTTTGGAAACCCTCTGTTTGTGAAGTCTGCAAGTGGATATTTAAACGTCTTTGAGGCCTTCGTTGGAAACGGGATTTTTTCATATAAACCAGGACAGAAGAATTCTCAGAAACTTCTTGATTGTTATGTGTGCATTCAACTCACAGAGTTGAACCTTACTTTGGAAAGAGCAGTTTTCTAACACTCTTTTTGTAAAAGTTCCAAGTGAATACTTTGAGTGCTTTGAAGCCTACGGTTGACAACGAAATATCTTCATGTAAAAACTACAAAGAATCATTCGCAGAAACCACGTCGTGATCTCTGCATTCAACTCACAGAGTTGAACCTTTCTTCCTATAGAGCAGTTATGAAACAGTCTCTTTGTAGAATTTGCAAGGGTGTATTTAGAGGGCATTGAAGCCTACGGTAGAAAAGGAAATATCTTACCATAAAATCTAGTCAGAAGCATTCTCAGAAACTGAGTTGTGATGTTTGCATTCAACTCACAGAGTTCAACATTCCTTTTAATGGAGCGGTTTTGAAACACTCTTTTTGCAGAATCTGCAAGTGGATATTTGGACCTCTTTGAGGCCTTCGTTGGAAACGGGATTTCTTCATGTAATGCCAGACAGAAGAATTCTCAGTGAATTCTTTCTGTGTGTGTGTATTCAACTCACGGAGTTGAACGTTCCTTTAGACAGAGTAGATTGGAAACACTCTTTTTGTGGAATTTTCAGGTGGAGGTATCAAGCGCTTTGAGGCCAATGATAGAAAAGGAAATACCTTCGTATAATAATTAGACGGAATCATTCTCAGAAACTGCTCTGCAATGTGTGCGTTCAACTCACAGTGTTTAACCTTTCTTTTCATACAGTTGTTTCGAAACACTCTTTTTGCAGAATCTGCAAGTGGATATTTGGACCTCTTTGAAGTCTTCGTTGGAAATGGGATTTCTTCATATAATGCTAGACAGAAGACTTCTCAGTAACTGCTTTTTCTGGTGTGTATTCAACTCTCAGAGTTGAACTTTCCTTTAGAAACAGCAGAGTTGAAACTCTCTTTTTGTGGAATTTGCAAGTGGAGATTTCAAAGCTTTGAGGCCAATGGTAGAAAAGGAAATATCTTCGTATGCAAACTAGACAGAATCATTCTCAGAAACTACTTTGGTACGTGTGTGTTCAACTCACAGTGTTTAACCTTTCTTTTCATAGAGCAGTTTGGAAACACTCAGTTTGTAAAGTCAGCAACTGGATATTTGGATGTATTTGAGGCCTTCGTTGGAAACGGGATTTCTTCATATAGTGCTAGACAGAAGAATTCTCAGTAACTTCTTTGGGTTGTGGGTATTCAACTCACAGAGTTGAAGCTTCCTTTAGGCGGAGCAGATTGGAAACACTTTTTGTGGAATTTTCAGGGGGAGACTTCAAGCGCTTTGAAGTGAATGGTAGAAAAGGAAATATCTTCGTATAAAAACTAGACGGAGTCATTCTCAGAAACTACTTTGTGATGTTTGCGTTCAACTCACAGAGTTTAACGTTTCTTTTCATAGAGCAGTTTGGAAACACTCTTTTTGCAGAATCTGCAAGTGGATATTTGGACCTCCTTTGTGGCCTTCGTTGGAAACGGGATTTTTCATATAATGCTAGACAGAAGAATTCTCAGTAACTTCTTTTTGTGGTGTGTATTCAACTCACAGAGTTGAACCTTCCTTTAGACAGAGCAGATTTCAAACTCTCTTTTTGTGGAATTTGCAAGTGGAGATTTAAAGCGCTTTGAGGCCAACGGTAGAAAAGGAAATATCTTCGTAGAAAAAATAGACGGAATCATTCTCAGAAACTGCTTTGGGATGTGTGCATTGAACTCACAGTGTTTAACACTTCTTTTCATAGAGCACTTTGGAAACACTCAGTTTGTAATGTCTGCAGCTGGATATTTGGACCTCTTTGAGGCCTTCGTAGTAAACGGGATTTCTTCGTGTAATGATAGACAATAGAATTCTCAGTGAATTTGTTTCTGTGTGTGTGTGTATTCAACTCACAGGGTTGAACCTTCCTTTAGACAGTGCAGATTTGAAACACTTGTCTGTGGAATTTGCAAGGGGAGATTTCAAGCACTTTGAGGCCATTGGTGGAAAAGGAAATATCTTCGTATAAAAAGTAGACAGAATCATTCTCAGGAACTACTTTGTGATATGTGCATTCAACTCACAGAGTTTAACCTTTCTTTTCATAGATGAGTTTGGAAACAGTCAGTTTGTAAATTCTGCAACTGGATATTTGGACCTCTTTGAGGCTTTCGTTGGAAACGGGATTTCTTCACATAATGCTAGACAGAAGAATTCTCAGTAACTTCTTTTGGGATGTATGTATTCAAATCAGAGAGTTGAACCTTCCTTTAGACAGAGCGGATTGGAAACACTCTTTTTGTGGAATTTGCAAGTGGAAAATTCTAGCAGTATGAGGCCAATGGTACAAAAGGAAATATCTTCGTATAAAAACTAGACAGTATCATTCTCAGAAACTGCTTTGTGATGTGTGTATTAAACTCACAGAGTTGAACATTTCTTTGCTTAAAGCAGTTTGGAAAGACTTAGTTTGTGCAGTGTGCAAGTGGATATTTGGAACTCTTTGAGGCCTTCGTTGGAAACGGGATTTCTTCTTATAATTCTTGACAAAAGAATTCTCAGTAGCTTCTTTGTGTGTGTGTATTCAACTCACAGAGTTGAACCTTCCTTTAGACAGAGCAGATTGGAAACACTCTTTTTGTGGAATTTGCAAGTGGAGAATTCTAGCGCTTTGACGCCAATGGTAGAAAGGAAATATCTTCGTATAAAAACTAGACAGTATCATTCTCAGAAGCTACTTTGTGATGTGTGCGTTCAACTCACAGAGTTTAACCTTTCTTTTCATAGAGCAGTTTGGAAACCCTCTGTTTGTGAAGTCTGCAAGTGGATATTTAAACGTCTTTGAGGCCTTCGTTGGAAACGGGATTTCTTCATATGAACCAGGACAGAAGAATTCTCAGAAACTTCTTGATTGTTATGTGTGCATTCAACTCACAGAGTTGAACCTTACTTTGGAAAGAGCAGTTTTCTAACACTCTTTTTGTAAAAGTTCCAAGTGAATACTTTGAGTGCTTTGAAGCCTACGGTTGACAACGAAATATCTTCATGTAAAAACTACAAAGAATCATTCGCAGAAACCACGTTGTGATCTCTGCATTCAACTCACAGAGTTGAACCTTTCTTCCTATAGAGCAGTTATGAAACAGTCTCTTTGTAGAATTTGCAAGGGTGTATTTAGAGGGCATTGAAGCCTACGGTAGAAAAGGAAATATCTTACCATAAAATCTAGTCAGAAGCATTCTCAGAAACTGAGTTGTGATGTTTGCATTCAACTCACAGAGTTCAACATTCCTTTTAATGGAGCGGTTTTGAAACACTCTTTTTGCAGAATCTGCAAGTGGATATTTGGACCTCTTTGAGGCCTTCGTTGGAAACGGGATTTCTTCATGTAATGCCAGACAGAAGAATTCTCAGTGAATTCTTTCTGTGTGTGTGTATTCAACTCACAGAGTTGAACGTTCCTTTAGACAGAGTAGATTGGAAACACTGTTTTTGTGGAATTTTCAGGTGGAGGTATCAAGCGCTTTGAGGCCAATGATAGAAAAGGAAATACCTTCGTATAATAATTAGACGGAATCATTCTCAGAAACTGCTTTGCAATGTGTGCGTTCAACTCACAGTGTTTAACCTTTCTTTTCATACAGTTGTTTCGAAACACTCTTTTTGCAGAATCTGTAAGTGGATATTTGGACCTCTTTGAAGTCTTCGTTGGAAATGGGATTTCTTCATATAATGCTAGACAGAAGACTTCTCAGTAACTGCTTTTTCTGGTGTGTATTCAACTCTCAGAGTTGAACTTTCCTTTAGAAACAGCAGAGTTGAAACTCTCTTTTTGTGGAATTTGCAAGTGGAGATTTTAGAGCTTTGAGGCCAATGGTAGAAAAGGAAATATCTTCGTATGCAAACTAGACAGAATCATTCTCAGAAACTACTTTGGTACGTGTGTGTTCAACTCACAGTGTTTAACCTTTCTTTTCATAGAGCAGTTTGGAAACACTCAGTTTGTAAAGTCAGCAACTGGATATTTGGATGTATTTGAGGCCTTCGTTGGAAACGGGATTTCTTCATATAATGCTAGACAGAAGAATTCTCAGTAACTTCTTTGGGTTGTGGGTATTCAAGTCACAGAGTTGAAGCTTCCTTTAGGCGGAGCAGATTGGAAACACTTTTTGTGGAATTTTCAGGGGGAGACTTCAAGCGCTTTGAAGTGAATGGTAGGAAAGGAAATATCTTCGTATAAAAACTAGACGGAGTCATTCTCAGAAACTACTTTGTGATGTTTGCGTTCAACTCACAGAGTTTAACGTTTCTTTTCATAGAGCAGTTTGGAAACACTCTTTTTGCAGAATCTGCAAGTGGATATTTGGACCTCTTTGTGGCCTTCGTTGGAAACGGGATTTTTCATATAATGCTAGACAGAAGAATTCTCAGTAACTTCTTTTTGTGGTGTGTATTCAACTCACAGAGTTGAACCTTCCTTTAGACAGAGCAGATTTGAAACTCTCTTTTTGTGGAATTTGCAAGTGGAGATTTCAAGCGCTTTGAGGCCAACGGCAGAAAAGGAAATATCTTCGTAGAAAAAATAGACGGAATCATTCTCAGAAACTGCTTTGGGATGTGTGCATTGAACTCACAGTGTTTAACACTTCTTTTCATAGAGCACTTTGGAAACACTCAGTTTGTAATGTCTGCAGCTGGATATTTGGACCTCTTTGAGGCCTTCGTAGTAAACGGGATTTCTTCGTGTAATGATAGACAATAGAATTCTCAGTGAATTTTTTTCTCTGTGTGTGTATTCAACTCACAGGGTTGAACCTTCCTTTAGACAGTGCAGATTTGAAACACTTGTCTGTGGAATTTGCAAGGGGAGATTTCAAGCACTCTGAGGCCATTGGTGGAAAAGGAAATATCTTCGTATAAAAACTAGACAGAATCATTCTCAGGAACTACTTTGTGATATGCGCATTCAACTCACAGAGTTTAACCTTTCTTTTCATAGATGAGTTTGGAAACAGTCAGTTTGTAAATTCTGCAACTGGATATTTGGGCCTCTTTGAGGCTTTCGTTGGAAACGGGATTTCTTCACATAATGCTAGACAGAAGAATTCTCAGTAACTTCTTTTGGGATGTATGTATTCAAATCAGAGAGTTGAACCTTCCTTTAGACAGAGCGGATTGGAAACACTCTTTTTGTGGAATTTGCAAGTGGAAAATTCTAGCAGTATGAGGCCAATGGTACAAAAGGAAATATCTTCGTATAAAAACTAGACAGTAATCATTCTCAGAAACTGCTTTGTGATGTGTGTATTAAACTCACAGAGTTGAACATTTCTTTGCATAGAGCAGTTTGGAAAGACTTAGTTTGTGCAGTGTGCAAGTGGATATTTGGAACTCTTTGAGGCCTTCGTTGGAAACGGGATTTCTTCTTATAATTCTTGACAAAAGAATTCTCAGTAGCTTCTTTGTGTGTGTGTATTCAACTCACAGAGTTGAACCTTCCTTTAGACAGAGCAGATTGGAAACACTCTTTTTGTGGAATTTGCAAGTGGAGAATTCTAGCGCTTTGACGCCAATGGTAGAAAGGAAATATCTTCGTATAAAAACTAGACAGTATCATTCTCAGAAGCTACTTTGTGATGTGTGCGTTCAACTCACAGAGTTTAACCTTTCTTTTCATAGAGCAGTTTGGAAACCCTCTGTTTGTGAAGTCTGCAAGTGGATATTTAAACGTCTTTGAGGCCTTCGTTGGAAACGGGATTTCTTCATATAAACCAGGACAGAAGAATTCTCAGAAACTTCTTGATTGTTATGGGTGCATTCAACTCACAGAGTTGAACCTTACTTTGGAAAGAGCGGTTTTCTAACACTCTTTTTGTAAAAGTTCCAAGTGAATACTTTGAGTGCTTTGAAGCCTACGGTTGACAACGAAATATCTTCATGTAAAAACTACAAAGAATCATTCGCAGAAACCACGTTGTGATCTCTGCATTCAACTCACAGAGTTGAACCTTTCTTCCTATAGAGCAGTTATGAAACAGTCTCTTTGTAGAATTTGCAAGGGTGTATTTAGAGGGCATTGAAGCCTACGGTAGAAAAGGAAATATCTTACCATAAAATCTAGTCAGAAGCATTCTCAGCAACTGAGTTGTGATGTTTGCATTCAACTCACAGAGTTCAACATTCCTTTTAATGGGAGCGGTTTTGAAACACTCTTTTTGCAGAATCTGCAAGTGGATATTTGGACCTCTTTGAGGCCTTCGTTGGAAACGGGATTTCTTCATGTAATGCCAGACAGAAGAATTCTCAGTGAATTCTTTCTGTGTGTGTGTATTCAACTCACAGAGTTGAACGTTCCTTTAGACAGAGTAGATTGGAAACACTCTTTTTGTGGAATTTTCAGGTGGAGGTATCAAGCGCTTTGAGGCCAATGATAGAAAAGGAAATACCTTCGTATAATAATTAGACGGAATCATTCTCAGAAACCGCTTTGCAATGTGTGCGTTCAACTCACAGTGTTTAACCTTTCTTTTCATACAGTTGTTTCGAAACACTCTTTTTGCAGAATCTGCAAGTGGATATTTGGACCTCTTTGAAGTCTTCGTTGGAAATGGGATTTCTTCATATAATGCTAGACAGAAGACTTCTCAGTAACTGCTTTTTCTGGTGTGTATTCAACTCTCAGAGTTGAACTTTCCTTTAGAAACAGCAGATTTGAAACTCTCTTTTTGTGGAATTTGCAAGTGGAGATTTCAGAGCTTTGAGGCCAATGGTAGAAAAGGAAATATCTTCGTATGCAAACTAGACAGAATCATTCTCAGAAACTACTTTGGTACGTGTGTGTTCAACTCACAGTGTTTAACCTTTCTTTTCATAGAGCAGTTTGGAAACACTCAGTTTGTAAAGTCAGCAACTGGATATTTGGATGTATTTGAGGCCTTCGTTGGAAACGGGATTTCTTCATATAATGCTAGACAGAAGAATTCTCAGTAACTTCTTTGGGTTGTGGGTATTCAAGTCACAGAGTTGAAGCTTCCTTTAGGCGGAGCAGATTGGAAACACTTTTTGTGGAATTTTCAGGGGGAGACTTCAAGCGCTTTGAAGTGAATGGTAGGAAAGGAAATATCTTCGTATAAAAACTAGACGGAGTCATTCTCAGAAACTACTTTGTGATGTTTGCGTTCAACTCACAGAGTTTAACGTTTCTTTTCATAGAGCAGTTTGGAAACACTCTTTTTGCAGAATCTGCAAGTGGATATTTGGACCTCTTTGTGGCCTTCGTTGGAAACGGGATTTTTCATATAATGCTAGACAGAAGAATTCTCAGTAACTTCTTTTTGTGGTGTGTATTCAACTCACAGAGTTGAACCTTCCTTTAGACAGAGCAGATTTGAAACTCTCTTTTTGTGGAATTTGCAAGTGGAGATTTCAAGCGCTTTGAGGCCAACGGTAGAAAAGGAAATATCTTCGTAGAAAAAATAGACGGAATCATTCTCAGAAACTGCTTTGGGATGTGTGCATTGAACTCACAGTGTTTAACACTTCTTTTCATAGAGCACTTTGGAAACACTCAGTTTGTAATGTCTGCAGCTGGATATTTGGACCTCTTTGAGGCCTTCGTAGTAAACGGGATTTCTTCGTGTAATGATAGACAATAGAATTCTCAGTGAATTTTTTTCTGTGTGTGTGTATTCAACTCACAGGGTTGAACCTTCCTTTAGACAGTGCAGATTTGAGACACTTGTCTGTGGAATTTGCAAGGGGAGATTTCAAGCACTTTGAGGCCATTGGTGGAAAAGGAAATATCTTCGTATAAAAACTAGACAGAATCATTCTCAGGAACTACTTTGTGATATGTGCATTCAACTCACAGAGTTTAACCTTTCTTTTCATAGATGAGTTTGGAAACAGTCAGTTTGTAAATTCTGCAACTGGATATTTGGGCCTCTTTGAGGCTTTCGTTGGAAACGGGATTTCTTCACATAATGCTAGACAGAAGAATTCTCAGTAACTTCTTTTGGGATGTATGTATTCAAATCAGAGAGTTGAACCTTCCTTTAGACAGAGCGGATTGGAAACACTCTTTTTGTGGAATTTGCAAGTGGAAAATTCTAGCAGTATGAGGCCAATGGTACAAAAGGAAATATCTTCGTATAAAAACTAGACAGTATCATTCTCAGAAACTGCTTTGTGATGTGTGTATTAAACTCACAGAGTTGAACATTTCTTTGCATAGAGCAGTTTGGAAAGACTTAGTTTGTGCAGTGTGCAAGTGGATATTTGGAACTCTTTGAGGCCTTCGTTGGAAACGGGATTTCTTCTTATAATTCTTGACAAAAGAATTCTCAGTAGCTTCTTTGTGTGTGTGTATTCAACTCACAGAGTTGAACCTTCCTTTAGACAGAGCAGATTGGAAACACTCTTTTTGTGGAATTTGCAAGTGGAGAATTCTAGCGCTTTGACGCCAATGGTAGAAAGGAAATATCTTCGTATAAAAACTAGACAGTATCATTCTCAGAAGCTACTTTGTGATGTGTGCGTTCAACTCACAGAGTTTAACCTTTCTTTTCATAGAGCAGTTTGGAAACCCTCTGTTTGTGAAGTCTGCAAGTGGATATTTAAACGTCTTTGAGGCCTTCGTTGGAAACGGGATTTTTTCATATAAACCAGGACAGAAGAATTCTCAGAAACTTCTTCTTTGTTATGTGTGCATTCAACTCACAGAGTTGAACCTTACTTTGGAAAGAGCAGTTTTCTAACACTCTTTTTGTAAAAGTTCCAAGTGAATACTTTGAGTGCTTTGAAGCCTACGGTTGACAACGAAATATCTTCATGTAAAAACTACAAAGAATCATTCGCAGAAACCACGTTGTGATCTCTGCATTCAGCTCACAGAGTTGAACCTTTCTTCCTATAGAGCAGTTATGAAACAGTCTCTTTGTAGAATTTGCAAGGGTGTATTTAGAGGGCATTGAAGCCTACGGTAGAAAAGGAAATATCTTACCATAAAATCTAGTCAGAAGCATTCTCAGCAACTGAGTTGTGATGTTTGCATTCAACTCACAGAGTTCAACATTCCTTTTAATGGAGCGGTTTTGAAACACTCTTTTTGCAGAATCTGCAAGTGGATATTTGGACCTCTTTGAGGCCTTCGTTGGAAACGGGATTTCTTCATGTAATGCCAGACAGAAGAATTCTCAGTGAATTCTTTCTGTGTGTGTGTATTCAACTCACAGAGTTGAACGTTCCTTTAGACAGAGTAGATTGGAAACACTCTTTTTGTGGAATTTTCAGGTGGAGGTATCAAGCGCTTTGAGGCCAATGATAGAAAAGGAAATACCTTCGTATAATAATTAGACGGAATCATTCTCAGAAACTGCTTTGCAATGTGTGCGTTCAACTCACAGTCTTTAACCTTTCTTTTCATACAGTTGTTTCGAAACACTCTTTTTGCAGAATCTGCAAGTGGCTATTTGGACCTCTTTGAAGTCTTCGTTGGAAATGGGATTTCTTCATATAATGCTAGACAGAAGACTTCTCAGTAACTGCTTTTTCTGGTGTGTATTCAACTCTCCGAGTTGAACTTTCCTTTAGAAACAGCAGATTTGAAACTCTCTTTTTGTGGAATTTGCAAGTGGAGATTTCAGAGCTTTGAGGCCACTGGTAGAAAAGGAAATATCTTCGTATGCAAACTAGACAGAATCATTCTCAGAAACTACTTTGGTACGTGTGTGTTCAACTCACAGTGTTTAACCTTTCTTTTCATAGAGCAGTTTGGAAACACTCAGTTTGTAAAGTCAGCAACTGGATATTTGGATGTATTTGAGGCCTTCGTTGGAAACGGGATTTCTTCATATAATGCTAGACAGAAGAATTCTCAGTAACTTCTTTGGGTTGTGGGTATTCAACTCACAGAGTTGAAGCTTCCTTTAGGCGGAGCAGATTGGAAACACTTTTTGTGGAATTTTCAGGTGGAGACTTCAAGCGCTTTGAAGTGAATGGTAGGAAAGGAAATATCTTCGTATAAAAACTAGACGGAGTCATTCTCAGAAACTACTTTGTGATGTTTGCGTTCAACTCACAGAGTTTAACGTTTCTTTTCATAGAGCAGTTTGGAAACACTCTTTTTGCAGAATCTGCAAGTGGATATTTGGACCTCTTTGTGGCCTTCGTTGGAAACGGGATTTTTCATATAATGCTAGACAGAAGAATTCTCAGTAACTTCTTTTTGTGGTGTGTATTCAACTCACAGAGTTGAACCTTCCTTTAGACAGAGCAGATTTGAAACTCTCTTTTTGTGGAATTTGCAAGTGGAGATTTCAAGCGCTTTGAGGCCAACGGCAGAAAAGGAAATATCTTCGTAGAAAAAATAGACGGAATCATTCTCAGAAACTGCTTTGGGATGTGTGCATTGAACTCACAGTGTTTAACACTTCTTTTCATAGAGCACTTTGGAAACACTCAGTTTGTAATGTCTGCAGCTGGATATTTGGACCTCTTTGAGGCTTCGTAGTAAACGGGATTTCTTCGTGTAATGATAGACAATAGAATTCTCAGTGAATTTGTTTCTGTGTGTGTGTATTCAACTCACAGGGTTGAACCTTCCTTTAGACAGTGCAGATTTGAAACACTTGTCTGTGGAATTTGCAAGGGGAGATTTCAAGCACTTTGAGGCCATTGGTGGAAAAGGAAATATCTTCGTATGAAAACTAGACAGAATCATTCTCAGGAACTATTTTGTGATATGTGCATTCAACTCACAGAGTTTAACCTTTCTTTTCATAGATGAGTTTGGAAACAGTCAGTTTGTAAATTCTGCAACTGGATATTTGGACCTCTTTGAGGCTTTCGTTGGAAACGGGATTTCTTCACATAATGCTAGACAGAAGAATTCTCAGTAACTTCTTTTGGGATGTATGTATTCAAATCAGAGAGTTGAACCTTCCTTTAGACAGAGCGGATTGGAAACACTCTTTTTGTGGAATTTGCAAGTGGAAAATTCTAGCAGTATGAGGCCAATGGTACAAAAGGAAATATCTTCGTATAAAAACTAGACAGTATCGTTCTCAGAAACTGCTTTGTGATGTGTGTATTAAACTCACAGAGTTGAACATTTCTTTGCATAGAGCAGTTTGGAAAGACTTAGTTTGTGCAGTGTGCAAGTGGATATTTGGAACTCTTTGAGGCCTTCGTTGGAAACGGGATTTCTTCTTATAATTCTTGACAAAAGAATTCTCAGTAGCTTCTTTGTGTGTGTGTATTCAACTCACAGAGTTGAACCTTCCTTTAGACAGAGCAGATTGGAAACACTCTTTTTGTGGAATTTGCAAGTGGAGAATTCTAGCGCTTTGACGCCAATGGTAGAAAGGAAATATCTTCGTATAAAAACTAGACAGTATCATTCTCAGAAGCTACTTTGTGATGTGTGCGTTCAACTCACAGAGTTTAACCTTTCTTTTCATAGAGCAGTTTGGAAACCCTCTGTTTGTGAAGTCTGCAAGTGGATATTTAAACGTCTTTGAGGCCTTCGTTGGAAACGGGATTTTTTCATATAAAACAGGACAGAAGAATTCTCAGAAACTTCTTGATTGTTATGTGTGCATTCAACTCAAAGAGTTGAACCTTACTTTGGAAAGAGCAGTTTTCTAATACTCTTTTTGTAAAAGTTCCAAGTGAATACTTTGAGTGCTTTGAAGCCTACGGTTGACAACGAAATATCTTCATGTAAAAACTACAAAGAATCATTCGCAGAAACCACGTTGTGATCTCTGCATTCAACTCACAGAGTTCAACCTTTCTTCCTATAGAGCAGTTATGAAACAGTCTCTTTGTAGAATTTGCAAGGGTGTATTTAGAGGGCATTGAAGCCTACGGTAGAAAAGGAAATATCTTACCATAAAATCTAGTCAGAAGCATTCTCAGAAACTGAGTTGTGATGTTTGCATTCAACTCACAGAGTTCAACATTCCTTTTCATGGAGCGGTTTTGAAACACTCTTTTTGCAGAATCTGCAAGTGGATATTTGGACCTCTTTGAGGCCTTCGTTGAAAACGGGATTTCTTCATGTAATGCCAGACAGAAGAATTCTCAGTGAATTCTTTCTGTGTGTGTGTATTCAACTCACAGAGTTGAACGTTCCTTTAGACAGAGTAGATTGGAAACACTCTTTTTATGGAATTTTCAGGTGGAGGTATCAAGCGCTTTGAGGCCAATGATAGAAAAGGAAATACCTTCGTATAATAATTAGACGGAATCATTCTCAGAAACTGCTTTGCAATGTGTGCGTTCAACTCACAGTGTTTAACCTTTCTTTTCATACAGTTGTTTCGAAACACTCTTTTTGCAGAATCTGCAAGTGGATATTTGGACCTCTTTGAAGTCTTCGTTGGAAATGGGATTTCTTCATATAATGCTAGACAGAAGACTTCTCAGTAACTGCTTTTTCTGGTGTGTATTCAACTCTCAGAGTTGAACTTTCCTTTAGAAACAGCAGAGTTGAAACTCTCTTTTTGTGGAATTTGCAAGTGGAGATTTCAAAGCTTTGAGGCCAATGGTAGAAAAGGAAATATCTTCGTATGCAAACTAGACAGAATCATTCTCAGAAACTACTTTGGTACGTGTGTGTTCAACTCACAGTGTTTAACCTTTCTTTTCATAGAGCAGTTTGGAAACACTCAGTTTGTAAAGTCAGCAACTGGATATTTGGATGTATTTGAGGCCTTCGTTGGAAACGGGATTTCTTCATATAGTGCTAGACAGAAGAATTCTCAGTAACTTCTTTGGGTTGTGGGTATTCAACTCACAGAGTTGAAGCTTCCTTTAGGCGGAGCAGATTGGAAACACTTTTTGTGGAATTTTCAGGGGGAGACTTCAAGCGCTTTGAAGTGAATGGTAGGAAAGGAAATATCTTCGTATAAAAACTAGACGGAGTCATTCTCAGAAACTACTTTGTGATGTTTGCGTTCAACTCACAGAGTTTAACGTTTCTTTTCATAGAGCAGTTTGGAAACACTCTTTTTGCAGAATCTGCAAGTGGATATTTGGACCTCTTTGTGGCCTTCGTTAGAAACGGGATTTTTCATATAATGCTAGACAGAAGAATTCTCAGTAACTTCTTTTTGTGGTGTGTATTCAACTCACAGAGTTGAACCTTCCTTTAGACAGAGCAGATTTGAAACTCTCTTTTTGTGGAATTTGCAAGTGGAGATTTCAAGCGCTTTGAGGCCAACGGTAGAAAAGGAAATATCTTCGTAGAAAAAATAGACGGAATCATTCTCAGAAACTGCTTTGGGATGTGTGCATTGAACTCACAGTGTTTAACACTTCTTTTCATAGAGCACTTTGGAAACACTCAGTTTGTAATGTCTGCAGCTGGATATTTGGACCTCTTTGAGGCCTTCGTAGTAAACGGGATTTCTTCGTGTAATGATAGACAATAGAATTCTCAGTGAATTTTTTTCTGTGTGTGTGTATTCAACTCACAGTGTTGAACCTTCCTTTAGACAGTGCAGATTTGAAACACTTGTCTGTGGAATTTGCAAGGGGAGATTTCAAGCACTTTGAGGCCATTGGTGGAAAAGGAAATATCTTCGTATTAAAACTAGACAGAATCATTCTCAGGAACTACTTTGTGATATGTGCATTCAACTCACAGAGTTTAACCTTTCTTTTCATAGATGAGTTTGGAAACAGTCAGTTTGTAAATTCTGCAACTGGATATTTGGACCTCTTTGAGGCTTTCGTTGGAAACGGGATTTCTTCACATAATGCTAGACAGAAGAATTCTCAGTAACTTCTTTTGGGATGTATGTATTCAAATCAGAGAGTTGAACCTTCCTTTAGACAGAGCGGATTGGAAACACTCTTTTTGTGGAATTTGCAAGTGGAAAATTCTAGCAGTATGAGGCCAATGGTACAAAAGGAAATATCTTCGTATAAAAACTAGACAGTATCATTCTCAGAAACTGCTTTGTGATGTGTGTATTAAACTCACAGAGTTGAACATTTCTTTGCATAGAGCAGTTTGGAAAGACTTAGTTTGTGCAGTGTGCAAGTGGATATTTGGAACTCTTTGAGGCCTTCGTTGGAAACGGGATTTCTTCTTATAATTCTTGACAAAAGAATTCTCAATAGCTTCTTTGTGTGTGTGTATTCAACTCACAGAGTTGAACCTTCCTTTAGACAGAGCAGATTGGAAACACTCTTTTTGTGGAATTTGCACGTGGAGAATTCTAGCGCTTTGACGCCAATGGTAGAAAGGAAATATCTTCGTATAAAAACTAGACAGTTATCATTCTCAGTAAACTACTTTGTGAGGTGTGCGTTCAACTCACAGTGTTTACCCTTTCTTTTCATAGAGCAGTTTGGAAACACTCTGTTTGTGAAGTCTGCAAGTGGATATTTAAACGTCTTTGAGGCCTTCGTTGGAAACGGGATTTCTTCATATAAACCAGGACAGAAGAATTCTCAGAAACTTCTTGATTGTTATGTGTGCATTCAACTCACAGAGTTGAACCTTACTTTGGAAGGAGCAGTTTTCTAACACTCTTTTTGTAAAAGTTCCAAGTGAATACTTTGAGTGCTTTGAAGCCTACGGTTGACAACGAAATATCTTCATGTAAAAACTACAAAGAATCATTCGCAGAAACCACGTTGTGATCCCTGCATTCAACTCACAGAGTTGAACCTTTCTTCCTATAGAGCAGTTATGAAACAGTCTCTTTGTAGAATTTGCAAGGGTGTATTTAGAGGGCATTGAAGCCTTCGGTAGAAAAGGAAATATCTTACCATAAAATCTAGTCAGAAGCATTCTCAGAAACTGAGTTGTGATGTTTGCATTCAACTCACAGAGTTCAACATTCCTTTTCATGGAGCGGTTTTGAAACACTCTTTTTGCAGAATCTGCAAGTGGATATTTGGACCTCTTTGAGGCCTTCGTTGGAAACGGGATTTCTTCATGTAATGCCAGACAGAAGAACTCTCAGTGAATTCTTTCTGTGTGTGTGTATTCAACTCACAGAGTTGAACGTTCCTTTAGACAGAGTAGATTGGAAACACTCTTTTTGTGGAATTTTCAGGTGGAGGTATCAAGCGCTTTGAGGCCCATGATAGAAAAGGAAATACCTTCGTATAATAATTAGACGGAATCATTCTCAGAAACTGCTTTGCAATGTGTGCCTTCAACTCACAGCGTTTAACCTTTCTTTTCATACAGTTGTTTCGAAACACTCTTTTTGCAGAACCTGCAAGTGGATATTTGGACCTCTTTGAAGTCTTCTTTGGAAATGGGATTTCTTCATATAATGCTAGACAGAAGACTTCTCAGTAACTGCTTTTTCTGGTATGTATTCAACTCTCAGAGTTGAACTTTCCTTTAGAAACAGCAGATTTGAAACTCTCTTTTTGTGGAATTTGCAAGTGGAGATTTCAAAGCTTTGAGGCCAATGGTAGAAAAGGAAATATCTTCGTATGCAAACGAGACAGAATCATTCTCAGAAACTACTTTGGTACGTGTGTGTTCAACTCACAGTGTTTAACCTTTCCTTTCATAGAGCAGTTTGGAAACACTCAGTTTGTAAAGTCAGCAACTGGATATCTGGATGTATTTGAGGCCTTCGTTGGAAACGGGATTTCTTCCTATAATGCTAGACAGAGAATTCTCAGTAACTTCTTTGGGTTGTGGGTATTCAAGTCACAGAGTTGAAGCTTCCTTTAGGCGGAGCAGATTGGAAACACTTTTTGTGGAATTTTCAGGGGGAGACTTCAAGCGCTTTGAAGTGAATGGTAGGAAAGGAAATATCTTCGTATAAAAACTAGACGGAGTCATTCTCAGAAACTACTTTGTGATGTTTGCGTTCAACTCACAGAGTTTAACGTTTCTTTTCATAGAGCAGTTTGGAAACACTCTTTTTGCAGAATCTGCAAGTGGATATTTGGACCTCTTTGTGGCCTTCGTTGGAAACGGGATTTTTCATATAATGCTAGACAGAAGAATTCTCAGTAACTTCTTTTTGTGGTGTGTATTCAACTCACAGAGTTGAACCTTCCTTTAGACAGAGCAGATTTGAAACTCTCTTTTTGTGGAATTTGCAAGTGGAGATTTCAAGCGCTTTGAGGCCAACGGCAGAAAAGGAAATATCTTCGTAGAAAAAATAGACGGAATCATTCTCAGAAACTGCTTTGGGATGTGTGCATTGAACTCACAGTGTTTAACACTTCTTTTCATAGAGCACTTGGGAAACACTCAGTTTGTAATGTCTGCAGCTGGATATTTGGACCTCTTTGAGGCCTTCGTAGTAAACGGGATTTCTTCGTGTAATGATAGACAATAGAATTCTCAGTGAATTTGTTTCTGTGTGTGTGTATTCAACTCACAGGGTTGAACCTTCCTTTAGACAGTGCAGATTTGAAACACTTGTCTGTGGAATTTGCAAGGGGAGATTTCAAGCACTTTGAGGCCATTGGTGGAAAAGCAAATATCTTCATATAAAAACTAGACAGGAATCATTCTCAGGAACTACTTGTGTGATATGGGCATTCAACTCACAGAGTTTAACCTTTCTTTTCATAGATGAGTTTGGAAACAGTCAGTTTGTAAATTCTGCAACTGGATATTTGGACCTCTTTGAGGCTTTCGTTGGAAACGGGATTTCTTCACATAATGCTAGACAGAAGAATTCTCAGTAACTTCTTTTGGGATGTATGTATTCAAATCAGAGAGTTGAACCTTCCTTTAGACAGAGCGGATTGGAAACACTCTTTTTGTGGAATTTGCAAGTGGAAAATTCTAGCAGTATGAGGCCAATGGTACAAAAGGAAATATCTTCGTATAAAAACTAGACAGTATCATTCTCAGAAACTGCTTTGTGATGTGTGTATTAAACTCACAGAGTTGAACATTTCTTTGCATAGAGCAGTTTGGAAAGACTTAGTTTGTGCAGTGTGCAAGTGGATATTTGGAACTCTTTGAGGCCTTCGTTGGAAACGGGATTTCTTCTTATAATTCTTGACAAAAGAATTCTCAGTAGCTTCTTTGTGTGTGTGTATTCAACTCACAGAGTTGAACCTTCCTTTAGACAGAGCAGATTGGAAACACTCTTTTTGTGGAATTTGCAAGTGGAGAATTCTAGCGCTTTGACGCCAATGGTAGAAAGGAAATATGTTCATATAAAAACTAGACAGTATCATTCTCAGAAGCTACTTTGTGATGTGTGCGTTCAACTCACAGAGTTTAACCTTTCTTTTCATAGAGCAGTTTGGAAACCCTCTGTTTGTGAAGTCTGCAAGTGGATATTTAAACGTCTTTGAGGCCTTTGTTGGAAACGGGATTTGTTCCTATAAACCAGGACAGAAGAATTCTCAGAAACTTCTTGTTTGTTATGTGTGCATTCAACTCACAGAGTTGAACCTTACTTTGGAAAGAGCAGTTTTCTAACACTCTTTTTGTAAAAGTTCCAAGTGAATACTTTGAGTGCTTTGAAGCCTACGGTAGACAACGAAATATCTTCATGTAAAAACTACAAAGAATCATTCGCCGAAACCACGTTGTGATCTCTGCATGCAACTCACATAGTTCAACCTTTCTTCCTATAGAGCAGTTATTAAACAGTCCCTTTGTAGAATTTGCAAGGGTGTATTTAGAGGGCATTGAGGCCTACGGTAGAAAAGGAAATATCTGACCATAAAATCTAGTCAGAAGCATTCTCAGAAACTGAGTTGTGATGTTTGCATTCAACTCACAGAGTTCAACATTCCTTTTCATAGAGCGGTTTTGAAACACTCTTTTTGCAGAATCTGCAAGTGGATATTTGGACCTCTTTCAGGCCTTCGTTGGAAACGGGATTTCTTCATGTAATGCCAGACAGAAGAACTCTCAGTGAATTCTTTCTGTGTGTGTGTATTCAACTCACAGAGTTGAACGTTCCTTTAGACAGAGTAGATTGGAAACACTCTTTTTGTGGAATTTTCAGGTGGAGGTATCAAGCGCTTTGCGGCCCATGATAGAAAAGGAAATACCTTCGTATAATAATTAGACGGAATCATTCTCAGAAACTGCTTTGCAATGTGTGCCTTCAACTCACAGCGTTTAACCTTTCTTTTCATACAGTTGTTTCGAAACACTCTTTTTGCAGAATCTGCAAGTGGATATTTGGACCTCTTTGAAGTCTTCGTTGGAAATGGGATTTCTTCATATAATGCTAGACAGAAGAATTCTCAGTAACTGCTTTTTCTGGTGTGTATTCAACTCTCAGAGTTGAACTTTCCTTTAGAAACAGCAGATTTGAAACTCTCATTTTGTGGAATTTGCAAGTGGAGATTTCAAAGCTTTGAGGCCAATGGTAGAAAAGGAAATATCTTCGTATGCAAACGAGACAGAATCATTCTCAGAAACCACTTTGGTACGTGTGTGTTCAACTCACAGTGTTTAACCTTTCCTTTCATAGAGCAGTTTGGAAACACTCAGTTTGTAAAGTCAGCAACTGGATATTTGGATGTATTTGAGGCCTTCGTTGGAAACGGGATTTCTTCATGTAATGCTAGACAGAAGAATTCTCAGTAACTTCTTTGGGTTGTGGGTATACAACTCACAGAGTTGAAGCTTCCTTTAGGCGGAGCAGATTGGAAACACTTTTTGTGGAATTTTCAGGGGGAGACTTCAAGCGCTTTGAAGTGAATGGTAGAAAAGGAAATATTCTTCGTATAAAAAGTAGACGGAGTCATTCTCAGAAACTACTTTGTGATGTTTGCGTTCAACTCACAGAGTTTAACGTTTCTTTTCATAGAGCAGTTTGGAAACACTCTTTTTGTAGAATCTGCAAGTGGATATTTGGACCTCTTTGTGGCCTTCGTTGGAAACGGGATTTTTCATATAATGCTAGACAGAAGAATTCTCAGTAACTTCTTTTTGTGGTGTGTATTCAACTCACAGAGTTGAACCTTCCTTTAGACAGAGCAGATTTGAAACTCTCTTTTCGTGGAATTTGCAAGTGGAGATTTCAAGCGCTTTGAGGCCAACGGTAGAAAAGGAAATATCTTCGTAGAAAAAATAGACGGAATCATTCTCAGAAACTGCTTTGGGATGTGTGCATTGAACTCACAGTGTTTAACACTTCTTTTCATAGAGCACTTTGGAAACACTCAGTTTTTAAAGTCTGCAGCTGGATATTTGGACCTCTTTGAGGCCTTCGTAGTAAACGGGATTTCTTCGTGTAATGATAGACAATAGAATTCTCAGTGAATTTTTTTCTGTGTGTGTGTATTCAACTCACAGGGTTGAACCTTCCTTTAGACAGTGCAGATTTGAGACACTTGTCTGTGGAATTTGCAAGGGGAGATTTCAAGCACTTTGAGGCCATTGGTGGAAAAGGAAATATCTTCGTATAAAAACTAGACAGAATCATTCTCAGGAACTACTTTGTGATATGTGCATTCAACTCCCAGAGTTTAACCTTTCTTTTCATAGATGAGTTTGGAAACAGTCAGTTTGTAAATTCTGCAACTGGATATTTGGACCTCTTTGAGGCTTTCGTTGGAAACGGGATTTCTTCACATAATGCTAGACAGAAGAATTCTCAGTAACTTCTTTTGGGATGTATGTATTCAAATCAGAGAGTTGAACCTTCCTTTAGACAGAGCGGATTGGAAACACTCTTTTTGTGGAATTTGCATGTGGAAAATTCTAGCAGTATGAGACCAATGGTACAAAAGGAAATATCTTCGTATAAAAACTAGACAGTATCATTCTCAGAAACTGCTTTGTGATGTGTGTATTAAACTCACAGAGTTGAACATTTCTTTGCATAGAGCAGTTTGGAAAGACTTAGTTTGTGCAGTGTGCAAGTGGATATTTGGAACTCTTTGAGGCCTTCGTTGGAAACGGGATTTCTTCTTATAATTTCTTGAAAAAAGAATTCTCAGTAGCTTCTTTGTGTGTGTGTATTCAACTCACAGAGTTGAACCTTCCTTTAGACAGAGCAGATTGGAAACACTCTTTTTGTGGAATTTGCAAGTGGAAAATTCTAGCAGTATGAGGCCAATGGTACAAAAGGAAATATCTTCGTATAAAAACTAGACAGTATCATTCTCAGAAACTGCTTTGTGATGTGTGTATTAAACTCACAGAGTTTAACCTTTCTTTTCATAGAGCAGTTTGGAAACCCTCTGTTTGTGAAGTCTGCAAGTGGATATTTAAACGTCTTTGAGGCCTTCGTTGGAAACGGGATTTTTTCATATAAACCAGGACAGAAGAATTCTCAGAAACTTCTTGATTGTTATGTGTGCATTCAACTCACAGAGTTGAACCTTACTTTGGAAAGAGCAGTTTCCTAACACTCGTTTTGTAAAAGTTCCAAGTGAATACTTTGAGTGCTTTGAAGCCTACGGTTGACAACGAAATATCTTCATGTAAAAACTACAAAGAATCATTCGCAGAAACCACGTTGTGATCTCTGCATTCAACTCACAGAGTTCAACCTTTCTTCCTATAGAGCAGTTATGAAACAGTCTCTTTGTAGAATTTGCAAGGGTGTATTTAGAGGGCATTGAAGCCTACGGTAGAAAAGGAAATATCTTACCATAAAATCTAGTCAGAAGCATTCTCAGAAACTGAGTTGTGATGTTTGCATTCAACTCACAGAGTTCAACATTCCTTTTAATGGAGCGGTTTTGAAACACTCTTTTTGCAGAATCTGCAAGTGGATATTTGGACCTCTTTGAGGCCTTCGTTGGAAACGGGATTTCTTCATGTAATGCCAGACAGAAGAATTCTCAGTGAATTCTTTCTGTGTGTGTGTATTCAACTCACAGAGTTGAACGTTCCTTTAGACAGAGTAGATTGGAAACACTCTTTTTGTGGAATTTTCAGGTGGAGGTATCAAGCGCTTTGAGGCCAATGATAGAAAAGGAAATACCTTCGTATAATAATTAGACGGAATCATTCTCAGAAACCGCTTTGCAATGTGTGCGTTCAACTCACAGTGTTTAACCTTTCTTTTCATACAGTTGTTTCGAAACACTCTTTTTGCAGAATCTGCAAGTGGATATTTGGACCTCTTTGAAGTCTTCGTTGGAAATGGGATTTCTTCATATAATGCTAGACAGAAGACTTCTCAGTAACTGCTTTTTCTGGTGTGTATTCAACTCTCAGAGTTGAACTTTCCTTTAGAAACAGCAGATTTGAAACTCTCTTTTTGTGGAATTTGCAAGTGGAGATTTCAGAGCTTTGAGGCCAATGGTAGAAAAGGAAATATCTTCGTATGCAAACTAGACAGAATCATTCTCAGAAACTACTTTGGTACGTGTGTGTTCAACTCACAGTGTTTAACCTTTCTTTTCATAGAGCAGTTTGGAAACACTCAGTTTGTAAAGTCAGCAACTGGATATTTGGATGTATTTGAGGCCTTCGTTGGAAACGGGATTTCTTCATATAATGCTAGACAGAAGAATTCTCAGTAACTTCTTTGGGTTGTGGGTATTCAAGTCACAGAGTTGAAGCTTCCTTTAGGCGGAGCAGATTGGAAACACTTTTGTGGAATTTTCAGGGGGAGACTTCAAGCGCTTTGAAGTGAATGGTAGGAAAGGAAATATCTTCGTATAAAAACTAGACGGAGTCATTCTCAGAAACTACTTTGTGATGTTTGCGTTCAACTCACAGAGTTTAACGTTTCTTTTCATAGAGCAGTTTGGAAACACTCTTTTTGCAGAATCTGCAAGTGGATATTTGGACCTCTTTGTGGCCTTCGTTGGAAACGGGATTTTTCATATAATGCTAGACAGAAGAATTCTCAGTAACTTCTTTTTGTGGTGTGTATTCAACTCACAGAGTTGAACCTTCCTTTAGACAGAGCAGATTTGAAACTCTCTTTTTGTGGAATTTGCAAGTGGAGATTTCAAGCGCTTTGAGGCCAACGGCAGAAAAGGAAATATCTTCGTAGAAAAAATAGACGGAATCATTCTCAGAAACTGCTTTGGGATGTGTGCATTGAACTCACAGTGTTTAACACTTCTTTTCATAGAGCACTTTGGAAACACTCAGTTTGTAATGTCTGCAGCTGGATATTTGGACCTCTTTGAGGCCTTCGTAGTAAACGGGATTTCTTCGTGTAATGATAGACAATAGAATTCTCAGTGAATTTTTTTCTGTGTGTGTGTATTCAACTCACAGGGTTGAACCTTCCTTTAGACAGTGCAGATTTGAGACACTTGTCTGTGGAATTTGCAAGGGGAGATTTCAAGCACTTTGAGGCCATTGGTGGAAAAGGAAATATCTTCGTATAAAAACTAGACAGAATCATTCTCAGGAACTACTTTGTGATATGTGCATTCAACTCACAGAGTTTAACCTTTCTTTTCATAGATGAGTTTGGAAACAGTCAGTTTGTAAATGCTGCAACTGGATATTTGGGCCTCTTTGAGGCTTTCGTTGGAAACGGGATTTCTTCACATAATGCTAGACAGAAGAATTCTCAGTAACTTCTTTTGGGATGTATGTATTCAAATCAGAGAGTTGAACCTTCCTTTAGACAGAGCGGATTGGAAACACTCTTTTTGTGGAATTTGCAAGTGGAAAATTCTAGCAGTATGAGGCCAATGGTACAAAAGGAAATATCTTCGTATAAAAACTAGACAGTATCATTCTCAGAAACTGCTTTGTGATGTGTGTATTAAACTCACAGAGTTGAACATTTCTTTGCATAGAGCAGTATGGAAAGACTTAGTTTGTGCAGTGTGCAAGTGGATATTTGGAACTCTTTGAGGCCTTGGTTGGAAACGGGATTTCTTCTTATAATTCTTGACAAAAGAATTCTCAGTAGCTTCTTTGTGTGTGTGTACTCAACTCACAGAGTTGAACCTTCCTTTAGACAGAGCAGATTGGAAACACTCTTTTTGTGGAATTTGCAAGTGGAAAATTCTAGCAGTATGAGGCCAATGGTACAAAAGGAAATATCTTCGTATAAAAACTAGACAGTATCATTCTCAGAAACTACTTTGTGATGTGTGCGTTCAACTCACAGTGTTTACCCTTTCTTTTCATAGAGCAGTTTGGAAACACTCTGTTTGTGAAGTCTGCAAGTGGATATTTAAACGTCTTTGAGGCCTTCGTTGGAAACGTGATTTCTTCATATAAACCAGGACAGAAGAATTCTCAGAAACTTCTTGTTTGTTATGTGTGCATTCAACTCACAGAGTTGAACCTTACCTTGGAAAGAGCAATTTTCTAACACTCTTTTTGTAAAAGTTCCAAGTGAATACTTTGAGTGCTTTGAAGCCTACGGTAGACAACGAAATATCTTCATGTAAAAACTACAAAGAATCATTCGCAGAAACCACGTTGTGATCTCTGCATTCAACTCACAGAGTTGAACCTTTCGTCCTATAGAGCAGTTATGAAACAGTCTCTTTGTAGAATTTGCAAGGGTGTATTTACAGGGCATTGAAGCCTACGGTGGAAAAGGAAATATCTTACCATAAAATCTAGTCAGAAGCATTCTCAGAAACTGAGTTGTGACGTTTGCATTCAACTCACAGAGTTCAACATTCCTTTTAATGGAGCGGTTTTGAAACACTCTTTTTGCAGAATCTGCAAGTGGATATTTGGACCTCTTTGAGGCCTTCGTTGGAAACGGGATTTCTTCATGTAATGCCAGACAGAAGAATTCTCAGTGAATTCTTTCTGTGTGTGTGTATTCAACTCACAGAGTTGAACGTTCCTTTAGACAGAGTAGATTGGAAACACTCTTTTTGTGGAATTTTCAGGTGGAGGTATCAAGCGCTTTGAGGCCAATGATAGAAAAGGAAATACCTTCGTATAATAATTAGACGGAATCATTCTCAGAAACCGCTTTGCAATGTGTGCGTTCAACTCACAGTGTTTAACCTTTCTTTTCATACAGTTGTTTCGAAACACTCTTTTTGCAGAATCTGCAAGTGGATATTTGGACCTCTTTGAAGTCTTCGTTGGAAATGGGATTTCTTCATATAATGCTAGACAGAAGACTTCTCAGTAACTGCTTTTTCTGGTGTGTATTCAACTCTCAGAGTTGAACTTTCCTTTAGAAACAGCAGATTTGAAACTCTCTTTTTGTGGAATTTGCAAGTGGAGATTTCAGAGCTTTGAGGCCAATGGTAGAAAAGGAAATATCTTCGTATGCAAACTAGACAGAATCATTCTCAGAAACTACTTTGGTACGTGTGTGTTCAACTCACCGTGTTTAACCTTTCTTTTCATAGAGCAGTTTGGAAACACTCAGTTTGTAAAGTCAGCAACTGGATATTTGGATGTATTTGAGGCCTTCGTTGGAAACGGGATTTCTTCATATAATGCTAGACAGAAGAATTCTCAGTAACTTCTTTGGGTTGTGGGTATTCAACTCACAGAGTTGAAGCTTCCTTTAGGCGGAGCAGATTGGAAACACTTTTTGTGGAATTTTCAGGGGGAGACTTCAAGCGCTTTGAAGTGAATGGTAGGAAAGGAAATATCTTCGTATAAAAACTAGACGGAGTCATTCTCAGAAACTACTTTGTGATGTTTGCGTTCAACTCACAGAGTTTAACGTTTCTTTTCATAGAGCAGTTTGGAAACACTCTTTTTGCAGAATCTGCAAGTGGATATTTGGACCTCTTTGTGGCCTTCGTTGGAAACGGGATTTTTCATATAATGCTAGACAGAAGAATTCTCAGTAACTTCTTTTTGTGGTGTGTATTCAACTCACAGAGTTGAACCTTCCTTTAGACAGAGCAGATTTGAAACTCTCTTTTTGTGGAATTTGCAAGTGGAGATTTCAAGCGCTTTGAGGCCAACGGCAGAAAAGGAAATATCTTCGTAGAAAAAATAGACGGAATCATTCTCAGAAACTGCTTTGGGATGTGTGCATTGAACTCACAGTGTTTAACACTTCTTTTCATAGAGCACTTTGGAAACACTCAGTTTGTAATGTCTGCAGCTGGATATTTGGACCTCTTTGAGGCCTTCGTAGTAAACGGGATTTCTTCGTGTAATGATAGACAATAGAATTCTCAGTGAATTTGTTTCTGTGTGTGTGTATTCAACTCACAGGGTTGAACCTTCCTTTAGACAGTGCAGATTTGAAACACTTGTCTGTGGAATTTGCAAGGGGAGATTTCAAGCACTTTGAGGCCATTGGTGGAAAAGGAAATATCTTCGTATGAAAACTAGACAGAATCATTCTCAGGAACTACTTTGTGATATGTGCATTCAACTCACAGAGTTTAACCTTTCTTTTCATAGATGAGTTTGGAAACAGTCAGTTTGTAAATTCTGCAACTGGATATTTGGACCTCTTTGAGGCTTTCGTTGGAAACGGGATTTCTTCACATAATGCTAGACAGAAGAATTCTCAGTAACTTCTTTTGGGATGTATGTATTCAAATCAGAGAGTTGAACCTTCCTTTAGACAGAGCGGATTGGAAACACTCTTTTTGTGGAATTTGCAAGTGGAAAATTCTAGCAGTATGAGGCCAATGGTACAAAAGGAAATATCTTCGTATAAAAACTAGACAGTATCATTCTCAGAAACTGCTTTGTGATGTGTGTATTAAACTCACAGAGTTGAACATTTCTTTGCATAGAGCAGTTTGGAAAGACTTAGTTTGTGCAGTGTGCAAGTGGATATTTGGAACTCTTTGAGGCCTTCGTTGGAAACGGGATTTCTTCTTATAATTCTTGACAAAAGAATTCTCAGTAGCTTCTTTGTGTGTGTGTATTCAACTCACAGAGTTGAACCTTCCTTTAGACAGAGCAGATTGGAAACACTCTTTTTGTGGAATTTGCAAGTGGAGAATTCTAGCGCTTTGACGCCAATGGTAGAAAGGAAATATCTTCGTATGCAAACTAGACAGTATCATTCTCAGAAGCTACTTTGTGATGTGTGCGTTCAACTCACAGAGTTTAACCTTTCTTTTCATAGAGCAGTTTGGAAACCCTCTGTTTGTGAAGTCTGCAAGTGGATATTTAAACGTCTTTGAGGCCTTCGTTGGAAACGGGATTTTTTCATATAAACCAGGACAGAAGAATTCTCAGAAACTTCTTGATTGTTATGTGTGCATTCAACTCACAGAGTTGAACCTTACTTTGGAAAGAGCAGTTTTCTAACACTCTTTTTGTAAAAGTTCCAAGTGAATACTTTGAGTGCTTTGAAGCCTACGGTTGACAACGAAATATCTTCATGTAAAAACTACAAAGAATCATTCGGAGAAACCACGTTGTGATCTCTGCATTCAACTCACAGAGTTGAACCTTTCTTCCTATAGAGCAGTTATGAAACAGTCTCTTTGTAGAATTTGCAAGGGTGTATTTAGAGGGCATTGAAGCCTACGGTAGAAAAGGAAATATCTTACCATAAAATCTAGTCAGAAGCATTCTCAGAAACTGAGTTGTGATGTTTGCATTCAACTCACAGAGTTCAACATTCCTTTTAATGGAGCGGTTTTGAAACACTCTTTTTGCAGAATCTGCAAGTGGATATTTGGACCTCTTTGAGGCCTTCGTTGGAAACGGGATTTCTTCATGTAATGCCAGACAGAAGAATTCTCAGTGAATTCTTTCTGTGTGTGTGTATTCAACTCACAGAGTTGAACGTTCCTTTAGACAGAGTAGATTGGAAACACTCTTTTTGTGGAATTTTCAGGTGGAGGTATCAAGCGCTTTGAGGCCAATGATAGAAAAGGAAATACCTTCGTATAATAATTAGACGGAATCATTCTCAGAAACTGCTTTGCAATGTGTGCGTTCAACTCACAGTGTTTAACCTTTCTTTTCATACAGTTGTTTCGAAACACTCTTTTTGCAGAATCTGCAAGTGGATATTTGGACCTCTTTGAAGTCTTCGTTGGAAATGGGATTTCTTCATATAATGCTAGACAGAAGACTTCTCAGTAACTGCTTTTTCTGGTGTGTATTCAACTCTCAGAGTTGAACTTTCCTTTAGAAACAGCAGATTTGAAACTCTCTTTTTGTGGAATTTGCAAGTGGAGATTTCAGAGCTTTGAGGCCAATGGTAGAAAAGGAAATATCTTCGTATGCAAACTAGACAGAATCATTCTCAGAAACTACTTTGGTACGTGTGTGTTCAACTCACAGTGTTTAACCTTTCTTTTCATAGAGCAGTTTGGAAACACTCAGTTTGTAAAGTCAGCAACTGGATATTTGGATGTATTTGAGGCCTTCGTTGGAAACGGGATTTCTTCATATAATGCTAGACAGAAGAATTCTCAGTAACTTCTTTGGGTTGTGGGTATTCAACTCACAGAGTTGAAGCTTCCTTTAGGCGGAGCAGATTGGAAACACTTTTTGTGGAATTTTCAGGGGGAGACTTCAAGCGCTTTGAAGTGAATGGTAGGAAAGGAAATATCTTCGTATAAAAACTAGACGGAGTCATTCTCAGAAACTACTTTGTGATGTTTGCGTTCAACTCACAGAGTTTAACGTTTCTTTTCATAGAGCAGTTTGGAAACACTCTTTTTGCAGAATCTGCAAGTGGATATTTGGACCTCTTTGTGGCCTTCGTTGGAAACGGGATTTTTCATATAATGCTAGACAGAAGAATTCTCAGTAACTTCTTTTTGTGGTGTGTATTCAACTCACAGAGTTGAACCTTCCTTTAGACAGAGCAGATTTGAAACTCTCTTTTTGTGGAATTTGCAAGTGGAGATTTCAAGCGCTTTGAGGCCAATGGCAGAAAAGGAAATATCTTCGTAGAAAAAATAGACGGAATCATTCTCAGAAACTGCTTTGGGATGTGTGCATTGAACTCACAGTGTTTAACACTTCTTTTCATAGAGCACTTTGGAAACACTCAGGTTGTAATGTCTGCAGCTGGATATTTGGACCTCTTTGAGGCCTTCGTAGTAAACGGGATTTCTTCGTGTAATGATAGACAATAGAATTCTCAGTGAATTTTTTTCAGTGTGTGTGTATTCAACTCACAGGGTTGAACCTTCCTTTAGACAGTGCAGATTTGAGACACTTGTCTGTGGAATTTGCAAGGGGAGATTTCAAGCACTTTGAGGCCATTGGTGGAAAAGGAAATATCTTCGTATGAAAACTAGACAGAATCATTCTCAGGAACTACTTTGTGATATGTGCATTCAACTCCCAGAGTTTAACCTTTCTTTTCATAGATGAGTTTGGAAACAGTCAGTTTGTAAATTCTGCAACTGGATATTTGGACCTCTTTGAGGCTTTCGTTGGAAACGGGATTTCTTCACATAATGCTAGACAGAAGAATTCTCAGTAACTTCTTTTGGGATGTATGTATTCAAATCAGAGAGTTGAACCTTCCTTTAGACAGAGCGGATTGGAAACACTCTTTTTGTGGAATTTGCAAGTGGAAAATTCTAGCAGTATGAGGCCAATGGTACAAAAGGAAATATCTTCGTATAAAAACTAGACAGTATCATTCTCAGAAACTGCTTTGTGATGTGTGTATTAAACTCACAGAGTTGAACATTTCTTTGCATAGAGCAGTTTGGAAAGACTTAGTTTGTGCAGTGTGCAAGTGGATATTTGGAACTCTTTGAGGCCTTCGTTGGAAACGGGATTTCTTCTTATAATTCTTGACAAAAGAATTCTCAGTAGCTTCTTTGTGTGTGTGTATTCAACTCACAGAGTTGAACCTTCCTTTAGACAGAGCAGATTGGAAACACTCTTTTTGTGGAATTTGCAAGTGGAGAATTCTAGCGCTTTGACGCCAATGGTAGAAAGGAAATATCTTCGTATAAACACTAGACAGTATCATTCTCAGAAGCTACTTTGTGATGTGTGCGTTCAACTCACAGAGTTTAACCTTTCTTTTCATAGAGCAGTTTGGAAACCCTCTGTTTGTGAAGTCTGCAAGTGGATATTTAAACGTCTTTGAGGCCTTCGTTGGAAACGGGATTTTTTCATATAAACCAGGACAGAAGAATTCTCAGAAACTTCTTGATTGTTATGTGTGCATTCAACTCACAGAGTTGAACCTTACTTTGGAAAGAGCAGTTTCCTAACACTCGTTTTGTAAAAGTTCCAAGTGAATACTTTGAGTGCTTTGAAGCCTACGGTTGACAACGAAATATCTTCATGTAAAAACTACAAAGAATCATTCGCAGAAACCACGTTGTGATCTCTGCATTCAACTCACAGAGTTCAACCTTTCTTCCTATAGAGCAGTTATGAAACAGTCTCTTTGTAGAATTTGCAAGGGTGTATTTAGAGGGCATTGAAGCCTACGGTAGAAAAGGAAATATCTTACCATAAAATCTAGTCAGAAGCATTCTCAGAAACTGAGTTGTGATGTTTGCATTCAACTCACAGAGTTCAACATTCCTTTTAATGGAGCGGTTTTGAAACACTCTTTTTTGCAGAATCTGCAAGTGGATATTTGGACCTCTTTGAGGCCTTCGTTGGAAACGGGATTTCTTCATGTAATGCCAGACAGAAGAATTCTCAGTGAATTCTTTCTGTGTGTGTGTATTCAACTCACAGAGTTGAACGTTCCTTTAGACAGAGTAGATTGGAAACACTCTTTTTGTGGAATTTTCAGGTGGAGGTATCAAGCGCTTTGAGGCCAATGATAGAAAAGGAAATACCTTCGTATAATAATTAGACGGAATCATTCTCAGAAACCGCTTTGCAATGTGTGCGTTCAACTCACAGTGTTTAACCTTTCTTTTCATACAGTTGTTTCGAAACACTCTTTTTGCAGAATCTGCAAGTGGATATTTGGACCTCTTTGAAGTCTTCGTTGGAAATGGGATTTCTTCATATAATGCTAGACAGAAGACTTCTCAGTAACTGCTTTTTCTGGTGTGTATTCAACTCTCAGAGTTGAACTTTCCTTTAGAAACAGCAGATTTGAAACTCTCTTTTTGTGGAATTTGCAAGTGGAGATTTCAGAGCTTTGAGGCCAATGGTAGAAAAGGAAATATCTTCGTATGCAAACTAGACAGAATCATTCTCAGAAACTACTTTGGTACGTGTGTGTTCAACTCACAGTGTTTAACCTTTCTTTTCATAGAGCAGTTTGGAAACACTCAGTTTGTAAAGTCAGCAACTGGATATTTGGATGTATTTGAGGCCTTCGTTGGAAACGGGATTTCTTCATATAATGCTAGACAGAAGAATTCTCAGTAACTTCTTTGGGTTGTGGGTATTCAAGTCACAGAGTTGAAGCTTCCTTTAGGCGGAGCAGATTGGAAACACTTTTTGTGGAATTTTCAGGGGGAGACTTCAAGCGCTTTGAAGTGAATGGTAGGAAAGGAAATATCTTCGTATAAAAACTAGACGGAGTCATTCTCAGAAACTACTTTGTGATGTTTGCGTTCAACTCACAGAGTTTAACGTTTCTTTTCATAGAGCAGTTTGGAAACACTCTTTTTGCAGAATCTGCAAGTGGATATTTGGACCTCTTTGTGGCCTTCGTTGGAAACGGGATTTTTCATATAATGCTAGACAGAAGAATTCTCAGTAACTTCTTTTTGTGGTGTGTATTCAACTCACAGAGTTGAACCTTCCTTTAGACAGAGCAGATTTGAAACTCTCTTTTTGTGGAATTTGCAAGTGGAGATTTCAAGCGCTTTGAGGCCAACGGCAGAAAAGGAAATAACTTCGTAGAAAAAATAGACGGAATCATTCTCAGAAACTGCTTTGGGATGTGTGCATTGAACTCACAGTGTTTAACACTTCTTTTCATAGAGCACTTTGGAAACACTCAGTTTGTAATGTCTGCAGCTGGATATTTGGACCTCTTTGAGGCCTTCGTAGTAAACGGGATTTCTTCGTGTAATGATAGACAATAGAATTCTCAGTGAATTTTTTTCTGTGTGTGTGTATTCAACTCACAGGGTTGAACCTTCCTTTAGACAGTGCAGATTTGAAACACTTGTCTGTGGAATTTGCAAGGGGAGATTTCAAGCACTTTGAGGCCATTGGTGGAAAAGGAAATATCTTCGTATGAAAACTAGACAGAATCATTCTCAGGAACTACTTTGTGATATGTGCATTCAACTCACAGAGTTTAACCTTTCTTTTCATAGATGAGTTTGGAAACAGTCAGTTTGTAAATTCTGCAACTGGATATTTGGACCTCTTTGAGGCTTTCGTTGGAAACGGGATTTCTTCACATAATGCTAGACAGAAGAATTCTCAGTAACTTCTTTTGGGATGTATGTATTCAAATCAGAGAGTTGAACCTTCCTTTAGACAGAGCGGATTGGAAACACTCTTTTTGTGGAATTTGCAAGTGGAAAATTCCTAGCAGTATGAGGCCAATGGTACAAAAGGAAATATCTTCGTATAAAAACTAGACAGTATCATTCTCAGAAACTGCTTTGTGATGTGTGTATTAAACTCACAGAGTTGAACATTTCTTTGCATAGAGCAGTTTGGAAAGACTTAGTTTGTGCAGTGTGCAAGTGGATATTTGGAACTCTTTGAGGCCTTCGTTGGAAACGGGATTTCTTCTTATAATTTCTTGAAAAAAGAATTCTCAGTAGCTTCTTTGTGTGTGTGTATTCAACTCACAGAGTTGAACCTTCCTTTAGACAGAGCAGGTTGGAAACACTCTTTTTGTGGAATTTGCAAGTGGAGAATTCTAGCGCTTTGACGCCAATGGTAGAAAGGAAATATCTTCGTATAAAAACTAGACAGTTATCATTCTCAGAAACTACTTTGTGATGTGTGCGTTCAACTCACAGAAGTTTAACCTTTCTTTTCATAGAGCAGTTTGGAAACACTCTGTTTGTGAAGTCTGCAAGTGGATATTTAAACGTCTTTGAGGCCTTCGTTGGAAACGGGATTTGTTCATATAAACCAGGACAGAAGAATTCTCAGAAACTTCTTGTTTGTTATGTGTGCATTCAACTCACAGAGTTGAACCTTACTTCGGAAAGAGCAGTTTTCTAACACTCTTTTTGTAAAAGTTCCAAGTGAATACTTTGAGTGCTTTTGAAGCCTACGGTAGACAACGAAATAGCTTCATGTAAAAACTGCAAAGAATCATTCGCAGAAACCAAGTTGTGATCTCTGCATTCAACTCACAGAGTTCAACCTTTCTTCCTATAGAGCAGTTATGAAACAGTCTCTTTGTAGAATTTGCAAGGGTGTATTTAGAGGGCATTGAAGCCTACGGTAGAAAAGGAAATATCTTACCATAAAATCTAGTCAGAAGCATTCTCAGAAACTGAGTTGTGATGTTTGCATTCAACTCACAGAGTTCAACATTCCTTTTAATGGAGCGGTTTTGAAACACTCTTTTTGCAGAATCTGCAAGTGGATATTTGGACCTCTTTGAGGCCTTCGTTGGAAACGGGATTTCTTCATGTAATGCCAGACAGAAGAATTCTCAGTGAATTCTTTCTGTGTGTGTGTATTCAACTCACAGAGTTGAACGTTCCTTTAGACAGAGTAGATTGGAAACACTCTTTTTGTGGAATTTTCAGGTGGAGGTATCAAGCGCTTTGAGGCCAATGATAGAAAAGGAAATACCTTCGTATAATAATTAGACGGAATCATTCTCAGAAACCGCTTTGCAATGTGTGCGTTCAACTCACAGTGTTTAACCTTTCTTTTCATACAGTTGTTTCGAAACACTCTTTTTGCAGAATCTGCAAGTGGATATTTGGACCTCTTTGAAGTCTTCGTTGGAAATGGGATTTCTTCATATAATGCTAGACAGAAGACTTCTCAGTAACTGCTTTTTCTGGTGTGTATTCAACTCTCAGAGTTGAACTTTCCTTTAGAAACAGCAGATTTGAAACTCTCTTTTTGTGGAATTTGCAAGTGGAGATTTCAGAGCTTTGAGGCCAATGGTAGAAAAGGAAATATCTTCGTATGCAAACTAGACAGAATCATTCTCAGAAACTACTTTGGTACGTGTGTGTTCAACTCACAGTGTTTAACCTTTCTTTTCATAGAGCAGTTTGGAAACACTCAGTTTGTAAAGTCAGCAACTGGATATTTGGATGTATTTGAGGCCTTCGTTGGAAACGGGATTTCTTCATATAGTGCTAGACAGAAGAATTCTCAGTAACTTCTTTGGGTTGTGGGTATTCAACTCACAGAGTTGAAGCTTCCTTTAGGCGGAGCAGATTGGAAACACTTTTTGTGGAATTTTCAGGGGGAGACTTCAAGCGCTTTGAAGTGAATGGTAGAAAAGGAAATATCTTCGTATAAAAACTAGACGGAGTCATTCTCAGAAACTACTTTGTGATGTTTGCGTTCAACTCACAGAGTTTAACGTTTCTTTTCATAGAGCAGTTTGGAAACACTCTTTTTGCAGAATCTGCAAGTGGATATTTGGACCTCTTTGTGGCCTTCGTTGGAAACGGGATTTTTCATATAATGCTAGACAGAAGAATTCTCAGTAACTTCTTTTTGTGGTGTGTATTCAACTCACAGAGTTGAACCTTCCTTTAGACAGAGCAGATTTGAAACTCTCTTTTTGTGGAATTTGCAAGTGGAGATTTCAAGCGCTTTGAGGCCAACGGCAGAAAAGGAAATATCTTCGTAGAAAAAATAGACGGAATCATTCTCAGAAACTGCTTTGGGATGTGTGCATTGAACTCACAGTGTTTAACACTTCTTTTCATAGAGCACTTTGGAAACACTCAGTTTGTAATGTCTGCAGCTGGATATTTGGACCTCTTTGAGGCCTTCGTAGTAAACGGGATTTCTTCGTGTAATGATAGACAATAGAATTCTCAGTGAATTTTTTTCTGTGTGTGTGTATTCAACTCACAGGGTTGAACCTTCCTTTAGACAGTGCAGATTTGAAACACTTGTCTGTGGAATTTGCAAGGGGAGATTTCAAGCACTTTGAGGCCATTGGTGGAAAAGGAAATATCTTCGTATAAAAACTAGACAGAATCATTCTCAGGAACTACTTTGTGATATGTGCATTCAACTCACAGAGTTTAACCTTTCTTTTCATAGATGAGTTTGGAAACAGTCAGTTTGTAAATTCTGCAACTGGATATTTGGACCTCTTTGAGGCTTTCGTTGGAAACGGGATTTCTTCACATAATGCTAGACAGAAGAATTCTCAGTAACTTCTTTTGGGATGTATGTATTCAAATCAGAGAGTTGAACCTTCCTTTAGACAGAGCGGATTGGAAACACTCTTTTTGTGGAATTTGCAAGTGGAAAATTCTAGCAGTATGAGGCCAATGGTACAAAAGGAAATATCTTCGTATAAAAACTAGACAGTATCATTCTCAGAAACTGCTTTGTGATGTGTGTATTAAACTCACAGAGTTGAACATTTCTTTGCATAGAGCAGTTTGGAAAGACTTAGTTTGTGCAGTGTGCAAGTGGATATTTGGAACTCTTTGAGGCCTTCGTTGGAAACGGGATTTCTTCTTATAATTCTTGACAAAAGAATTCTCAGTAGCTTCTTTGTGTGTGTGTATTCAACTCACAGAGTTGAACCTTCCTTTAGACAGAGCAGATTGGAAACACTCTTTTTGTGGAATTTGCAAGTGGAGAATTCTAGCGCTTTGACGCCAATGGTAGAAAGGAAATATCTTCGTATAAAAACTAGACAGTATCATTCTCAGAAGCTACTTTGTGATGTGTGCGTTCAACTCACAGAGTTTAACCTTTCTTTTCATAGAGCAGTTTGGAAACCCTCTGTTTGTGAAGTCTGCAAGTGGATATTTAAACGTCGTTGAGGCCTGCGTTGGAAACGGGATTTCTTCATATAAACCAGGACAGAAGAATTCTCAGAAACTTCTTGATTGTTATGTGTGCATTCAACTCACAGAGTTGAACCTTACTTTGGAAAGAGCAGTTTTCTAACACTCTTTTTGTAAAAGTTCCAAGTGAATACTTTGAGTGTTTTGAAGCCTACGGTTGACAACGAAATATCTTCATGTAAAAACTACAAAGAATCATTCGCAGAAACCACGTTGTGATCTCTGCATTCAACTCACAGAGTTCAACCTTTCTTCCTATAGAGCAGTTATTAAACAGTCTCTTTGTAGAATTTGCAAGGGTGTATTTAGAGGGTATTGAAGCGTATGGTAGAAAAGGAAATATCTGACCATAAAATCTAGTCAGAAGCATTCTCAGAAACTGAGTTGTGATGTTTGCATTCAACTCACAGAGTTCAACATTCCTTTTCATGGAGCGGTTTTGAAACACTCTTTTTGCAGAATCTGCAAGTGGATATTTGGACCTCTTTGAGGCCTTCGTTGGAAACGGGATTTCTTCATGTAATGCCAGACAGAAGAATACTCAGTGAATTCTTTCTGTGTGTGTGTATTCAACTCACAGAGTTGAACGTTCCTTTAGACAGAGTAGATTGGAAACACTCTTTTAGTGGAATTTTCAGGTGGAGGTATCAAGCGCTTTGAGGCCCATGATAGAAAAGGAAATACCTTCGTATAATAATTAGACGGAATCATTCTCAGAAACTGCTTTGCAATGTGTGCCTTCAACTCACAGCGTTTAACCTTTCTTTTCATACAGTTGTTTCGAAACACTCTTTTTGCAGAATCTGCAAGTGGATATTTGGACCTCTTTGAAGTCTTCGTTGGAAACGGGATTTCTTCATATAATGCTAGACAGAAGACTTCTCAGTAACTGCTTTTTCTGGTGTGTATTCAACTCTCAGAGTTGAACTTTCCTTTAGAAACAGCAGATTTGAAACTCTCTTTTTGTGGAATTTGCAAGTGGAGATTTCAGAGCTTTGAGGCCAATGGTAGAAAAGGAAATATCTTCGTATGCAAACTAGACAGAATCATTCTCAGAAACTACTTTGGTACGTGTGTGTTCAACTCACAGTGTTTAACCTTTCTTTTCATAGAGCAGTTTGGAAACACTCAGTTTGTAAAGTCAGCAACTGGATATTTGGATGTATTTGAGGCCTTCGTTGGAAACGGGATTTCTTCATATAATGCTAGACAGAAGAATTCTCAGTAACTTCTTTGGGTTGTGGGTATTCAACTCACAGAGTTGAAGCTTCCTTTAGGCGGAGCAGATTGGAAACACTTTTTGTGGAATTTTCAGGGGAGACTTCAAGCGCTTTGAAGTGAATGGTAGAAAAGGAAATATCTTCGTATAAAAACTAGACGGAGTCATTCTCAGAAACTACTTTGTGATGTTTGCGTTCAACTCACAGAGTTTAACGTTTCTTTTCATAGAGCAGTTTGGAAACACTTTTTTTGCAGAATCTGCAAGTGGATATTTGGACCTCTTTGTGGCCTTCGTTGGAAACGGGATTTTTCATATAATGCTAGACAGAAAAATTCTCAGTAACTTCTTTTTGTGGTGTGTATTCAACTCACAGAGTTGAACCTTCCTTTAGACAGAGCAGATTTGAAACTCTCTTTTCGTGGAATTTGCAAGTGGAGATTTCAAGCGCTTTGAGGCCAACGGTAGAAAAGGAAATATCTTCGTAGAAAAAATAGACGGAATCATTCTCAGAAACTGCTTTGGGATGTGTGCATTGAACTCACAGTGTTTAACACTTCTTTTCATAGAGCACTTTGGAAACACTCAGTTTGTAATGTCTGCAGCTGGATATTTGGACCTCTTTGAGGCCTTCGTAGTAAACGGGATTTCTTCGTGTAATGATAGACAATAGAATTCTCAGTGAATTTTTTTCTGTGTGTGTGTATTCAACTCACAGGGTTGAACCTTCCTTTAGACAGTGCAGATTTGAAACACTTGTCTGTGGAATTTGCAAGGGGAGATTTCAAGCACTTTGAGGGCATTGGTGGAAAAGGAAATATCTTCGTATAAAAACTAGACAGAATCATTCTCAGGAACTACTTTGTGATATGTGCATTCAACTCCCAGAGTTTAACCTTTCTTTTCATAGATGAGTTTGGAAACAGTCAGTTTGTAAATTCTGCAACTGGATATTTGGACCTCTTTGAGGCTTTCGTTGGAAACGGGATTTCTTCACATAATGCTAGACAGAAGAATTCTCAGTAACTTCTTTTGGGATGTATGTATTCAAATCAGAGTGTTGAACCTTCCTTTAGACAGAGCGGATTGGAAACACTCTTTTTGTGGAATTTGCAAGTGGAAAATTCTAGCAGTATGAGGCCAATGGTACAAAAGGAAATATCTTCGTATAAAAACTAGACAGTATCATTCTCAGAAACTGCTTTGTGATGTGTGTATTAAACTCACAGAGTTGAACATTTCTTTGCATAGAGCAGTTTGGAAAGACTTAGTTTGTGCAGTGTGCAAGTGGATATTTGGAACTCTTTGAGGCCTTCGTTGGAAACGGGATTTCTTCTTATAATTCTTGACAAAAGAATTCTCAGTAGCTTCTTTGTGTGTGTGTATTCAACTCACAGAGTTGAACCTTCCTTTAGACAGAGCAGATTGGAAACACTCTTTTTGTGGAATTTGCAAGTGGAGAATTCTAGCGCTTTGACGCCAATGGTAGAAAGGAAATATCTTCGTATAAAAACTAGACAGTTATCATTCTCAGAAAGCTACTTTGTGATGTGTGCGTTCAACTCACAGAGTTTAACCTTTCTTTTCATAGAGCAGTTTGGAAACCCTCTGTTTGTGAAGTCTGCAAGTGGATATATAAACGTCTTTGAGGCCTTCGTTGGAAACGGGATTTTTTCATATAAACCAGGACAGAAGAATTCTCAGAAACTTCTTGATTGTTATGTGTGCATTCAACTCACAGAGTTGAACCTTACTTTGGAAAGAGCAGTTTTCTAACACTCTTTTTGTAAAAGTTCCAAGTGAATACTTTGAGTGCTTTGAAGCCTACGGTTGACAACGAAATATCTTCCTGTAAAAACTACAAAGAATCATTCGCAGAAACCACGTTGTGATCTCTGCATTCAACTCACAGAGTTCAACCTTTCTTCCTATAGAGCAGTTATGAAACAGTCTCTTTGTAGAATTTGCAAGGGTGTATTTAGAGGGCATTGAAGCCTACGGTAGAAAAGGAAATATCTTACCATAAAATCTAGTCAGAAGCATTCTCAGCAACTGAGTTGTGATGTTTCCATTCCACTCACAGAGTTCAACATTCCTTTTAATGGAGCGGTTTTGAAACACTCTTTTTGCAGAATCTGCAAGTGGATATTTGGACCTCTTTGAGGCCTTCGTTGGAAACGGGATTTCTTCATGTAATGCCAGACAGAAGAATTCTCAGTGAATTCTTTCTGTGTGTGTGTATTCAACTCACAGAGTTGAACGTTCCTTTAGACAGAGTAGATTGGAAACACTCTTTTTGTGGAATTTTCAGGTGGAGGTATCAAGCGCTTTGAGGCCAATGATAGAAAAGGAAATACCTTCGTATAATAATTAGACGGAATCATTCTCAGAAACTGCTTTGCAATGTGTGCGTTCAACTCACAGTGTTTAACCTTTCTTTTCATACAGTTGTTTCGAAACACTCTTTTTGCAGAATCTGCAAGTGGATATTTGGACCTCTTTGAAGTCTTCGTTGGAAATGGGATTTCTTCATATAATGCTAGACAGAAGACTTCTCAGTAACTGCTTTTTCTGGTGTGTATTCAACTCTCAGAGTTGAACTTTCCTTTAGAAACAGCAGATTTGAAACTCTCTTTTTGTGGAATTTGCAAGTGGAGATTTCAGAGCTTTGAGGCCAATGGTAGAAAAGGAAATATCTTCGTATGCAAACTAGACAGAATCATTCTCAGAAACTACTTTGGTACGTGTGTGTTCAACTCACAGTGTTTAACCTTTCTTTTCATAGAGCAGTTTGGAAACACTCAGTTTGTAAAGTCAGCAACTGGATATTTGGATGTATTTGAGGCCTTCGTTGGAAACGGGATTTCTTCATATAATGCTAGACAGAAGAATTCTCAGTAACTTCTTTGGGTTGTGGGTATTCAAGTCACAGAGTTGAAGCTTCCTTTAGGCGGAGCAGATTGGAAACACTTTTTGTGGAATTTTCAGGGGGAGACTTCAAGCGCTTTGAAGTGAATGGTAGGAAAGGAAATATCTTCGTATAAAAACTAGATGGAGTCATTTTCAGAAACTACTTTGTGATGTTTGCGTTCAACTCACAGAGTTTAACGTTTCTTTTCATAGAGCAGTTTGGAAACACTCTTTTTGCAGAATCTGCAAGTGGATATTTGGACCTCTTTGTGGCCTTCGTTGGAAACGGGATTTTTCATATAATGCTAGACAGAAGAATTCTCAGTAACTTCTTTTTGTGGTGTGTATTCAACTCACAGAGTTGAACCTTCCTTTAGACAGAGCAGATTTGAAACTCTCTTTTTGTGGAATTTGCAAGTGGAGATTTCAAGCGCTTTGAGGCCAACGGCAGAAAAGGAAATATCTTCGTAGAAAAAATAGACGGAATCATTCTCAGAAACTGCTTTGGGATGTGTGCATTGAACTCACAGTGTTTAACACTTCTTTTCATAGAGCACTTTGGAAACACTCAGTTTGTAATGTCTGCAGCTGGATATTTGGACCTCTTTGAGGCCTTCGTAGTAAACGGGATTTCTTCGTGTAATGATAGACAATAGAATTCTCAGTGAATTTTTTTCTGTGTGTGTGTATTCAACTCACAGGGTTGAACCTTCCTTTAGACAGTGCAGATTTGAAACACTTGTCTGTGGAATTTGCAAGGGGAGATTTCAAGCACTTTGAGGCCATTGGTGGAAAAGGAAATATCTTCGTATGAAAACTAGACAGAATCATTCTCAGGAACTACTTTGTGATATGTGCATTCAACTCCCAGAGTTTAACCTTTCTTTTCATAGATGAGTTTGGAAACAGTCAGTTTGTAAATTCTGCAACTGGATATTTGGACCTCTTTGAGGCTTTCGTTGGAAACGGGATTTCTTCACATAATGCTAGACAGAAGAATTCTCAGGAACTTCTTTTGGGATGTATGTATTCAAATCAGAGAGTTGAACCTTCCTTTAGACAGAGCGGATTGGAAACACTCTTTTTGTGGAATTTGCAAGTGGAAAATTCTAGCAGTATGAGGCCAATGGTACAAAAGGAAATATCTTCGTATAAAAACTAGACAGTATCATTCTCAGAAACTGCTTTGTGATGTGCGTATTAAACTCACAGAGTTGAACATTTCTTTGCATAGAGCAGTTTGGAAAGACTTAGTTTGTGCAGTGTGCAAGTGGATATTTGGAACTCTTTGAGGCCTTCGTTGGAAACGGGATTTCTTCTTGTAATTCTTGACAAAAGAATTCTCAGTAGCTTCTTTGTGTGTGTGTATTCAACTCACAGAGTTGAACCTTCCTTTAGACAGAGCAGATTGGAAACACTCTTTTTGTGGAATTTGCAAGTGGAGAATTCTAGCGCTTTGACGCCAATGGTAGAAAGGAAATATCTTCGTATAAAAACTAGACAGTATCATTCTCAGAAGCTACTTTGTGATGTGTGCGTTCAACTCACAGAGTTTAACCTTTCTTTTCATAGAGCAGTTTGGAAACCCTCTGTTTGTGAAGTCTGCAAGTGGATATTTAAACGTCTTTGAGGCCTTCGTTGGAAACGGGATTTCTTCATATAAACCAGGACAGAAGAATTCTCAGAAACTTCTTGATTGTTATGTGTGCATTCAACTCACAGAGTTGAACCTTACTTTGGAAAGAGCAGTTTTCTAACACTCTTTTTGTAAAAGTTCCAAGTGAATACTTTGAGTGCTTTGAAGCCTACGGTTGACAACGAAATATCTTCATGTAAAAACTACAAAGAATCATTCGCAGAAACCACGTTGTGATCTCTGCATTCAACTCACAGAGTTGAACCTTTCTTCCTATAGAGCAGTTATGAAACAGTCTCTTTGTAGAATTTGCAAGGGTGTATTTAGAGGGCATTGAAGCCTACGGTAGAAAAGGAAATATCTTACCATAAAATCTAGTCAGAAGCATTCTCAGCAACTGAGTTGTGATGTTTGCATTCAACTCACAGAGTTCAACATTCCTTTTAATGGAGCGGTTTTGAAACACTCTTTTTGCAGAATCTGCAAGTGGATATTTGGACCTCTTTGAGGCCTTCGTTGGAAACGGGATTTCTTCATGTAATGCCAGACAGAAGAATTCTCAGTGAATTCTTTCTGTGTGTGTGTATTCAACTCACAGAGTTGAACGTTCCTTTAGACAGAGTAGATTGGAAACACTCTTTTTGTGGAATTTTCAGGTGGAGGTATCAAGCGCTTTGAGGCCAATGATAGAAAAGGAAATACCTTCGTATAATAATTAGACGGAATCATTCTCAGAAACTGCTTTGCAATGTGTGCGTTCAACTCACAGTGTTTAACCTTTCTTTTCATACAGTTGTTTCGAAACACTCTTTTTGCAGAATCTGCAAGTGGATATTTGGACCTCTTTGAAGTCTTCGTTGGAAATGGGATTTCTTCATATAATGCTAGACAGAAGACTTCTCAGTAACTGCTTTTTCTGGTGTGTATTCAACTCTCAGAGTTGAACTTTCCTTTAGAAACAGCAGATTTGAAACTCTCTTTTTGTGGAATTTGCAAGTGGAGATTTCAGAGCTTTGAGGCCAATGGTAGAAAAGGAAATATCTTCGTATGCAAACTAGACAGAATCATTCTCAGAAACTACTTTGGTACGTGTGTGTTCAACTCACAGTGTTTAACCTTTCTTTTCATAGAGCAGTTTGGAAACACTCAGTTTGTAAAGTCAGCAACTGGATATTTGGATGTATTTGAGGCCTTCGTTGGAAACGGGATTTCTTCATATAGTGCTAGACAGAAGAATTCTCAGTAACTTCTTTGGGTTGTGGGTATTCAAGTCACAGAGTTGAAGCTTCCTTTAGGCGGAGCAGATTGGAAACACTTTTTGTGGAATTTTCAGGGGGAGACTTCAAGCGCTTTGAAGTGAATGGTAGGAAAGGAAATATCTTCGTATAAAAACTAGACGGAGTCATTCTCAGAAACTACTTTGTGATGTTTGCGTTCAACTCACAGAGTTTAACGTTTCTTTTCATAGAGCAGTTTGGAAACACTCTTTTTGCAGAATCTGCAAGTGGATATTTGGTCCTCTTTGTGGCCTTCGTTGGAAACGGGATTTTTCATATAATGCTAGACAGAAGAATTCTCAGTAACTTCTTTTTGTGGTGTGTATTCAACTCACAGAGTTGAACCTTCCTTTAGACAGAGCAGATTTGAAACTCTCTTTTTGTGGAATTTGCAAGTGGAGATTTCAAGCGCTTTGAGGCCAACGGCAGAAAAGGAAATATCTTCGTAGAAAAAATAGACGTAATCATTCTCAGAAACTGCTTTGGGATGTGTGCATTGAACTCACAGTGTTTAACACTTCTTTTCATAGAGCACTTTGGAAACACTCAGTTTGTAATGTCTGCAGCTGGATATTTGGACCTCTTTGAGGCCTTCGTAGTAAACGGGATTTCTTCGTGTAATGATAGACAATAGAATTCTCAGTGAATTTTTTTCTGTGTGTGTGTATTCAACTCACAGGGTTGAACCTTCCTTTAGACAGTGCAGATTTGAAACACTTGTCTGTGGAATTTGCAAGGGGAGATTTCAAGCACTTTGAGGCCATTGGTGGAAAAGGAAATATCTTCGTATAAAAGCTAGACAGAATCATTCTCAGGAACTACTTTGTGATATGTGCATTCAACTCACAGAGTTTAACCTTTCTTTTCATACATGAGTTTGGAAACAGTCAGTTTGTAAATTCTGCAACTGGATATTTGGACCTCTTTGAGGCTTTCGTTGGAAACGGGATTTCTTCACATAATGCTAGACAGAAGAATTCTCAGTAACTTCTTTTGGGATGTATGTATTCAAATCAGAGAGTTGAACCTTCCTTTAGACAGAGCGGATTGGAAACACTCGTTTTGTGGAATTTGCAAGTGGAAAATTCTAGCAGTATGAGGCCAATGGTACAAAAGGAAATATGTTCGTATAAAAACTAGACAGTATCATTCTCAGAAACTGCTTTGTGATGTGTGTATTAAACTCACAGAGTTGAACATTTCTTTGCATAGAGCAGTTTGGAAAGACTTAGTTTGTGCAGTGTGCAAGTGGATATTTGGAACTCTTTGAGGCCTTCGTTGGAAACGGGATTTCTTCTTATAATTCTTGACAAAAGAATTCTCAGTAGCTTCTTTGTGTGTGTGTATTCAACTCACAGAGTTGAACCTTCCTTTAGACAGAGCAGATTGGAAACACTCTTTTTGTGGAATTTGCAAGTGGAGAATTCTAGCGCTTTGACGCCAATGGTAGAAAGGAAATATCTTCGTATAAAAACTAGACAGTATCATTCTCAGAAACTACTTTGTGATGTGTGCGTTCAACTCACAGAGTTTAACCTTTCTTTTCATAGAGCAGTTTGGAAACACTCTGTTTGTGAAGTCTGCAAGTGGATATTTAAACATCTTTGAGGCCTTCGTTGGAAACGGGATTTTTTCATATAAACCAGGACAGAAGAATTCTCAGAAACTTCCTGATTGTTATGTGTGCATTCAACTCACAGACTTGAACCTTACTTTGGAAAGAGCAGTTTTCTAACACTCTTTTTGTAAAAGTTCCAAGTGAATACTTTGAGTGCTTTGAAGCCTACGGTTGACAACGAAATATCTTCATGTAAAAACTACAAAGAATCATTCGCAGAAACCACGTTGTGATCTCTGCATTCAACTCACAGAGTTGAACCTTTCTTCCTATAGAGCAGTTATGAAACAGTCTCTTTGTAGAATTTGCAAGGGTGTATTTAGAGGGCATTGAAGCCTACGGTAGAAAAGGAAATATCTTACCATAAAATACTAGTCAGAAGCATTCTCAGAAACTGAGTTGTGATGTTTGCATTCAACTCACAGAGTTCAACATTCCTTTTAATGGAGCGGTTTTGAAACACTCTTTTTGCAGAATCTGCAAGTGGATATTTGGACCTCTTTGAGGCCTTCGTTGGAAACGGGATTTCTTCATGTAATGCCAGACAGAAGAATTCTCAGTGAATTCTTTCTGTGTGTGTGTATTCAACTCACGGAGTTGAACGTTCCTTTAGACAGAGTAGATTGGAAACACTCTTTTTGTGGAATTTTCAGGTGGAGGTATCAAGCGCTTTGAGGCCAATGATAGAAAAGGAAATACCTTCGTATAATAATTAGACGGAATCATTCTCAGAAACTGCTTTGCAATGTGTGCGTTCAACTCACAGTGTTTAACCTTTCTTTTCATACAGTTGTTTCGAAACACTCTTTTTGCAGAATCTGCAAGTGGATATTTGGACCTCTTTGAAGTCTTCGTTGGAAATGGGATTTCTTCATATAATGCTAGACAGAAGACTTCTCAGTAACTGCTTTTTCTGGTGTGTATTCAACTCTCAGAGTTGAACTTTCCTTTAGAAACAGCAGAGTTGAAACTCTCTTTTTGTGGAATTTGCAAGTGGAGATTTCAAAGCTTTGAGGCCAATGGTAGAAAAGGAAATATCTTCGTATGCAAACTAGACAGAATCATTCTCAGAAACTACTTTGGTACGTGTGTGTTCAAGTCACAGTGTTTAACCTTTCTTTTCATAGAGCAGTTTGGAAACACTCAGTTTGTAAAGTCAGCAACTGGATATTTGGATGTATTTGAGGCCTTCGTTGGAAACGGGATTTCTTCATATAGTGCTAGACAGAAGAATTCTCAGTAACTTCTTTGGGTTGTGGGTATTCAACTCACAGAGTTGAAGCTTCCTTTAGGCGGAGCAGATTGGAAACACTTTTTGTGGAATTTTCAGGGGGAGACTTCAAGCGCTTTGAAGTGAATGGTAGGAAAGGAAATATCTTCGTATAAAAACTAGACGGAGTCATTCTCAGAAACTACTTTGTGATGTTTGCGTTCAACTCACAGAGTTTAACGTTTCTTTTCATAGAGCAGTTTGGAAACACTCTTTTTGCAGAATCTGCAAGTGGATATTTGGACCTCTTTGTGGCCTTCGTTGGAAACGGGATTTTTCATATAATGCTAGACAGAAGAATTCTCAGTAACTTCTTTTTGTGGTGTGTATTCAACTCACAGAGTTGAACCTTCCTTTAGACAGAGCAGATTTGAAACTCTCTTTTTGTGGAATTTGCAAGTGGAGATTTCAAGCGCTTTGAGGCCAACGGCAGAAAAGGAAATATCTTCGTAGAAAAAATAGACGGCATCATTCTCAGAAACTGCTTTGGGATGTGTGCATTGAACTCACAGTGTTTAACACTTCTTTTCATAGAGCACTTTGGAAACACTCAGGTTGTAATGTCTGCAGCTGGATATTTGGACCTCTTTGAGGCCTTCGTAGTAAACGGGATTTCTTCGTGTAATGATAGACAATAGAATTCTCAGTGAATTTTTTTCTGTGTGTGTGTATTCAACTCACAGGGTTGAACCTTCCTTTAGACAGTGTAGATTTGAAACACTTGTCTGTGGAATTTGCAAGGGGAGATTTCAAGCACTTTGAGGCCATTGGTGGAAAAGGAAATATCTTCGTATAAAAACTAGACAGAATCATTCTCAGGAACTACTTTGTGATATGTGCATTCAACTCCCAGAGTTTAACCTTTCTTTTCATAGATGAGTTTGGAAACAGTCAGTTTGTAAATTCTGCAACTGGATATTTGGACCTCTTTGAGGCTTTCGTTGGAAACGGGATTTCTTCACATAATGCTAGACAGAAGAATTCTCAGTAACTTCTTTTGGGATGTATGTATTCAAATCAGAGAGTTGAACCTTCCTTTAGACAGAGCGGATTGGAAACACTCTTTTTGTGGAATTTGCAAGTGGAAAATTCTAGCAGTATGAGGCCAATGGTACAAAAGGAAATATCTTCGTATAAAAACTAGACAGTACCATTCTCAGAAACTGCTTTGTGATGTGTGTATTAAACTCACAGAGTTGAACATTTCTTTGCATAGAGCAGTTTGGAAAGACTTAGTTTGTGCAGTGTGCAAGTGGATATTTGGAACTCTTTGAGGCCTTCGTTGGAAACGGGATTTCTTCTTATAATTTCTTGAAAAAAGAATTCTCAGTAGCTTCTTTGTGTGTGTGTATTCAACTCACAGAGTTGAACCTTCCTTTAGACAGAGCAGATTGGAAACACTCTTTTTGTGGAATTTGCAAGTGGAGAATTCTAGCGCTTTGACGCCAATGGTAGAAAGGAAATATCTTCGTATAAAAACTAGACAGTATCATTCTCAGAAGCTACTTTGTGATGTGTGCGTTCAACTCACAGAGTTTAACCTTTCTTTTCATAGAGCAGTTTGGAAACCCTCTGTTTGTGAAGTCTGCAAGTGGATATTTAAACGTCTTTGAGGCCTTCGTTGGAAACGGGATTTTTTCATATAAACCAGGACAGAAGAATTCTCAGAAACTTCTTGATTGTTATGTGTGCATTCAACTCACAGAGTTGAACCTTACTTTGGAAAGAGCAGTTTTCTAACACTCTTTTTGTAAAAGTTCCAAGTGAATACTTTGAGTGCTTTGAAGCCTACGGTTGACAACGAAATATCTTCATGTAAAAACTACAAAGAATCATTCGGAGAAACCACGTTGTGATCTCTGCATTCAACTCACAGAGTTGAACCTTTCTTCCTATAGAGCAGTTATGAAACAGTCTCTTTGTAGAATTTGCAAGGGTGTATTTAGAGGGCATTGAAGCCTACGGTAGAAAAGGAAATATCTTACCATAAAATCTAGTCAGAAGCATTCTCAGAAACTGAGTTGTGATGTTTGCATTCAACTCACAGAGTTCAACATTCCTTTTAATGGAGCGGTTTTGAAACACTCTTTTTGCAGAATCTGCAAGTGGATATTTGGACCTCTTTGAGGCCTTCGTTGGAAACGGGATTTCTTCATGTAATGCCAGACAGAAGAATTCTCAGTGAATTCTTTCTGTGTGTGTGTATTCAACTCACAGAGTTGAACGTTCCTTTAGACAGAGTAGATTGGAAACACTCTTTTTGTGGAATTTTCAGGTGGAGGTATCAAGCGCTTTGAGGCCAATGATAGAAAAGGAAATACCTTCGTATAATAATTAGACGGAATCATTCTCAGAAACCGCTTTGCAATGTGTGCGTTCAACTCACAGTGTTTAACCTTTCTTTTCATACAGTTGTTTCGAAACACTCTTTTTGCAGAATCTGCAAGTGGATATTTGGACCTCTTTGAAGTCTTCGTTGGAAATGGGATTTCTTCATATAATGCTAGACAGAAGACTTCTCAGTAACTGCTTTTTCTGGTGTGTATTCAACTCTCAGAGTTGAACTTTCCTTTAGAAACAGCAGATTTGAAACTCTCTTTTTGTGGAATTTGCAAGTGGAGATTTCAGAGCTTTGAGGCCAATGGTAGAAAAGGAAATATCTTCGTATGCAAACTAGACAGAATCATTCTCAGAAACTACTTTGGTACGTGTGTGTTCAACTCACAGTGTTTAACCTTTCTTTTCATAGAGCAGTTTGGAAACACTCAGTTTGTAAAGTCAGCAACTGGATATTTGGATGTATTTGAGGCCTTCGTTGGAAACGGGATTTCTTCATATAATGCTAGACAGAAGAATTCTCAGTAACTTCTTTGGGTTGTGGGTATTCAACTCACAGAGTTGAAGCTTCCTTTAGGCGGAGCAGATTGGAAACACTTTTTGTGGAATTTTCAGGGGGAGACTTCAAGCGCTTTGAAGTGAATGGTAGGAAAGGAAATATCTTCGTATAAAAACTAGACGGAGTCATTCTCAGAAACTACTTTGTGATGTTTGCGTTCAACTCACAGAGTTTAACGTTTCTTTTCATAGAGCAGTTTGGAAACACTCTTTTTGCAGAATCTGCAAGTGGATATTTGGACCTCTTTGTGGCCTTCGTTGGAAACGGGATTTTTCATATAATGCTAGACAGAAGAATTCTCAGTAACTTCTTTTTGTGGTGTGTATTCAACTCACAGAGTTGAACCTTCCTTTAGACAGAGCAGATTTGAAACTCTCTTTTTGTGGAATTTGCAAGTGGAGATTTCAAGCGCTTTGAGGCCAACGGTAGAAAAGTAAATATCTTCGTAGAAAAAATAGACGGAATCATTCTCAGAAACTGCTTTGGGATGTGTGCATTGAACTCACAGTGTTTAACACTTCTTTTCATAGAGCACTTTGGAAACACTCAGGTTGTAATGTCTGCAGCTGGATATTTGGACCTCTTTGAGGCCTTCGTAGTAAACGGGATTTCTTCGTGTAATGATAGACAATAGAATTCTCAGTGAATTTTTTTCTGTGTGTGTGTATTCAACTCACAGGGTTGAACCTTCCTTTAGACAGTGTAGATTTGAAACACTTGTCTGTGGAATTTGCAAGGGGAGATTTCAAGCACTTTGAGGCCATTGGTGGAAAAGGAAATATCTTCGTATAAAAACTAGACAGAATCATTCTCAGGAACTACTTTGTGATATGTGCATTCAACTCACAGAGTTTAACCTTTCTTTTCATAGATGAGTTTGGAAACAGTCAGTTTGTAAATTCTGCAACTGGATATTTGGACCTCTTTGAGGCTTTCGTTGGAAACGGGATTTCTTCACATAATGCTAGACAGAAGAATTCTCAGTAACTTCTTTTGGGATGTATGTATTCAAATCAGAGAGTTGAACCTTCCTTTAGACAGAGCGGATTGGAAACACTCTTTTTGTGGAATTTGCAAGTGGAAAATTCTAGCAGTATGAGGCCAATGGTACAAAAGGAAATATCTTCGTATAAAAACTAGACAGTATCATTCTCAGAAACTGCTTTGTGATGTGTGTATTAAACTCACAGAGTTGAACATTTCTTTGCATAGAGCAGTTTGGAAAGACTTAGTTTGTGCAGTGTGCAAGTGGATATTTGGAACTCTTTGAGGCCTTCGTTGGAAACGGGATTTCTTCTTATAATTCTTGACAAAAGAATTCTCAGTAGCTTCTTTGTGTGTGTGTATTCAACTCACAGAGTTGAACCTTCCTTTAGACAGAGCAGATTGGAAACACTCTTTTTGTGGAATTTGCAAGTGGAGAATTCTAGCGCTTTGATGCCAATGGTAGAAAGGAAATATCTTCGTATAAAAACTAGACAGTATCATTCTCAAAAACTACTTTGTGATGTGTGCGTTCAACTCACAGAGTTTAACCTTTCTTTTCATAGAGCAGTTTGGAAACCCTCTGTTTGTGAAGTCTGCAAGTGGATATTTAAACGTCTTTGAGGCCTTCGTTGGAAACGGGATTTTTTCATATAAACCAGGACAGAAGAATTCTCAGAAACTTCTTGATTGTTATGTGTGCATTCAACTCACAGAGTTGAACCTTACTTTGGAAAGAGCAGTTTTCTAACACTCTTTTTGTAAAAGTTCCAAGTGAATACTTTGAGTGCTTTGAAGCCTACGGTTGACAACGAAATATCTTCATGTAAAAACTACAAAGAATCATTCGCAGAAACCACGTTGTGATCTCTGCATTCAACTCACAGAGTTGAACCTTTCTTCCTATAGAGCAGTTATGAAACAGTCTCTTTGTAGAATTTGCAAGGGTGTATTTAGAGGGCATTGAAGCCTACGGTATAAAAGGAAATATCTTACCATAAAATCTAGTCAGAAGCATTCTCAGAAACTGAGTTGTGATGTTTGCATTCAACTCACAGAGTTCAACATTCCTTTTAATGGAGCGGTTTTGAAACACTCTTTTTGCAGAATCTGCAAGTGGATATTTGGACCTCTTTGAGGCCTTCGTTGGAAACGGGATTTCTTCATGTAATGCCAGACAGAAGAATTCTCAGTGAATTCTTTCTGTGTGTGTGTATTCAACTCACAGAGTTGAACGTTCCTTTAGACAGAGTAGATTGGAAACACTCTTTTTGTGGAATTTTCAGGTGGAGGTATCAAGCGCTTTGAGGCCAATGATAGAAAAGGAAATACCTTCGTATAATAATTAGACGGAATCATTCTCAGAAACTGCTTTTCAACGTGTGCGTTCAACTCACAGTGTTTAACCTTTCTTTTCATACAGTTGTTTCGAAACACTCTTTTTGCAGAATCTGCAAGTGGATATTTGGACCTCTTTGAAGTCTTCGTTGGAAATGGGATTTCTTCATATAATGCTAGACAGAAGACTTCTCAGTAACTGCTTTTTCTGGTGTGTATTCAACTCTCAGAGTTGAACTTTCCTTTAGAAACAGCAGATTTGAAACTCTCTTTTTGTGGAATTTGCAAGTGGAGATTTCAGAGCTTTGAGGCCACTGGTAGAAAAGGAAATATCTTCGTATGCAAACTAGACAGAATCATTCTCAGAAACTACTTTGGTACGTGTGTGTTCAACTCACAGTGTTTAACCTTTCTTTTCATAGAGCAGTTTGGAAACACTCAGTTTGTAAAGTCAGCAACTGGGTATTTGGATGTATTTGAGGCCTTCGTTGGAAACGGGATTTCTTCATATAATGCTAGACAGAAGAATTCTCAGTAACTTCTTTGGGTTGTGGGTATTCAAGTCACAGAGTTGAAGCTTCCTTTAGGCGGAGCAGATTGGAAACACTTTTTGTGGAATTTTCAGGGGGAGACTTCAAGCGCTTTGAAGTGAATGGTAGGAAAGGAAATATCTTCGTATAAAAACTAGACGGAGTCATTCTCAGAAACTACTTTGTGATGTTTGCGTTCAACTCACAGAGTTTAACGTTTCTTTTCATAGAGCAGTTTGGAAACACTCTTTTTGCAGAATCTGCAAGTGGATATTTGGACCTCTTTGTGGCCTTCGTTGGAAACGGGATTTTTCATATAATGCTAGACAGAAGAATTCTCAGTAACTTCTTTTGGTGGTGTGTATTCAACTCACAGAGTTGAACCTTCCTTTAGACAGAGCAGATTTGAAACTCTCTTTTTGTGGAATTTGCAAGTGGAGATTTCAAGCGCTTTGAGGCCAACGGCAGAAAAGGAAATATCTTCGTAGAAAAAATAGACGGAATCATTCTCAGAAACTGCTTTGGGATGTGTGCATTGAACTCACAGTGTTTAACACTTCTTTTCATAGAGCACTTTGGAAACACTCAGTTTATAATGTCTGCAGCTGGATATTTGGACCTCTTTGAGGCCTTCGTAGTAAACGGGATTTCTTCGTGTAATGATAGACAATAGAATTCTCAGTGAATTTTTTTCTGTGTGTGTGTATTCAACTCACAGGGTTGAACCATCCTTTAGACAGTGCAGATTTGAAACACTTGTCTGTGGAATTTGCAAGGGGAGATTTCAAGCACTTTGAGGCCATTGGTGGAAAAGGAAATATCTTCGTATGAAAACTATACAGAATCATTCTCAGGAACTACTTTGTGATATGGGCATTCAACTCCCAGAGTTTAACCTTTCTTTTCATAGATGAGTTTGGAAACAGTCAGTTTGTAAATTCTGCAACTGGATATTTGGACCTCTTTGAGGCTTTCGTTGGAAACGGGATTTCTTCACATAATGCTAGACAGAAGAATTCTCAGTAACTTCTTTTGGGATGTATGTATTCAAATCAGAGAGTTGAACCTTCCTTTAGACAGAGCGGATTGGAAACACTCTTTTTGTGGAATTTGCAAGTGGAAAATTCTAGCAGTATGAGGCCAATGGTACAAAAGGAAATATCTTCGTATAAAAACTAGACAGTATCATTCTCAGAAACTGCTTTGTGATGTGTGAATTAAACTCACAGAGTTGAACATTTCTTTGCATAGAGCAGTTTGGAAAGACTTAGTTTTTGCAGTGTGCAAGTGGATATTTGGAACTCTTTGAGGCCTTCGTTGGAAACGGGATTTCTTCTTATAATTCTTGACAAAAGAATTCTCAGTAGCTTCTTTGTGTGTGTGTATTCAACTCACAGAGTTGAACCTTCCTTTAGACAGAGCAGATTGGAAACACTCTTTTTGTGGAATTTGCAAGTGGAGAATTCTAGCGCTTTGACGCCAATGGTAGAAAGGAAATATCTTCGTATAAAAACTAGACAGTATCATTCTCAGAAGCTACTTTGTGATGTGTGCGTTCAACTCACAGAGTTTAACCTTTCTTTTCATAGAGCAGTTTGGAAACCCTCTGTTTGTGAAGTCTGCAAGTGGATATTTAAACGTCTTTGAGGCCTTCGTTGGAAACGGGATTTTTTCATATAAACCAGGACAGAAGAATTCTCAGAAACTTCTTGATTGTTATGTGTGCATTCAACTCACAGAGTTGAACCTTACTTCGGAAAGAGCAGTTTTCTAACACTCTTTTTGTAAAAGTTCCAAGTGAATACTTTGAGTGCTTTGAAGCCTACGGTTGACAACGAAATATCTTCATGTAAAAACTACAAAGAATCATTCGCAGAAACCACGTTGTGATCTCTGCATTCAACTCACAGAGTTCAACCTTTCTTCCTATAGAGCAGTTATGAAACAGTCTCTTTGTAGAATTTGCAAGGGTGTATTTAGAGGGCATTGAAGCCTACGGTAGAAAAGGAAATATCTTACCATAAAATCTAGTCAGAAGCATTCTCAGCAACTGAGTTGTGATGTTTGCATTCAACTCACAGAGTTCAACATTCCTTTTAATGGAGCGGTTTTGAAACACTCTTTTTGCAGAATCTGCAAGTGGATATTTGGACCTCTTTGAGGCCTTCGTTGGAAACGGGATTTCTTCATGTAATGCCAGACAGAAGAATTCTCAGTGAATTCTTTCTGTGTGTGTGTATTCAACTCACAGAGTTGAACGTTCCTTTAGACAGAGTAGATTGGAAACACTCTTTTTGTGGAATTTTCAGGTGGAGGTATCAAGCGCTTTGAGGCCAATGATAGAAAAGGAAATACCTTCGTATAATAATTAGACGGAATCATTCTCAGAAACTGCTTTGCAATGTGTGCGTTCAACTCACAGTGTTTAACCTTTCTTTTCATACAGTTGTTTCGAAACACTCTTTTTGCAGAATCTGCAAGTGGATATTTGGACCTCTTTGAAGTCTTCGTTGGAAATGGGATTTCTTCATATAATGCTAGACAGAAGACTTCTCAGTAACTGCTTTTTCTGGTGTGTATTCAACTCTCAGAGTTGAACTTTCCTTTAGAAACAGCAGATTTGAAACTCTCTTTTTGTGGAATTTGCAAGTGGAGATTTCAGAGCTTTGAGGCCAATGGTAGAAAAGGAAATATCTTCGTATGCAAACTAGACAGAATCATTCTCAGAAACTACTTTGGTACGTGTGTGTTCAACTCACAGTGTTTAACCTTTCTTTTCATAGAGCAGTTTGGAAACACTCAGTTTGTAAAGTCAGCAACTGGATATTTGGATGTATTTGAGGCCTTCGTTGGAAACGGGATTTCTTCATATAGTGCTAGACAGAAGAATTCTCAGTAACTTCTTTGGGTTGTGGGTATTCAAGTCACAGAGTTGAAGCTTCCTTTAGGCGGAGCAGATTGGAAACACTTTTTGTGGAATTTTCAGGGGGAGACTTCAAGCGCTTTGAAGTGAATGGTAGGAAAGGAAATATCTTCGTATAAAAACTAGACGGAGTCATTCTCAGAAACTACTTTGTGATGTTTGCGTTCAACTCACAGAGTTTAACGTTTCTTTTCATAGAGCAGTTTGGAAACACTCTTTTTGCAGAATCTGCAAGTGGATATTTGGACCTCTTTGTGGCCTTCGTTGGAAACGGGATTTTTCATATAATGCTAGACAGAAGAATTCTCAGTAACTTCTTTTTGTGGTGTGTATTCAACTCACAGAGTTGAACCTTCCTTTAGACAGAGCAGATTTGAAACTCTCTTTTTGTGGAATTTGCAAGTGGAGATTTCAAGCGCTTTGAGGCCAACGGCAGAAAAGGAAATATCTTCGTTGAAAAAATAGACGGAATCATTCTCAGAAACTGCTTTGGGATGTGTGCATTGAACTCACAGTGTTTAACACTTCTTTTCATAGAGCACTTTGGAAACACTCAGTTTGTAATGTCTGCAGCTGGATATTTGGACCTCTTTGAGGCCTTCGTAGTAAACGGGATTTCTTCGTGTAATGATAGACAATAGAATTCTCAGTGAATTTTTTTCTGTGTGTGTGTATTCAACTCACAGGGTTGAACCTTCCTTTAGACAGTGCAGATTTGAAACACTTGTCTGTGGAATTTGCAAGGGGAGATTTCAAGCACTTTGAGGCCATTGGTGGAAAAGGAAATATCTTCGTATGAAAACTAGACAGAATCATTCTCAGGAACTACTTTGTGATATGTGCATTCAACTCACAGAGTTTAACCTTCCTTTTCATAGATGAGTTTGGAAACAGTCAGTTTGTAAATTCTGCAACTGGATATTTGGACCTCTTTGAGGCTTTCGTTGGAAACGGGATTTCTTCACATAATGCTAGACAGAAGAATTCTCAGTAACTTCTTTTGGGATGTATGTATTCAAATCAGAGAGTTGAACCTTCCTTTAGACAGAGCGGATTGGAAACACTCTTTTTGTGGAATTTGCAAGTGGAAAATTCTAGCAGTATGAGGCCAATGGTACAAAAGGAAATATCTTCGTATAAAAACTAGACAGTATCATTCTCAGAAACTGCTTTGTGATGTGTGTATTAAACTCACAGAGTTGAACATTTCTTTGCATAGAGCAGTTTGGAAAGACTTAGTTTGTGCAGTGTGCAAGTGGATATTTGGAACTCTTTGAGGCCTTCGTTGGAAACGGGATTTCTTCTTATAATTCTTGACAAAAGAATTCTCAGTAGCTTCTTTGTGTGTGTGTATTCAACTCACAGAGTTGAACCTTCCTTTAGACAGAGCAGATTGGAAACACTCTTTTTGTGGAATTTGCAAGTGGAGAATTCTAGCGCTTTGACGCCAATGGTAGAAAGGAAATATCTTCGTATAAAAACTAGACAGTATCATTCTCAGAAGCTACTTTGTGATGTGTGCGTTCAACTCACAGAGTTTAACCTTTCTTTTCATAGAGCAGTTTGGAAACCCTCTTTGTGAAGTCTGCAAGTGGATATTTAAACGTCTTTGAGGCCTTCGTTGGAAACGGGATTTTTTCATATAAACCAGGACAGAAGAATTCTCAGAAACGTCTTGATTGTTATGTGTGCATTCAACTCACAGAGTTGAACCTTACTTTGGAAAGAGCAGTTTTCTAACACTCTTTTTGTAAAAGTTCCAAGTGAATACTTTGAGTGCTTTGAAGCCTACGGTTGACAACGACATATCTTCATGTAAAAACTACAAAGAATCATTTGCAGAAACCACGTTGTGATCTCTGCATTCAACTCACAAGAGTTGAACCTTTCTTCCTATAGAGCAGTTATGAAACAGTCTCTTTGTAGAATTTGCAAGGGTGTATTTAGAGGGCATTGAAGCCTACGGTAGAAAAGGAAATATCTTACCATAAAATCTAGTCAGAAGCATTCTCAGAAACTGAGTTGTGATGTTTGCATTCAACTCACAGAGTTCAACATTCCTTTTAATGGAGCGGTTTTGAAACACTCTTTTTGCAGAATCTGCAAGTGGATATTTGGACCTCTTTGAGGCCTTCGTTGGAAACGGGATTTCTTCATGTAATGCCAGACAGAAGAATTCTCAGTGAATTCTTTCTGTGTGTGTGTATTCAACTCACAGAGTTGAACGTTCCTTTAGACAGAGTAGATTGGAAACACTCTTTTTGTGGAATTTTCAGGTGGAGGTATCAAGCGCTTTGAGGCCAATGATAGAAAAGGAAATACCTTCGTATAATAATTAGACGGAATCATTCTCAGAAACCGCTTTGCAATGTGTGCGTTCAACTCACAGTGTTTAACCTTTCTTTTCATACAGTTGTTTCGAAACACTCTTTTTGCAGAATCTGCAAGTGGATATTTGGACCTCTTTGAAGTCTTCGTTGGAAATGGGATTTCTTCATATAATGCTAGACAGAAGACTTCTCAGTAACTGCTTTTTCTGGTGTGTATTCAACTCTCAGAGTTGAACTTTCCTTTAGGAACAGCAGATTTGAAACTCTCTTTTTGTGGAATTTGCAAGTGGAGATTTCAAAGCTTTGAGGCCAGTGGTAGAAAAGGAAATATCTTTGTATGCAAACTAGACAGAATCATTCTCAGAAACTACTTTGGTACGTGTGTGTTCAACTCACAGTGTTTAACCTTTCTTTTCATAGAGCAGTTTGGAAACACTCAGTTTGTAAAGTCAGCAACTGGATATGTGGATGTATTTGAGGCCTTCGTTGGAAACGGGATTTCTTCCTATAATGCGAGACAGAAGAATTCTCAGTAACTTCTTTGTGTTGTGGGTATTCAACTCACAGAGTTGAAGCTTCCTTTAGGCGGAGCAGATTGGAAACACTTTTTGTGGAATTTTCAGGGGGAGACTTCAAGCGCTTTGAGGCCAACGGTAGAAAAGGAAATATCTTCGTATAAAAACTAGACGGAGTCATTCTCAGAAACTACTTTGTGATGTTTGCGTTCAACTCACAGAGTTTAACGTTTCTTTTCATAGAGCAGTTTGGAAACACTCTTTTTGCAGAATCTGCAAGTGGATATTTGGACCTCTTTGTGGCCTTCGTTGGAAACGGGATTTTTCATATAATGCTAGACAGAAGAATTCTCAGTAACTTCTTTTTGTGGTGTGTATTCAACTCACAGAGTTGAACCTTCCTTTAGACAGAGCAGATTTGAAACTCTCTTTTTGTGGAATTTGCAAGTGGAGATTTCAAGCGCTTTGAGGCCAACGGCAGAAAAGGAAATATCTTCGTAGAAAAAATAGACGGAATCATTCTCAGAAACTGCTTTGGGATGTGTGCATTGAACTCACAGTGTTTAACACTTCTTTTCATAGAGCACTTTGGAAACACTCAGTTTGTAATGTCTGCAGCTGGATATTTGGACCTCTTTGAGGCCTTCGTAGTAAACGGGATTTCTTCGTGTAATGATAGACAATAGAATTCTCAGTGAATTTTTTTCTGTGTGTGTGTATTCAACTCACAGGGTTGAACCTTCCTTTAGACAGTGCAGATTTGAAACACTTGTCTGTGGAATTTGCAAGGGGAGATTTCAAGCACTTTGAGGCCATTGGTGGAAAAGGAAATATCTTCGTATAAAAACTAGACAGAATCATTCTCAGGAACTACTTTGTGATATGTGCATTCAACTCCCAGAGTTTAACCTTTCTTTTCATAGATGAGTTTGGAAACAGTCAGTTTGTAAATTCTGCAACTGGATATTTGGACCTCTTTGAGGCTTTCGTTGGAAACGGGATTTACTTCACATAATGCTAGACAGAAGAATTCTCAGTAACTTCTTTTGGGATGTATGTATTCAAATCAGAGAGTTGAACCTTCCTTTAGACAGAGCGGATTGGAAACACTCTTTTTGTGGAATTTGCAAGTGGAAAATTCTAGCAGTATGAGGCCAATGGTACAAAAGGAAATATCTTCGTATAAAAACTAGACAGTATCATTCTCAGAAACTGCTTTGTGATGTGTGTATTAAACTCACAGAGTTTAACCTTTCTTTTCATAGAGCAGTTTGGAAACCCTCTGTTTGTGAAGTCTGCAAGTGGATATTTAAACGTCTTTGAGGCCTTCGTTGGAAACGGGATTTTTTCATATAAACCAGGACAGAAGAATTCTCAGAAACTTCTTGATTGTTATGTGTGCATTCAACTCACAGAGTTGAACCTTACTTTGGAAAGAGCAGTTTTCTAACACTCTTTTTGTAAAAGTTCCAAGTGAATACTTTGAGTGCTTTGAAGCCTACGGTTGACAACGAAATATCTTCATGTAAAAACTACAAAGAATCATTCGCAGAAACCACGTTGTGATCTCTGCATTCAACTCACAGAGTTGAACCTTTCTTCCTATAGAGCAGTTATGAAACAGTCTCTTTGTAGAATTTGCAAGGGTGTATTTAGAGGGCATTGAAGCCTACGGTAGAAAAGGAAATATCTTACCATAAAATCTAGTCAGAAGCATTCTCAGCAACTGAGTTGTGATGTTTGCATTCAACTCACAGAGTTCAACATTCCTTTTAATGGAGCGGTTTTGAAACACTCTTTTTGCAGAATCTGCAAGTGGATATTTGGACCTCTTTGAGGCCTTCGTTGGAAACGGGATTTCTTCATGTAATGCCAGACAGAAGAATTCTCAGTGAATTCTTTCTGTGTGTGTGTATTCAACTCACAGAGTTGAACGTTCCTTTAGACAGAGTAGATTGGAAACACTCTTTTTGTGGAATTTTCAGGTGGAGGTATCAAGCGCTTTGAGGCCAATGATAGAAAAGGAAATACCTTCGTATAATAATTAGACGGAATCATTCTCAGAAACTGCTTTGCAATGTGTGCGTTCAACTCACAGTGTTTAACCTTTCTTTTCATACAGTTGTTTCGAAACACTCTTTTTGCAGAATCTGCAAGTGGATATTTGGACCTCTTTGAAGTCTTCGTTGGAAATGGGATTTCTTCATATAATGCTAGACAGAAGACTTCTCAGTAACTGCTTTTTCTGGTGTGTATTCAACGCTCAGAGTTGAACTTTCCTTTAGAAACAGCAGATTTGAAACTCTCTTTTTGTGGAATTTGCAAGTGGAGATTTCAGAGCTTTGAGGCCAATGGTAGAAAAGGAAATATCTTCGTATGCAAACTAGACAGAATCAGTCTCAGAAACTACTTTGGTACGTGTGTGTTCAACTCACAGTGTTTAACCTTTCTTTTCATAGAGCAGTTTGGAAACACTCAGTTTGTAAAGTCAGCAACTGGATATTTGGATGTATTTGAGGCCGTCGTTGGAAACGGGATTTCTTCATATAATGCTAGACAGAAGAATTCTCAGTAACTTCTTTGGGTTGTGGGTATTCAAGTCACAGAGTTGAAGCTTCCTTTAGGCGGAGCAGATTGGAAACACTTTTTGTGGAATTTTCAGGGGGAGACTTCAAGCGCTTTGAAGTGAATGGTAGGAAAGGAAATATCTTCGTATAAAAACTAGACGGAGTCATTCTCAGAAACTACTTTGTGATGTTTGCGTTCAACTCACAGAGTTTAACGTTTCTTTTCATAGAGCAGTTTGGAAACACTCTTTTTGCAGAATCTGCAAGTGGATATTTGGACCTCTTTGTGGCCTTCGTTGGAAACGGGATTTTTCATATAATGCTAGACAGAAGAATTCTCAGTAACTTCTTTTTGTGGTGTGTATTCAACTCACAGAGTTGAACCTTCCTTTAGACAGAGCAGATTTGAAACTCTCTTTTTGTGGAATTTGCAAGTGGAGATTTCAAGCGCTTTGAGGCCAACGGCAGAAAAGGAAATATCTTCGTAGAAAAAATAGACGGAATCATTCTCAGTAAACAGCTTTGGGATGTGTACATTGAACTCACAGTGTTTAACACTTCTTTTCATAGAGCACTTTGGAAACACTCAGTTTGTAATGTCTGCAGCTGGATATTTGGACCTCTTTGAGGCCTTCGTAGTAAACGGGATTTCTTCGTGTAATGATAGACAATAGAATTCTCAGTGAATTTTTTTCTGTGTGTGTGTATTCAACTCACAGGGTTGAACCTTCCTTTAGACAGTGCAGATTTGAAACACTTGTCTGTGGAATTTGCAAGGGGAGATTTCAAGCACTTTGAGGCCATTGGTGGAAAAGGAAATATCTTCGTATGAAAACTAGACAGAATCATTCTCAGGAACTACTTTGTGATATGTGCATTCAACTCCCAGAGTTTAACCTTTCTTTTCATAGATGAGTTTGGAAACAGTCAGTTTGTAAATTCTGCAACTGGATATTTGGACCTCTTTGAGGCTTTCGTTGGAAACGGGATTTACTTCACATAATGCTAGACAGAAGAATTCTCAGTAACTTCTTTTGGGATGTATGTATTCAAATCAGAGAGTTGAACCTTCCTTTAGACAGAGCGGATTGGAAACACTCTTTTTGTGGAATTTGCAAGTGGAAAATTCTAGCAGTATGAGGCCAATGGTACAAAAGGAAATATTCTTCGTATAAAAACTAGACAGTAATCATTCTCAGAAACTGCTTTGTGATGTGCGTATTAAACTCACAGAGTTGAACATTTCTTTGCATAGAGCAGTTTGGAAAGACTTAGTTTGTGCAGTGTGCAAGTGGATATTTGGAACTCTTTGAGGCCTTCGTTGGAAACGGGATTTCTTCTTATAATTCTTGACAAAAGAATTCTCAGTAGCTTCTTTGTGTGTGTGTATTCAACTCACAGAGTTGAACCTTCCTTTAGACAGAGCAGATTGGAAACACTCTTTTTGTGGAATTTGCAAGTGGAGAATTCTAGCGCTTTGACGCCAATGGTAGAAAGGAAATATCTTCGTATAAAAACTAGACAGTATCATTCTCAGAAGCTACTTTGTGATGTGTGCGTTCAACTCACAGAGTTTAACCTTTCTTTTCATAGAGCAGTTTGGAAACCCTCTGTTTGTGAAGTCTGCAAGTGGATATTTAAACGTCTTTGAGGCCTTCGTTGGAAACGGGATTTTTTCATATAAACCAGGACAGAAGAATTCTCAGAAACTTCTTGATTGTTATGTGTGCATTCAACTCACAGAGTTGAACCTTACTTTGGAAAGAGCAGTTTTCTAACACTCTTTTTGTAAAAGTTCCAAGTGAATACTTTGAGTGCTTTGAAGCCTACGGTTGACAACGAAATATCTTCATGTAAAAACTACAAAGAATCATTCGCAGAAACCACGTTGTGATCTCTGCATTCAACTCACAGAGTTCAACCTTTCTTCCTATAGAGCAGTTATGAAACAGTCTCTTTGTAGAATTTGCAAGGGTGTATTTAGAGGGCATTGAAGCCTACGGTAGAAAAGGAAATATCTTACCATAAAATCTAGTCAGAAGCATTCTCAGAAACTGAGTTGTGATGTTTGCATTCAACTCACAGAGTTCAACATTCCTTTTAATGGAGCGGTTTTGAAACACTCTTTTTGCAGAATCTGCAAGTGGATATTTGGACCTCTTTGAGGCCTTCGTTGGAAACGGGATTTCTTCATGTAATGCCAGACAGAAGAATTCTCAGTGAATTCTTTCTGTGTGTGTGTATTCAACTCACAGAGTTGAACGTTCCTTTAGACAGAGTAGATTGGAAACACTCTTTTTGTGGAATTTTCAGGTGGAGGTATCAAGCGCTTTGAGGCCAATGATAGAAAAGGAAATACCTTCGTATAATAATTAGACGGAATCATTCTCAGAAACCGCTTTGCAATGTGTGCGTTCAACTCACAGTGTTTAACCTTTCTTTTCATACAGTTGTTTCGAAACACTCTTTTTGCAGAATCTGCAAGTGGATATTTGGACCTCTTTGAAGTCTTCGTTGGAAATGGGATTTCTTCATATAATGCTAGACAGAAGACTTCTCAGTAACTGCTTTTTCTGGTGTGTATTCAACTCTCAGAGTTGAACTTTCCTTTAGAAACAGCAGATTTGAAACTCTCTTTTTGTGGAATTTGCAAGTGGAGATTTCAGAGCTTTGAGGCCAATGGTAGAAAAGGAAATATCTTCGTATGCAAACTAGACAGAATCATTCTCAGAAACTACTTTGGTACGTGTGTGTTCAACTCACAGTGTTTAACCTTTCTTTTCATAGAGCAGTTTGGAAACACTCAGTTTGTAAAGTCAGCAACTGGATATTTGGATGTATTTGAGGCCTTCGTTGGAAACGGGATTTCTTCATATAGTGCTAGACAGAAGAATTCTCAGTAACTTCTTTGGGTTGTGGGTATTCAACTCACAGAGTTGAAGCTTCCTTTAGGCGGAGCAGATTGGAAACACTTTTTGTGGAATTTTCAGGGGGAGACTTCAAGCGCTTTGAAGTGAATGGTAGAAAAGGAAATATCTTCGTATAAAAACTAGACGGAGTCATTCTCAGAAACTACTTTGCGATGTTTGCGTTCAACTCACAGAGTTTAACGTTTCTTTTCATAGAGCAGTTTGGAAACACTCTTTGCAGAATCTGCAAGTGGATATTTGGACCTCTTTGTGGCCTTCGTTGGAAACGGGATTTTTCATATAATGCTAGACAGAAGAATTCTCAGTAACTTCTTTTTGTGGTGTGTATTCAACTCACAGAGTTGAACCTTCCTTTAGACAGAGCAGATTTGAAACTCTCTTTTTGTGGAATTTGCAAGTGGAGATTTCAAGCGCTTTGAGGCCAACGGTAGAAAAGGAAATATCTTCGTAGAAAAAATAGACGGAATCATTCTCAGAAACTGCTTTGGGATGTGTGCATTGAACTCACAGTGTTTAACACTTCTTTTCATAGAGCACTTTGGAAACACTCAGTTTGTAATGTCTGCAGCTGGTTATTTGGACCTCTTTGAGGCCTTCGTAGTAAACGGGATTTCTTCGTGTAATGATAGACAATAGAATTCTCAGTGAATTTTTTTCTGTGTGTGTGTATTCAACTCACAGGGTTGAACCTTCCTTTAGACAGTGCAGATTTGAGACACTTGTCTGTGGAATTTGCAAGGGGAGATTTCAAGCACTTTGAGGCCATTGGTGGAAAAGGAAATATCTTCGTATAAAAACTAGACAGAATCATTCTCAGGAACTACTTTGTGATATGTGCATTCAACTCACAGAGTTTAACCTTTCTTTTCATAGATGAGTTTGGAAACAGTCAGTTTGTAAATGCTGCAACTGGATATTTGGGCCTCTTTGAGGCTTTCGTTGGAAACGGGATTTCTTCACATAATGCTAGACAGAAGAATTCTCAGTAACTTCTTTTGGGATGTATGTATTCAAATCAGAGAGTTGAACCTTCCTTTAGACAGAGCGGATTGGAAACACTCTTTTTGTGGAATTTGCAAGTGGAAAATTCTAGCAGTATGAGGTCAATGGTACAAAAGGAAATATCTTCGTATAAAAACTAGACAGTATCATTCTCAGAAACTGCTTTGTGATGTGTGTATTAAACTCACAGATTTGAACATTTCTTTGCATAGAGCAGTATGGAAAGACTTAGTTTGTGCAGTGTGCAAGTGGATATTTGGAACTCTTTGAGGCCTTGGTTGGAAACGGGATTTCTTCTTATAATTCTTGACAAAAGAATTCTCAGTAGCTTCTTTGTGTGTGTGTACCCAACTCACAGAGTTGAACCTTCCTTTAGACAGAGCAGATTGGAAACACTCTTTTTGTGGAATTTGCAAGTGGAAAATTCTAGCAGTATGAGGCCAATGGTACAAAAGGAAATATCTTCGTATAAAAACTAGACAGTATCATTCTCAGAAACTACTTTGTGATGTGTGCGTTCAACTCACAGTGTTTACCCTTTCTTTTCATAGAGCAGTTTGGAAACACTCTGTTTGTGAAGTCTGCAAGTGGATATTTAAACGTCTTTGAGGCCTTCGTTGGAAACGGGATTTCTTCATATAAACCAGGACAGAAGAATTCTCAGAAACTTCTTGTTTGTTATGTGTGCATTCAACTCACAGAGTTGAACCTTACTTTGGAAAGAGCAGTTTTCTAACACTCTTTTTGTAAAAGTTCCAAGTGAATACTTTGAGTGCTTTGAAGCCTACGGTAGACAACGAAATATCTTCATGTAAAAACTACAAAGAATCATTCGCAGAAACCACGTTGTGATCTCTGCATTCAACTCACAGAGTTGAACCTTTCCTCCTATAGAGCAGTTATGAAACAGTCTCTTTGTAGAATTTGCAAGGGTGTATTTACAGGGCATTGAAGCCTACGGTAGAAAAGGAAATATCTTACCATAAAATCTAGTCAGAAGCATTCTCAGAAACTGAGTTGTGATGTTTGCATTCAACTCACAGAGTTCAACATTCCTTTTAATGGAGCGGTTTTGAAACACTCTTTTTGCAGAATCTGCAAGTGGATATTTGGACCTCTTTGAGGCCTTCGTTGGAAACGGGATTTCTTCATGTAATGCCAGACAGAAGAATTCTCAGTGAATTCTTTCTGTGTGTGTGTATTCAACTCACAGAGTTGAACGTTCCTTTAGACAGAGTAGATTGGAAACACTCTTTTTGTGGAATTTTCAGGTGGAGGTATCAAGCGCTTTGAGGCCAATGATAGAAAAGGAAATACCTTCGTATAATAATTAGACGGAATCATTCTCAGAAACTGCTTTGCAATGTGTGCGTTCAACTCACAGTGTTTAACCTTTCTTTTCATACAGTTGTTTCGAAACACTCTTTTTGCAGAATCTGCAAGTGGATATTTGGACCTCTTTGAAGTCTTCGTTGGAAATGGGATTTCTTCATATAATGCTAGACAGAAGACTTCTCAGTAACTGCTTTTTCTGGTGTGTATTCAACTCTCAGAGTTGAACTTTCCTTTAGAAACAGCAGATTTGAAACTCTCTTTTTGTGGAATTTGCAAGTGGAGATTTCAGAGCTTTGAGGCCAATGGTAGAAAAGGAAATATCTTCGTATGCAAACTAGACAGAATCATTCTCAGAAACTACTTTGGTACGTGTGTGTTCAACTCACAGTGTTTAACCTTTCTTTTCATAGAGCAGTTTGGAAACACTCAGTTTGTAAAGTCAGCAACTGGATATTTGGATGTATTTGAGGCCTTCGTTGGAAACGGGATTTCTTCATATAATGCTAGACAGAAGAATTCTCAGTAACTTCTTTGGGTTGTGGGTATTCAAGTCACAGAGTTGAAGCTTCCTTTAGGCGGAGCAGATTGGAAACACTTTTTGTGGAATTTTCAGGGGGAGACTTCAAGCGCTTTGAAGTGAATGGTAGGAAAGGAAATATCTTCGTATAAAAACTAGACGGAGTCATTCTCAGAAACTACTTTGTGATGTTTGCGTTCAACTCACAGAGTTTAACGTTTCTTTTCATAGAGCAGTTTGGAAACACTCTTTTTGCAGAATCTGCAAGTGGATATTTGGACCTCTTTGTGGCCTTCGTTGGAAACGGGATTTTTCATATAATGCTAGACAGAAGAATTCTCAGTAACTTCTTTTTGTGGTGTGTATTCAACTCACAGAGTTGAACCTTCCTTTAGACAGAGCAGATTTGAAACTCTCTTTTTGTGGAATTTGCAAGTGGAGATTTCAAGCGCTTTGAGGCCAACGGCAGAAAAGGAAATATCTTCGTAGAAAAAATAGACGTAATCATTCTCAGAAACTGCTTTGGGATGTGTGCATTGAACTCACAGTGTTTAACACTTCTTTTCATAGAGCACTTTGGAAACACTCAGTTTGTAATGTCTGCAGCTGGATATTTGGACCTCTTTGAGGCCTTCGTAGTAAACGGGATTTCTTCGTGTAATGATAGACAATAGAATTCTCAGTGAATTTTTTTCTGTGTGTGTGTATTCAACTCACAGGGTTGAACCTTCCTTTAGACAGTGCAGATTTGAAACACTTGTCTGTGGAATTTGCAAGGGGAGATTTCAAGCACTTTGAGGCCATTGGTGGAAAAGGAAATATCTTCGTATGAAAACTAGACAGAATCATTCTCAGGAACTACTTTGTGATATGTGCATTCAACTCACAGAGTTTAACCTTCCTTTTCATAGATGAGTTTGGAAACAGTCAGTTTGTAAATTCTGCAACTGGATATTTGGACCTCTTTGAGGCTTTCGTTGGAAACGGGATTTCTTCACATAATGCTAGACAGAAGAATTCTCAGTAACTTCTTTTGGGATGTATGTATTCAAATCAGAGAGTTGAACCTTCCTTTAGACAGAGCGGATTGGAAACACTCTTTTTGTGGAATTTGCAAGTGGAAAATTCTAGCAGTATGAGGCCAATGGTACAAAAGGAAATATCTTCGTATAAAAACTAGACAGTATCATTCTCAGAAACTGCTTTGTGATGTGTGTATTAAACTCACAGAGTTGAACATTTCTTTGCATAGAGCAGTTTGGAAAGACTTAGTTTGTGCAGTGTGCAAGTGGATATTTGGAACTCTTTGAGGCCTTCGTTGGAAACGGGATTTCTTCTTATAATTCTTGACAAAAGAATTCTCAGTAGCTTCTTTGTGTGTGTGTATTCAACTCACAGAGTTGAACCTTCCTTTAGACAGAGCAGATTGGAAACACTCTTTTTGTGGAATTTGCAAGTGGAGAATTCTAGCGCTTTGACGCCAATGGTAGAAAGGAAATATCTTCGTATAAAAACTAGACAGTATCATTCTCAGAAGCTACTTTGTGATGTGTGCGTTCAACTCACAGAGTTTAACCTTTCTTTTCATAGAGCAGTTTGGAAACACTCTGTTTGTGAAGTCTGCAAGTGGATATTTAAACGTCTTTGTGGCCTTTGTTGGAAACGGGATTTTTTCATATAAACCAGGACAGAAGAATTCTCAGAAACTTCTTAATTGTTATGTGTGCATTCAACTCACAGAGTTGAACCTTACTTTGGAAAGAGCAGTTTTCTAACACTCTTTTTGTAAAAGTTCCAAGTGAATACTTTGAGTGCTTTGAAGCCTACGGTTGACAACGAAATATCTTCATGTAAAAACTACAAAGAATCATTCGCTGAAACCACGTTGTGATCTCTGCATTCAACTCACAGAGTTGAACCTTTCTTCCTGTAGAGCAGTTATGAAACAGTCTCTTTGTAGAATTTGCAAGGGTGTATTTAGAGGGCATTGAAGCCTACGGTAGAAAAGGAAATATCTTACCATAAAATCTAGTCAGAAGCATTCTCAGCAACTGAGTTGTGATGTTTGCATTCAACTCACAGAGTTCAACATTCCTTTTAATGGAGCGGTTTTGAAACACTCTTTTTGCAGAATCTGCAAGTGGATATTTGGACCTCTTTGAGGCCTTCGTTGGAAACGGGATTTCTTCATGTAATGCCAGACAGAAGAATTCTCAGTGAATTCTTTCTGTGTGTGTGTATTCAACTCACAGAGTTGAACGTTCCTTTAGACAGAGTAGATTGGAAACACTCTTTTTGTGGAATTTTCAGGTGGAGGTATCAAGCGCTTTGAGGCCAATGATAGAAAAGGAAATACCTTCGTATAATAATTAGACGGAATCATTCTCAGAAACTGCTTTGCAATGTGTGCGTTCAACTCACAGTGTTTAACCTTTCTTTTCATACAGTTGTTTCGAAACACTCTTTTTGCAGAATCTGCAAGTGGATATTTGGACCTCTTTGAAGTCTTCGTTGGAAATGGGATTTCTTCATATAATGCTAGACAGAAGACTTCTCAGTAACTGCTTTTTCTGGTGTGTATTCAACTCTCAGAGTTGAACTTTCCTTTAGAAACAGCAGAGTTGAAACTCTCTTTTTGTGGAATTTGCAAGTGGAGATTTCAGAGCTTTGAGGCCAATGGTAGAAAAGGAAATATCTTCGTATGCAAACTAGACAGAATCATTCTCAGAAACTACTTTGGTACGTGTGTGTTCAACTCACAGTGTTTAACCTTTCTTTTCATAGAGCAGTTTGGAAACACTCAGTTTGTAAAGTCAGCAACTGGATATTTGGATGTATTTGAGGCCTTCGTTGGAAACGGGATTTCTTCATATAGTGCTAGACAGAAGAATTCTCAGTAACTTCTTTGGGTTGTGGGTATTCAACTCACAGAGTTGAAGCTTCCTTTAGGCGGAGCAGATTGGAAACACTTTTTGTGGAATTTTCAGGGGGAGACTTCAAGCGCTTTGAAGTGAATGGTAGGAAAGGAAATATCTTCGTATAAAAACTAGACGGAGTCATTCTCAGAAACTACTTTGTGATGTTTGCGTTCAACTCACAGAGTTTAACGTTTCTTTTCATAGAGCAGTTTGGAAACACTCTTTTTGCAGAATCTGCAAGTGGATATTTGGACCTCTTTGTGGCCTTCGTTGGAAACGGGATTTTTCATATAATGCTAGACAGAAGAATTCTCAGTAACTTCTTTTTGTGGTGTGTATTCAACTCACAGAGTTGAACCTTCCTTTAGACAGAGCAGATTTGAAACTCTCTTTTTGTGGAATTTGCAAGTGGAGATTTCAAGCGCTTTGAGGCCAACGGCAGAAAAGGAAATATCTTCGTAGAAAAAATAGACGGATCATTCTCAGAAACTGCTTTGGGATGTGTGCATTGAACTCACAGTGTTTAACACTTCTTTTCATAGAGCACTTTGGAAACACTCAGTTTGTAATGTCTGCAGCTGGATATTTGGACCTCTTTGAGGCCTTCGTAGTAAACGGGATTTCTTCGTGTAATGATAGACAATAGAATTCTCAGTGAATTTTTTTCTGTGTGTGTGTATTCAACTCACAGGGTTGAACCTTCCTTTAGACAGTGCAGATTTGAGACACTTGTCTGTGGAATTTGCAAGGGGAGATTTCAAGCACTTTGAGGCCATTGGTGGAAAAGGAAATATCTTCGTATAAAAACTAGACAGAATCATTCTCAGGAACTACTTTGTGATATGTGCATTCAACTCACAGAGTTTAACCTTTCTTTTCATAGATGAGTTTGGAAACAGTCAGTTTGTAAATGCTGCAACTGGATATTTGGGCCTCTTTGAGGCTTTCGTTGGAAACGGGATTTCTTCACATAATGCTAGACAGAAGAATTCTCAGTAACTTCTTTTGGGATGTATGTATTCAAATCAGAGAGTTGAACCTTCCTTTAGACAGAGCGGATTGGAAACACTCTTTTTGTGGAATTTGCAAGTGGAAAATTCTAGCAGTATGAGGCCAATGGTACAAAAGGAAATATCTTCGTATAAAAACTAGACAGTATCATTCTCAGAAACTGCTTTGTGATGTGTGTATTAAACTCACAGATTTGAACATTTCTTTGCATAGAGCAATATGGAAAGACTTAGTTTGTGCAGTGTGCAAGTGGATATTTGGAACTCTTTGAGGCCTTGGTTGGAAACGGTATTTCTTCTTATAATTCTTGACAAAAGAATTCTCAGTAGCTTCTTTGTGTGTGTGTACTCAACTCACAGAGTTGAACCTTCCTTTAGACAGAGCAGATTGGAAACACTCTTTTTGTGGAATTTGCAAGTGGAAAATTCTAGCAGTATGAGGCCAATGGTACAAAAGGAAATATCTTCGTATAAAAACTAGACAGTATCATTGTCAGAAACTACTTTGTGAGGTGTGCGTTCAACTCACAGTGTTTACCCTTTCTTTTCATAGAGCAGTTTGGAAACACTCTGTTTGTGAAGTCTGCAAGTGGATATTTAAACGTCTTTGAGGCCTTCGTTGGAAACGGGATTTCTTCATATAAACCAGGACAGAAGAATTCTCAGAAACTTCTTGTTTGTTATGTGTGCATTCAACTCACAGAGTTGAACCTTACTTTGGAAAGAGCAGTTTTCTAACACTCTTTTTGTAAAAGTTCCAAGTGAATACTTTGAGTGCTTTGAAGCCTACGGTAGACAACGAAATATCTTCATGTAAAAACTACAAAGAATCATTCGCAGAAACCACGTTGTGATCTCTGCATTCAACTCACAGAGTTGAACCTTTCCTCCTGTAGAGCAGTTATGAAACAGTCTCTTTGTAGAATTTGCAAGGGAGTATTTACAGGGCATTGAAGCCTACGGTAGAAAAGGAAATATCTTACCATAAAATCTAGTCAGAAGCATTCTCAGAAACTGAGTTGTGATGTTTGCATTCAACTCACAGAGTTCAACATTCCTTTTAATGGAGCGGTTTTGAAACACTCTTTTTGCAGAATCTGCAAGTGGATATTTGGACCTCTTTGAGGCCTTCGTTGGAAACGGGATTTCTTCATGTAATGCCAGACAGAAGAATTCTCAGTGAATTCTTTCTGTGTGTGTGTATTCAACTCACGGAGTTGAACGTTCCTTTAGACAGAGTAGATTGGAAACACTCTTTTTGTGGAATTTTCAGGTGGAGGTATCAAGCGCTTTGAGGCCAATGATAGAAAAGGAAATACCTTCGTATAATAATTAGACGGAATCATTCTCAGAAACTGCTTTGCAATGTGTGCGTTCAACTCACAGTGTTTAACCTTTCTTTTCATACAGTTGTTTCGAAACACTCTTTTTGCAGAATCTGCAAGTGGATATTTGGACCTCTTTGAAGTCTTCGTTGGAAATGGGATTTCTTCATATAATGCTAGACAGAAGACTTCTCAGTAACTGCTTTTTCTGGTGTGTATTCAACTCTCAGAGTTGAACTTTCCTTTAGAAACAGCAGAGTTGAAACTCTCTTTTTGTGGAATTTGCAAGTGGAGATTTCAAAGCTTTGAGGCCAATGGTAGAAAAGGAAATATCTTCGTATGCAAACTAGACAGAATCATTCTCAGAAACTACTTTGGTACGTGTGTGTTCAACTCACAGTGTTTAACCTTTCTTTTCATAGAGCAGTTTGGAAACACTCAGTTTGTAAAGTCAGCAACTGGATATTTGGATGTATTTGAGGCCTTCGTTGGAAACGGGATTTCTTCAGATAATGCTAGACAGAAGAATTCTCAGTAACTTCTTTGGGTTGTGGGTATTCAAGTCACAGAGTTGAAGCTTCCTTTAGGCGGAGCAGATTGGAAACACTTTTTGTGGAATTTTCAGGGGGAGACTTCAAGCGCTTTGAAGTGAATGGTAGGAAAGGAAATATCTTCGTATAAAAACTAGACGGAGTCATTCTCAGAAACTACTTTGTGATGTTTGCGTTCAACTCACAGAGTTTAACGTTTCTTTTCATAGAGCAGTTTGGAAACACTCTTTTTGCAGAATCTGCAAGTGGATATTTGGACCTCTTTGTGGCCTTCGTTGGAAACGGGATTTTTCATATAATGCTAGACAGAAGAATTCTCAGTAACTTCTTTTTGTGGTGTGTATTCAACTCACAGAGTTGAACCTTCCTTTAGACAGAGCAGATTTGAAACTCTCTTTTTGTGGAATTTGCAAGTGGAGATTTCAAGCGCTTTGAGGCCAACGGCAGAAAAGGAAATATCTTCGTAGAAAAAATAGACGGAATCATTCTCAGAAACTGCTTTGGGATGTGTGCATTGAACTCACAGTGTTTAACACTTCTTTTCATAGAGCACTTTGGAAACACTCAGTTTGTAATGTCTGCAGCTGGATATTTGGACCTCTTTGAGGCCTTCGTAGTAAACGGGATTTCTTCGTGTAATGATAGACAATAGAATTCTCAGTGAATTTTTTTCTGTGTGTGTGTATTCAACTCACAGGGTTGAACCTTCCTTTAGACAGTGCAGATTTGAAACACTTGTCTGTGGAATTTGCAAGGGGAGATTTCAAGCACTTTGAGGCCATTGGTGGAAAAGGAAATATCTTCGTATGAAAACTAGACAGAATCATTCTCAGGAACTACTTTGTGATATGTGCATTCAACTCCCAGAGTTTAACCTTTCTTTTCATAGATGAGTTTGGAAACAGTCAGTTTGTAAATTCTGCAACTGGATATTTGGACCTCTTTGAGGCTTTCGTTGGAAACGGGATTTCTTCACATAATGCTAGACAGAAGAATTCTCAGTAACTTCTTTTGGGATGTATGTATTCAAATCAGAGAGTTGAACCTTCCTTTAGACAGAGCGGATTGGAAACACTCTTTTTGTGGAATTTGCAAGTGGAAAATTCTAGCAGTATGAGGCCAATGGTACAAAAGGAAATATCTTCGTATAAAAACTAGACAGTATCATTCTCAGAAACTGCTTTGTGATGTGTGTATTAAACTCACAGAGTTTAACCTTTCTTTTCATAGAGCAGTTTGGAAACCCTCTGTTTGTGAAGTCTGCAAGTGGATATTTAAACGTCTTTGAGGCCTTCGTTGGAAACGGGATTTTTTCATATAAACCAGGACAGAAGAATTCTCAGAAACTTCTTGATTGTTATGTGTGCATTCAACTCACAGAGTTGAACCTTACTTTGGAAAGAGCAGTTTTCTAACACTCTTTTTGTAAAAGTTCCAAGTGAATACTTTGAGTGCTTTGAAGCCTACGGTTGACAACGAAATATCTTCATGTAAAAACTACAAAGAATCATTCGCAGAAACCACGTTGTGATCTCTGCATTCAACTCACAGAGTTGAACCTTTCTTCCTATAGAGCAGTTATGAAACAGTCTCTTTGTAGAATTTGCAAGGGTGTATTTAGAGGGCATTGAAGCCTACGGTATAAAAGGAAATATCTTACCATAAAATCTAGTCAGAAGCATTCTCAGCAACTGAGTTGTGATGTTTGCATTCAACTCACAGAGTTCAACATTCCTTTTAATGGAGCGGTTTTGAAACACTCTTTTTGCAGAATCTGCAAGTGGATATTTGGACCTCTTTGAGGCCTTCGTTGGAAACGGGATTTCTTCATGTAATGCCAGACAGAAGAATTCTCAGTGAATTCTTTCTGTGTGTGTGTATTCAACTCACAGAGTTGAACGTTCCTTTAGACAGAGTAGATTGGAAACACTCTTTTTGTGGAATTTTCAGATGGAGGTATCAAGCGCTTTGAGGCCAATGATAGAAAAAGAAATACCTTTGTATAATAATTAGACGGAATCATTCTCAGAAACTGCTTTGCAATGTGTGCGTTCAACTCACAGTGTTTAACCTTTCTTTTCATACAGTTGTTTCGAAACACTCTTTTTGCAGAATCTGCAAGTGGATATTTGGACCTCTTTGAAGTCTTCGTTGGAAATGGGATTTCTTCATATAATGCTAGACAGAAGACTTCTCAGTAACTGCTTTTTCTGGTGTGTATTCAACTCTCAGAGTTGAACTTTCCTTTAGGAACAGCAGATTTGAAACTCTCTTTTTGTGGAATTTGCAAGTGGAGATTTCAAAGCTTTGAGGCCAGTGGTAGAAAAGGAAATATCTTTGTATGCAAACTAGACAGAATCATTCTCAGAAACTACTTTGGTACGTGTGTGTTCAACTCACAGTGTTTAACCTTTCTTTTCATAGAGCAGTTTGGAAACACTCAGTTTGTAAAGTCAGCAACTGGATATTTGGATGTATTTGAGGCCTTCGTTGGAAACGGGATTTCTTCATATAATGCTAGACAGAAGAATTCTCAGTAACTTCTTTGGGTTGTGGGTATTCAAGTCACAGAGTTGAAGCTTCCTTTAGGCGGAGCAGATTGGAAACACTTTTTGTGGAATTTTCAGGGGGAGACTTCAAGCGCTTTGAAGTGAATGGTAGGAAAGGAAATATCTTCGTATAAAAACTAGACGGAGTCATTCTCAGAAACTACTTTGTGATGTTTGCGTTCAACTCACAGAGTTTAACGTTTCTTTTCATAGAGCAGTTTGGAAACACTCTTTTTGCAGAATCTGCAAGTGGATATTTGGACCTCTTTGTGGCCTTCGTTGGAAACGGGATTTTTCATATAATGCTAGACAGAAGAATTCTCAGTAACTTCTTTTTGTGGTGTGTATTCAACTCACAGAGTTGAACCTTCCTTTAGACAGAGCAGATTTGAAACTCTCTTTTTGTGGAATTTGCAAGTGGAGATTTCAAGCGCTTTGAGGCCAACGGTAGAAAAGGAAATATCTTCGTAGAAAAAACAGACGGAATCATTCTCAGAAACTGCTTTGGGATGTGTGCATTGAACTCACAGTGTTTAACACTTCTTTTCATAGAGCACTTTGGAAACACTCAGTTTGTAATGTCTGCAGCTGGATATTTGGACCTCTTTGAGGCCTTCGTAGTAAACGGGATTTCTTCGTGTAATGATAGACAATAAGAATTCTCAGTGAATTTTTTTCTGTGTGTGTGTATTCAACTCACAGGGTTGAACCTTCCTTTAGACAGTGCAGATTTGAAACACTTGTCTGTGGAATTTGCAAGGGGAGATTTCAAGCACTTTGAGGCCATTGGTGGAAAAGGAAATATCTTCGTATAAAAACTAGACAGAATCATTCTCAGGAACTACTTTGTGATATGTGCATTCAACTCACAGAGTTTAACCTTTCTTTTCATAGATGAGTTTGGAAACAGTCAGTTTGTAAATTCTGCAACTGGATATTTGGACCTCTTTGTGGCTTTCATTGGAAACGGGATTTCTTCACATAATGCTAGACAGAAGAATTCTCAGTAACTTCTTTTGGGATGTATGTATTCAAATCAGAGAGTTGAACCTTTCTTTAGACAGAGCGGATTGGAAACACTCTTTTTGTGGAATTTGCAAGTGGAAAATTCTAGCAGTATGAGGCCAATGGTACAAAAGGAAATATCTTCGTATAAAAACTAGACAGTATCATTCTCAGAAACTGCTTTGTGATGTGTGTATTAAACTCACAGAGTTGAACATTTCTTTGCATAGAGCAGTTTGGAAAGACTTAGTTTGTGCAGTGTGCAAGTGGATATTTGGAACTCTTTGAGGCCTTCGTTGGAAACGGGATTTCTTCTTATAATTCTTGACAAAAGAATTCTCAGTAGCTTCTTTGTGTGTGTGTATTCAACTCACAGAGTTGAACCTTCCTTTAGACAGAGCAGATTGGAAACACTCTTTTTGTGGAATTTGCAAGTGGAGAATTCTAGCGCTTTGACGCCAATGGTAGAAAGGAAATATCTTCGTATAAAAACTAGACAGTATCATTCTCAGAAGCTACTTTGTGATGTGTGCGTTCAACTCACAGAGTTTAACCTTTCTTTTCATAGAGCAGTTTGGAAACCCTCTGTTTGTGAAGTCTGCAAGTGGATATTTAAACGTCTTTGAGGCCTTCGTTGGAAACGGGATTTTTTCATATAAACCAGGACAGAAGAATTCTCAGAAACTTCTTGATTGTTATGTGTGCATTCAACTCACAGAGTTGAACCTTACTTTGGAAAGAGCAGTTTTCTAACACTCTTTTTGTAAAAGTTCCAAGTGAATACTTTGAGTGCTTTGAAGCCTACGGTTGACAACGAAATATCTTCATGTAAAAACTACAAAGAATCATTCGCCGAAACCACGATGTGATCTCTGCATTCAACTCACAGAGTTCAACCTTTCTTCCTATAGAGCAGTTATTAAACAGTCTCTTTGTAGAATTTGCAAGGGTGTATTTAGAGGGCATTGAGGCCTACGGTAGAAAAGGAAATATCTGACCATAAAATCTAGTCAGAAGCATTCTCAGAAACTGAGTTGTGATGTTTGCATTCAACTCACAGAGTTCAACATTCCTTTTAATGGAGCGGTTTTGAAACACTCTTTTTGCAGAATCTGCAAGTGGATATTTGGACCTCTTTGAGGCCTTCGTTGGAAACGGGATTTCTTCATGTAATGCCAGACAGAAGAATTCTCAGTGAATTCTTTCTGTGTGTGTGTATTCAACTCACAGAGTTGAACGTTCCTTTAGACAGAGTAGATTGGAAACACTCTTTTTGTGGAATTTTCAGGTGGAGGTATCAAGCGCTTTGAGGCCAATGATAGAAAAGGAAATACCTTCGTATAATAATTAGACGGAATCATTCTCAGAAACTGCTTTGCAATGTGTGCGTTCAACTCACAGTGTTTAACCTTTCTTTTCATACAGTTGTTTCGAAACACTCTTTTTGCAGAATCTGCAAGTGGATATTTGGACCTCTTTGAAGTCTTCGTTGGAAATGGGATTTCTTCATATAATGCTAGACAGAAGACTTCTCAGTAACTGCTTTTTCTGGTGTGTATTCAACTCTCAGAGTTGAACTTTCCTTTAGAAGCAGCAGATTTGAAACTCTCTTTTTGTGGAATTTGCAAGTGGAGATTTCAGAGCTTTGAGGCCAATGGTAGAAAAGGAAATATCTTCGTATGCAAACTAGACAGAATCATTCTCAGAAACTACTTTGGTACGTGTGTGTTCAACTCACAGTGTTTAACCTTTCTTTTCATAGAGCAGTTTGGAAACACTCAGTTTGTAAAGTCAGCAACTGGATATTTGGATGTATTTGAGGCCTTCGTTGGAAACGGGATTTCTTCATATAATGCTAGACAGAAGAATTCTCAGTAACTTCTTTGGGTTGTGGGTATTCAAGTCACAGAGTTGAAGCTTCCTTTAGGCGGAGCAGATTGGAAACACTTTTTGTGGAATTTTCAGGGGGAGACTTCAAGCGCTTTGAAGTGAATGGTAGGAAAGGAAATATCTTCGTATAAAAACTAGACGGAGTCATTCTCAGAAACTACTTTGTGATGTTTGCGTTCAACTCACAGAGTTTAACGTTTCTTTTCATAGAGCAGTTTGGAAACACTCTTTTTGCAGAATCTGCAAGTGGATATTTGGACCTCTTTGTGGCCTTCGTTGGAAACGGGATTTTTCATATAATGCTAGACAGGAAGAATTCTCAGTAACTTCTTTTTGTGGTGTGTATTCAACTCACAGAGTTGAACCTTCCTTTAGACAGAGCAGATTTGAAACTCTCTTTTTGTGGAATTTGCAAGTGGAGATTTCAAGCGCTTTGAGGCCAACGGTAGAAAAGGAAATATCTTCGTAGAAAAAATAGACGGAATCATTCTCAGAAACTGCTTTGGGATGTGTGCATTGAACTCACAGTGTTTAACACTTCTTTTCATAGAGCACTTTGGAAACACTCAGTTTGTAATGTCTGCAGCTGGATATTTGGACCTCTTTGAGGCCTTCGTAGTAAACGGGATTTCTTCGTGTAATGATAGACAATAGAATTCTCAGTGAATTTTTTTCTGTGTGTGTGTATTCAACTCACAGGGTTGAACCTTCCTTTAGACAGTGCAGATTTGAGACACTTGTCTGTGGAATTTGCAAGGGGAGATTTCAAGCACTTTGAGGCCATTGGTGGAAAAGGAAATATCTTCGTATAAAAACTAGACAGAATCATTCTCAGGAACTACTTTGTGATATGTGCATTCAACTCACAGAGTTTAACCTTTCTTTTCATAGATGAGTTTGGAAACAGTCAGTTTGTAAATGCTGCAACTGGATATTTGGGCCTCTTTGAGGCTTTCGTTGGAAACGGGATTTCTTCACATAATGCTAGACAGAAGAATTCTCAGTAACTTCTTTTGGGATGTATGTATTCAAATCAGAGAGTTGAACCTTCCTTTAGACAGAGCGGATTGGAAACACTCTTTTTGTGGAATTTGCAAGTGGAAAATTCTAGCAGTATGAGGCCAATGGTACAAAAGGAAATATCTTCGTATAAAAACTAGACAGTATCATTCTCAGAAACTGCTTTGTGATGTGTGTATTAAACTCACAGAGTTGAACATTTCTTTGCATAGAGCAGTATGGAAAGACTTAGTTTGTGCAGTGTGCAAGTGGACATTTGGAACTCTTTGAGGCCTTGGTTGGAAACGGGATTTCTTCTTATAATTCTTGACAAAAGAATTCTCAGTAGCTTCTTTGTGTGTGTGTACTCAACTCACAGAGTTGAACCTTCCTTTAGACAGAGCAGATTGGAAACACTCTTTTTGTGGAATTTGCAAGTGGAAAATTCTAGCAGTATGAGGCCAATGGTACAAAAGGAAATATCTTCGTATAAAAACTAGACAGTATCATTCTCAGAAACTACTTTGTGAGGTGTGCGTTCAACTCACAGTGTTTACCCTTTCTTTTCATAGAGCAGTTTGGAAACACTCTGTTTGTGAAGTCTGCAAGTGGATATTTAAACGTCTTTGAGGCCTTCGTTGGAAACGGGATTTCTTCATATAAACCAGGACAGAAGAACTCTCAGAAACTTCTTGTTTGTTATGTGTGCATTCAACTCACAGAGTTGAACCTTACTTTGGAAAGAGCAGTTTTCTAACACTCTTTTTGTAAAAGTTCCAAGTGAATACTTTGAGTGCTTTGAAGCCTTACGGTAGACAACGAAATATCTTCATGTAAAAACTACAAAGAATCATTCGCAGAAACCACGTTGTGATCTCTGCATTCAACTCACAGAGTTGAACCTTTCCTCCTATAGAGCAGTTATGAAGCAGTCTCTTTGTAGAATTTGCAAGGGTGTATTTACAGGGCATTGAAGCCTACGGTAGAAAAGGAAATATCTTACCATAAAATCTAGTCAGAAGCATTCTCAGAAACTGAGTTGTGATGTTTGCATTCAACTCACAGAGTTCAACATTCCTTTTAATGGAGCGGTTTTGAAACACTCTTTTTGCAGAATCTGCAAGTGGATATTTGGACCTCTTTGAGGCCTTCGTTGGAAACGGGATTTCTTCATGTAATGCCAGACAGAAGAATTCTCAGTGAATTCTTTCTGTGTGTGTGTATTCAACTCACAGAGTTGAACGTTCCTTTAGACAGAGTAGATTGGAAACACTCTTTTTGTGGAATTTTCAGGTGGAGGTATCAAGCGCTTTGAGGCCAATGATAGAAAAGGAAATACCTTCATATAATAATTAGACGGAATCATTCTCAGAAACTGCTTTGCAATGTGTGCGTTCAACTCACAGTGTTTAACCTTTCTTTTCATACAGTTGTTTCGAAACACTCTTTTTGCAGAATCTGCAAGTGGATATTTGGACCTCTTTGAAGTCTTCGTTGGAAATGGGATTTCTTCATATAATGCTAGACAGAAGACTTCTCAGTAACTGCTTTTTCTGGTGTGTATTCAACTCTCAGAGTTGAACTTTCCTTTAGAAACAGCAGATTTGAAACTCTCTTTTTGTGGAATTTGCAAGTGGAGATTTCAGAGCTTTGAGGCCAATGGTAGAAAAGGAAATATCTTCGTATGCAAACTAGACAGAATCATTCTCAGAAACTACTTTGGTACGTGTGTGTTCAACTCACAGTGTTTAACCTTTCTTTTCATAGAGCAGTTTGGAAACACTCAGTTTGTAAAGTCAGCAACTGGATATTTGGATGTATTTGAGGCCTTCGTTGGAAACGGGATTTCTTCATATAATGCTAGACAGAAGAATTCTCAGTAACTTCTTTGGGTTGTGGGTATTCAAGTCACAGAGTTGAAGCTTCCTTTAGGCGGAGCAGATTGGAAACACTTTTTGTGGAATTTTCAGGGGGAGACTTCAAGCGCTTTGAAGTGAATGGTAGGAAAGGAAATATCTTCGTATAAAAACTAGACGGAGTCATTCTCAGAAACTACTTTGTGATGTTTGCGTTCAACTCACAGAGTTTAACGTTTCTTTTCATAGAGCAGTTTGGAAACACTCTTTTTGCAGAATCTGCAAGTGGATATTTGGACCTCTTTGTGGCCTTCGTTGGAAACGGGATTTTTCATATAATGCTAGACAGAAGAATTCTCAGTAACTTCTTTTTGTGGTGTGTATTCAACTCACAGAGTTGAACCTTCCTTTAGACAGAGCAGATTTGAAACTCTCTTTTTGTGGAATTTGCAAGTGGAGATTTCAAGCGCTTTGAGGCCAACGGCAGAAAAGGAAATATCTTCGTAGAGAAAATAGACGGAATCATTCTCAGAAACTGCTTTGGGATGTGTGCATTGAACTCACAGTGTTTAACACTTCTTTTCATAGAGCACTTTGGAAACACTCAGGTTGTAATGTCTGCAGCTGGATATTTGGACCTCTTTGAGGCCTTCGTGGTAAACGGGATTTCTTCGTGTAATGATAGACAATAGAATTCTCAGTGAATTTTTTTCTGTGTGTGTGTATTCAACTCACAGGGTTGAACCTTCCTTTAGACAGTGCAGATTTGAAACACTTGTCTGTGGAATTTGCAAGGGGAGATTTCAAGCACTTTGAGGCCATTGGTGGAAAAGGAAATATCTTCGTATGAAAACTAGACAGAATCATTCTCAGGAACTACTTTGTGATATGTGCATTCAACTCCCAGAGTTTAACCTTTCTTTTCATAGATGAGTTTGGAAACAGTCAGTTTGTAAATTCTGCAACTGGATATTTGGACCTCTTTGAGGCTTTCGTTGGAAACGGGATTTCTTCACATAATGCTAGACAGAAGAATTCTCAGTAACTTCTTTTGGGATGTATGTATTCAAATCAGAGAGTTGAACCTTCCTTTAGACAGAGCGGATTGGAAACACTCTTTTTGTGGAATTTGCAAGTGGAAAATTCTAGCAGTATGAGGCCAATGGTACAAAAGGAAATATCTTCGTATAAAAACTAGACAGTATCATTCTCAGAAACTGCTTTGTGATGTGTGTATTAAACTCACAGAGTTGAACATTTCTTTGCATAGAGCAGTTTGGAAAGACTTAGTTTGTGCAGTGTGCAAGTGGATATTTGGAACTCTTTGAGGCCTTCGTTGGAAACGGGATTTCTTCTTATAATTTCTTGAAAAAAGAAATCTCAGTAGCTTCTTTGTGTGTGTGTATTCAACTCACAGAGTTGAACCTTCCTTTAGACAGAGCAGATTGGAAACACTCTTTTTGTGGAATTTGCAAGTGGAGAATTCTAGCGCTTTGACGCCAATGGTAGAAAGGAAATATCTTCGTATAAATACTAGACAGTATCATTCTCAGAAGCTACTTTGTGATGTGTGCGTTCAACTCACAGAGTTTAACCTTTCTTTTCATAGAGCAGTTTGGAAACCCTCTGTTTGTGAAGTCTGCAAGTGGATATTTAAACGTCTTTGAGGCCTTCGTTGGAAACGGGATTTTTTCATATAAACCAGGACAGAAGAATTCTCAGAAACTTCTTGATTGTTATGTGTGCATTCAACTCACAGAGTTGAACCTTACTTTGGAAAGAGCAGTTTTCTAACACTCTTTTTGTAAAAGTTCCAAGTGAATACTTTGAGTGCTTTGAAGCCTACGGTTGACAACGAAATATCTTCATGTAAAAACTACAAAGAATCATTCGCAGAAACCACGTTGTGATCTCTGCATTCAACTCACAGAGTTCAACCTTTCTTCCTATAGAGCAGTTATGAAACAGTCTCTTTGTAGAATTTGCAAGGGTGTATTTAGAGGGCATTGAAGCCTACGGTAGAAAAGGAAATATCTTACCATAAAATCTAGTCAGAAGCATTCTCAGCAACTGAGTTGTGATGTTTCCATTCAACTCACAGAGTTCAACATTCCTTTTAATGGAGCGGTTTTGAAACACTCTTTTTGCAGAATCTGCAAGTGGATATTTGGACCTCTTTGAGGCCTTCGTTGGAAACGGGATTTCTTCATGTAATGCCAGACAGAAGAATTCTCAGTGAATTCTTTCTCTGTGTGTGTATTCAACTCACAGAGTTGAACGTTCCTTTAGACAGAGTAGATTGGAAACACTCTTTTTGTGGAATTTTCAGGTGGAGGTATCAAGCGCTTTGAGGCCAATGATAGAAAAGGAAATACCTTCGTATAATAATTAGACGGAATCATTCTCAGAAACTGCTTTGCAATGTGTGCGTTCAACTCACAGTGTTTAACCTTTCTTTTCATACAGTTGTTTCGAAACACTCTTTTTGCAGAATCTGCAAGTGGATATTTGGACCTCTTTGAAGTCTTCGTTGGAAATGGGATTTCTTCATATAATGCTAGACAGAAGACTTCTCAGTAACTGCTTTTTCTGGTGTGTATTCAACTCTCAGAGTTGAACTTTCCTTTAGAAACAGCAGATTTGAAACTCTCTTTTTGTGGAATTTGCAAGTGGAGATTTCAGAGCTTTGAGGCCAATGGTAGAAAAGGAAATATCTTCGTATGCAAACTAGACAGAATCATTCTCAGAAACTACTTTGGTACGTGTGTGTTCAACTCACAGTGTTTAACCTTTCTTTTCATAGAGCAGTTTGGAAACACTCAGTTTGTAAAGTCAGCAACTGGATATTTGGATGTATTTGAGGCCTTCGTTGGAAACGGGATTTCTTCATATAATGCTAGACAGAAGAATTCTCAGTAACTTCTTTGGGTTGTGGGTATTCAACTCACAGAGTTGAAGCTTCCTTTAGGCGGAGCAGATTGGAAACACTTTTTGTGGAATTTTCAGGGGGAGACTTCAAGCGCTTTGAAGTGAATGGTAGGAAAGGAAATATCTTCGTATAAAAACTAGACGGAGTCATTCTCAGAAACTACTTTGTGATGTTTGCGTTCAACTCACAGAGTTTAACGTTTCTTTTCATAGAGCAGTTTGGAAACACTCTTTTTGCAGAATCTGCAAGTGGATATTTGGACCTCTTTGTGGCCTTCGTTGGAAACGGGATTTTTCATATAATGCTAGACAGAAGAATTCTCAGTAACTTCTTTTTGTGGTGTGTATTCAACTCACAGAGTTGAACCTTCCTTTAGACAGAGCAGATTTGAAACTCTCTTTTTGTGGAATTTGCAAGTGGAGATTTCAAGCGCTTTGAGGCCAACGGCAGAAAAGGAAATATCTTCGTAGAAAAAATAGACGGAATCATTCTCAGAAACTGCTTTGGGATGTGTGCATTGAACTCACAGTGTTTAACACTTCTTTTCATAGAGCACTTTGGAAACACTCAGTTTGTAATGTCTGCAGCTGGATATTTGGACCTCTTTGAGGCCTTCGTAGTAAACGGGATTTCTTCGTGTAATGATAGACAATAGAATTCTCAGTGAATTTTTTTCTGTGTGTGTGTATTCAACTCACAGGGTTGAACCTTCCTTTAGACAGTGCAGATTTGAGACACTTGTCTGTGGAATTTGCAAGGGGAGATTTCAAGCACTTTGAGGCCATTGGTGGAAAAGGAAATATCTTCGTATAAAAACTAGACAGAATCATTCTCAGGAACTACTTTGTGATATGTGCATTCAACTCACAGAGTTTAACCTTTCTTTTCATAGATGAGTTTGGAAACAGTCAGTTTGTAAATGCTGCAACTGGATATTTGGGCCTCTTTGAGGCTTTCGTTGGAAACGGGATTTCTTCACATAATGCTAGACAGAAGAATTCTCAGTAACTTCTTTTGGGATGTATGTATTCAAATCAGAGAGTTGAACCTTCCTTTAGACAGAGCGGATTGGAAACACTCTTTTTGTGGAATTTGCAAGTGGAAAATTCTAGCAGTATGAGGCCAATGGTACAAAAGGAAATATCTTCGTATAAAAACTAGACAGTATCATTCTCAGAAACTGCTTTGTGATGTGTGTATTAAACTCACAGATTTGAACATTTCTTTGCATAGAGCAGTATGGAAAGACTTAGTTTGTGCAGTGTGCAAGTGGATATTTGGAACTCTTTGAGGCCTTGGTTGGAAACGGGATTTCTTCTTATAATTCTTGACAAAAGAATTCTCAGTAGCTTCTTTGTGTGTGTGTACTCAACTCACAGAGTTGAACCTTCCTTTAGACAGAGCAGATTGGAAACACTCTTTTTGTGGAATTTGCAAGTGGAAAATTCTAGCAGTATGAGGCCAATGGTACAAAAGGAAATATCTTCGTATAAAAACTAGACAGTATCATTCTCAGAAACTACTTTGTGATGTGTGCGTTCAACTCACAGTGTTTACCCTTTCTTTTCATAGAGCAGTTTGGAAACACTCTGTTTGTGAAGTCTGCAAGTGGATATTTAAACGTCTTTGAGGCCTTCGTTGGAAACGGGATTTCTTCATATAAACCAGGACAGAAGAATTCTCAGAAACTTCTTGTTTGTTATGTGTGCATTCAACTCACAGAGTTGAACCTTACTTTGGAAAGAGCAGTTTTCTAACACTCTTTTTGTAAAAGTTCCAAGTGAATACATTGAGTGCTTTGAAGCCTACGGTAGACAACGAAATATCTTCATGTAAAAACTCCGAAGAATCATTCGCCGAAACCACGTTGTGATCTCTGCATTCAACTCACAGAGTTCAACCTTTCTTCCTATAGAGCAGTTATTAAACAGTCTCTTTGTAGAATTTGCAAGGGTGTATTTAGAGGGCATTGAAGCCTACGGTAGAAAAGGAAATATCTGACCATAAAATCTAGTCAGAAGCATTCTCAGAAACTGAGTTGTGATGTTTGCATTCAACTCACAGAGTTCAACATTCCTTTTCATGGAGCGGTTTTGAAACACTCTTTTTGCAGAATCTGCAAGTGGATATTTGGACCTCTTTGAGGCCTTCGTTGGAAACGGGATTTCTTCATGTAATGCCAGACAAAGAACTCTCAGTGAATTCTTTCTGTGTGTGTGTATTCAACTCACAGAGTTGAACGTTCCTTTAGACAGAGTAGATTGGAAACACTCTTTTTGTGGAATTTTCAGGTGGAGGTATCAAGCGCTTTGAAGCCCATGATAGAAAAGGAAATACCTTCGTATAATAATTAGACGGAATCATTCTCAGAAACTGCTTTGCAATGTGTGCCTTCAACTCACAGTGTTTAACCTTTCTTTTCATACAGTTGTTTCGAAACACCCTTTTTGCGGAATCTGGAAGTGGATATTTGGACCTCTTTGAAGTCTTCGTTGGAAATGGGATTTCTTCATATAATGCTAGACAGAAGACTTCTCAGTAACTGGTTTTTCTGGTGTGTATTCAACTCTCAGAGTTGAACTTTCCTTTAGAAACAGCAGATATGAAACTCTCTTTTTGTGGAATTTGCAAGTGGAGATTTCAAAGCATTGAGGCCAATGGTAGAAAAGGAAATATCTTCGTATGCCAACTAGACAGAATCATTCTCAGAAACTACTTTGGTACGTGTGTGTTCAACTCACAGTGTTTAACCTTTCCTTTCATAGAGCAGTTTGGAAACACTCAGTTTGTAAAGTCAGCCACTGGATATTTGGATGTATTTGAGGCCTTCGTTGGAAACGGGATTTCTTCATATAATGCTAGACAGAAGAATTCTCAGTAACTTCTTTGTGTTGTGGGTATTCAACTCACAGAGTTGAAGCTTCCTTTAGGCGGAGCAGATTGGAAACACTTTTTGTGGAATTTTCAGGGGGAGACTTCAAGCGCTTTGAGGCCAACGGTAGAAAAGGAAATATCTTCGTATAAAAACTAGACGGAGTCATTCTCAGAAACTACTTTGTGATGTTTGCGTTCAACTCACAGAGTTTAACGTTTCTTTTCATAGAGCAGTTTGGAGACACTCTTTTTGCAGAATCTGCAAGTGGATATTTGGACCTCTTTGTGGCCTTCGTTGGAAACGGGATTTTTCATATAATGCTAGACAGAAGAATTCTCAGTAACTTCTTTTTGTGGTGTGTATTCAACTCACAGAGTGGAACCTTCCTTTAGACAGAGCAGATTTGAAACTCTCTTTTCGTGGAATTTGCAAGTGGAGATTTCAAGCGCTTTGAGGCCAACGGTAGAAAAGGAAATATCTTCGTAGAAAAAATAGACGGAATCATTCTCAGAAACTGCTTTGGGATGTGTGCATTGAACTCACAGTGTTTAACACTTCTTTTCATAGAGCACTTTGGAAACACTCAGTTTGTAATGTCTGCAGCTGGATATTTGGACCTCTTTGAGGCCTTCGTAGTAAACGGGATTTCTTCGTGTAATGATAGACAATAGAATTCTCAGTGAATTTTTTTCTGTGTGTGTGTATTCAACTCACAGGGTTGAACCTTCCTTTAGACAGTGCAGATTTGAAACACTTTTCTGTGGAATTTGCAAGGGGAGATTTCAAGCACTTTGAGGCCATTGGTGGAAAAGGAAATATCTTCGTATAAAAACTAGACAGAATCATTCTCAGGAACTACTTTGTGATATGTGCATTCAACTCACAGAGTTTAACCTTTCTTTTCATAGATGAGTTTGGAAACAGTCAGTTTGTAAATTCTGCAACTGGATATTTGGACCTCTTGGAGGCTTTCGTTGGAAACGGGATTTCTTCACATAATGCTAGACAGAAGAATTCGCAGTAACTTCTTTTGGGATGTATGTATTCAACTCAGAGAGTTGAACCTTCCTTTAGACAGAGCGGATTGGAAACACGCTTTTTGCGGAATTTTCAGGTGGAGATTTCAAGAGCCTTGAGGCCAATGGTAGAAAAGGCTATCTTCGTATAAAAACTAGACGGAATCATTCTCAGAAACTGCTTTGTGATGTGTGCATTAAACTCACAGAGTTGAACATTTCTTTGCATAGAGCAGTTTGGAAAGACTTAGTTTGTACAGTGTGCAAGTGGATATTTGGAACTCTTTGAGGCCTTCGTTGGAAACGGGATTTCTTCTTATAATTCTTGACAAAAGAATTCTCAGTAGCTTCTTTGTGTGTGTGTATTCAACTCACAGAGTTGAACCTTCCTTTAGACAGAGCAGATTGGAAACTCTCTTTTTGTGGAATTTGCAAGTGGAGAATTCTAGCGCTTTGACGCCAATGGTAGGAAAGGAAATATCTTCGTATAAAAACTAGACAGTATCATTCTCAGAAACTACTTTGTGATGTGTGCGTTCAACTCACAGAGTTTAACCTTTCTTTTCATAGAGCAGTTTGGAAACACTCTGTTTGTGAAGTCTGCAAGTGGATATTTAAACGTCTTTGAGGCCTTCGTTGGAAACGGGATTTTTTCATATAAACCAGGACAGAAGGATTCTCAGAAACTTCTTGTTTGTTATGTGTGCATTCAACTCACAGAGTTGAACCTTACTTTGGAAAGAGCAGTTTTCTAACACTCTTTTTGTAAAAGTTCCAAGTGAATACTTTGAGTGCTTTGAAGCCTACGGTAGACAACGAAATATCTTCATGTAAAAACTACAAAGAATCATTCGCAGAAACCACGTTGTGATCTCTGCATTCAACTCACAGAGTTCAACCTTTCTTCCTATAGAGCAGTTATTAAACAGTCTCTTTGTAGAATTTGCAAGGGTGTATTTAGAGGGCATTGAAGCCTACGGTAGAAAAGGAAATATCTTACCATAAAATCTAGTCAGAAGCATTCTCAGAAACTGAGTTGTGATGTTTGCATTCAACTCACAGAGTTCAACATTCCTTTTAATAGAGCGGTTTTGAAACACTCTTTTTGCAGAATCTGCAAGTGGATATTTGGACCTCTTTGAGGCCTTCGTTGGAAACGGGATTTCTTCATGTAATGCCAGACAGAAGAATTCTCAGTGAATTCTTTCTGTGTGTGTGTATTCAACTCACAGAGTTGAACGTTCCTTTAGACAGAGTAGATTGGAAACACTCTTTTTGTGGAATTTTCAGGTGGAGGTATCAAGCGCTTTGAGGCCCATGATAGAAAAGGAAATACCTTCGTATAATAATTAGACGGAATCATTCTCAGAAAATGCTTTGCAATGGGTGCGTTCAACTCACAGTGTTTAACCTTTCTTTTCATACAGTTGTTTCGAAACACTCTTTTTGCAGAATCTGCAAGTGGATATTTGGACCTGTTTGAAGTCTTCTTTGGAAATGGGATTTCTTCATATAATGCTAGACAGAAGACTTCTCAGTAACTGCTTTTTCTGGTGTGTATTCAACTCTCAGAGTTGAACTTTCCTTTAGGAACAGCAGATTTGAAACTCTCTTTTTGTGGAATTTGCAAGTGGAGATTTCAAAGCTTTGAGGCCAGTGGTAGAAAAGGAAATATCTTTGTATGCAAACTAGACAGAATCATTCTCAGAAACTACTTTGGTACGTGTGTGTTCAACTCACAGTGTTTAACCTTTCTTTTCATAGAGCAGTTTGGAAACACTCAGTTTGTAAAGTCAGCCACTGGATATGTGGATGTATTTGAGGCCTTCGTTGGAAACGGGATTTCTTCCTATAATGCGAGACAGAAGAATTCTCAGTAACTTCTTTGTGTTGTGGGTATTCAACTCACAGAGTTGAAGCTTCCTTTAGGCGGAGCAGATTGGAAACACTTTTTGTGGAATTTTCAGGGGGAGACTTCAAGCGCTTTGAGGCCAACGGTAGAAAAGGAAATATCTTCGTATAAAAACTAGACGGAGTCATTCTCAGAAACTACTTTGTGATGTTTGCGTTCAACTCACAGAGTTTAACGTTTCTTTTCATAGAGCAGTTTGGAGACACTCTTTTTGCAGAATCTGCAAGTGGATATTTGGACCTCTTTGGGGCCTTCGTTGGAAACGGGATTTTTCATATAATGCTAGACAGAAGAATTCTCAGTAACTTCTTTTTGTGGTGTGTATTCAACTCACAGAGTGGAACCTTCCTTTAGACAGAGCAGATTTGAAACTCTCTTTTCGTGGAATTTGCAAGTGGAGATTTCAAGCGCTTTGAGGCCAACGGTAGAAAAGGAAATATCTTCGTAGAAAAAATAGACGGAATCATTCTCAGAAACTGCTTTGGGATGTGTGCATTGAACTCACAGTGTTTAACACTTCTTTTCATAGAGCACTTTGGAAACACTCAGTTTGTAATGTCTGCAGCTGGATATTTGGACCTCTTTGAGGCCTTCGTAGTAAACGGGATTTCTTCGTGTAATGATAGACAATAGAATTCTCAGTGAATTTTTTTCTGTGTGTGTGTATTCAACTCACAGGGTTGAACCTTCCTTTAGACAGTGCAGATTTGAAACACTTTTCTGTGGAATTTGCAAGGGGAGATTTCAAGCACTTTGAGGCCATTGGTGGAAAAGGAAATATCTTCGTATAAAAACTAGACAGAATCATTCTCAGGAACTACTTTGTGATATGTGCATTCAACTCACAGAGTTTAACCTTCCTTTTCATAGATGAGTTTGGAAACAGTCAGTTTGTAAATTCTGCAACTGGATATTTGGACCTCTTGGAGGCTTTCGTTGGAAACGGGATTTCTTCACATAATGCTAGACAGAAGAATTCGCAGTAACTTCTTTTGGGATGTATGTATTCAACTCAGAGAGTTGAACCTTCCTTTAGACAGAGCGGATTGGAAACACGCTTTTTGCGGAATTTTCAGGTGGAGATTTCAAGAGCCTTGAGGCCAATGGTAGAAAAGGCTAACTTCGTATAAAAACTAGACGGAATCATTCTCAGAAACTGCTTTGTGATGTGTGCATTAAACTCACAGAGTTGAACATTTCTTTGCATAGAGCAGTTTGGAAAGACTTAGTTTGTACAGTGTGCAAGTGGATATTTGGAACTCTTTGAGGCCTTCGTTGGAAACGGGATTTCTTCTTATAATTCTTGACAAAAGAATTCTCAGTAGCTTCTTTGTGTGTGTGTATTCAACTCACAGAGTTGAACCTTCCTTTAGACAGAGCAGATTGGAAACACTCTTTTTGTGGAATTTGCAAGTGGAGAATTCTAGCGCTTTGACGCCAATGGAAGGAAAGGAAATATCTCCGTATAAAAACTAGACAGTATCATTCTCAGAAACTACTTTGTGATGTGTGCGTTCAACTCACAGAGTTTAACCTTTCTTTTCATAGAGCAGTTTGGAAACACTCTGTTTGTGAAGTCTGCAAGTGGATATTTAAACGTCTTTGAGGCCTTCGTTGGAAACGGGATTTTTTCCTATAAACCAGGACAGAAGGATTCTCAGAAACTTCTTGTTTGTTATGTGTGCATTCAACTCACAGAGTTGAACCTTACTTTGGAAAGAGCAGTTTTCTAACACTCTTTTTGTAAAAGTTCCAAGTGAATACTTTGAGTGCTTTGAAGCCTACGGTAGACAACGAAATATCTTCATGTAAAAACTACAAAGAATCATTCGCAGAAACCACGTTGTGATCTCTGCATTCAACTCACAGAGTTCAACCTTTCTTCCTATAGAGCAGTTATTAAACAGTCTCTTTGTAGAATTTGCAAGGGTGTATTTAGAGGGCATTGAAGCCTACGGTAGAAAAGGAAATATCTTACCATAAAATCTAGTCAGAAGCATTCTCAGAAACTGAGTTGTGATGTTTGCATTCAACTCACAGAGTTCAACATTCCTTTTAATAGAGCGGTTTTGAAACACTCTTTTTGCAGAATCTGCAAGTGGATATTTGGACCTCTTTGAGGCCTTCGTTGGAAACGGGATTTCTTCATGTAATGCCAGACAGAAGAATTCTCAGTGAATTCTTTCTGTGTGTGTGTATTCAACTCACAGAGTTGAACGTTCATTTAGACAGAGTAGATTGGAAACACTCTTTTTGTGGAATTTTCAGGTGGAGGTATCAAGCGCTTTGAGGCCCATGATAGAAAAGGAAATACCTTCGTATAATAATTAGACGGAATCATTCTCAGAAAATGCTTTGCAATGGGTGCGTTCAACTCACAGTGTTTAACCTTTCTTTTCATACAGTTGTTTCGAAACACTCTTTTTGCAGAATCTGCAAGTGGATATTTGGACCTGTTTGAAGTCTTCTTTGGAAATGGGATTTCTTCATATAATGCTAGACAGAAGACTTCTCAGTAACTGCTTTTTCTGGTGTGTATTCAACTCTCAGAGTTGAACTTTCCTTTAGAAACAGCAGATTTGAAACTCTCTTTTTGTGGAATTTGCAAGTGGAGATTTCAAAGCTTTGAGGCCAGTGGTAGAAAAGGAAATATCTTTGTATGCAAACTAGACAGAATCATTCTCAGAAACTACTTTGGTACGTGTGTGTTCAACTCACAGTGTTTAACCTTTCTTTTCATAGAGCAGTTTGGAAACACTCAGTTTGTAAAGTCAGCAACTGGATATGTGGATGTATTTGAGGCCTTCGTTGGAAACGGGATTTCTTCATATAATGCGAGACAGAAGAATTCTCAGTAACTTCTTTGTGTTGTGGGTATTCAACTCACAGAGTTGAAGCTTCCTTTAGGCGGAGCAGATTGGAAACACTTTTTGTGGAATTTTCAGGGGGAGACTTCAAGCGCTTTGAGGCCAACGGTAGAAAAGGAAATATCTTCGTATAAAAACTAGACGGAGTCATTCTCAGAAACTACTTTGTGATGTTTGCGTTCAACTCACAGAGTTTAACGTTTCTTTTCATAGAGCAGTTTGGAAACACTCTTTTTGCAGAATCTGCAAGTGGATATTTGGACCTCTTTGTGGCCTTCGTTGGGAACGGGATTTTTCATATAATGCTAGACAGAAGAATTCTCAGTAACTTCTTTTTGTGGTGTGTATTCAACTCACAGAGTGGAACCTTCCTTTAGACAGAGCAGATTTGAAACTCTCTTTTCGTGGAATTTGCAAGTGGAGATTTCAGGCGCTTTGAGGTCAACTGTAGAAAAGGAAATATCTTCGTAGAAAAAATAGACGGAATCATTCTCAGAAACTGCTTTGGGATGTGTGCATTGAACTCACAGTGTTTAACCCTTCTTTTCATAGAGCACTTTGGAAACACTCAGTTTGTAATGTCTGCAGCTGGATATTTGGACCTCTTTGAGGCCTTCGTAGTAAACGGGATTTCTTCGTGTAATGATAGACAATAGAATTCTCAGTGAATTTTTTTCTGTGTGTGTGTATTCAACTCACAGGGTTGAACCTTCCTTTAGACAGTGCAGATTTGAAACACTTTTCTGTGGAATTTGCAAGGGGAGATTTCAAGCACTTTGAGGCCATTGGTGGAAAAGGAAATATCTTCGTATAAAAACTAGACAGAATCATTCTCAGGAACTACTTTGTGATATGTGCATTCAACTCACAGAGTTTAACCTTTCTTTTCATAGATGAGTTTGGAAACAGTCAGTTTGTAAATTCTGCAACTGGATATTTGGACCTCTTGGAGGCTTTCGTTGGAAACGGGATTTCTTCACATAATGCTAGACAGAAGAATTCGCAGTAACTTCTTTTGGGATGTATGTATTCAACATAAAGAGTTGAACCTTCCTTTAGACAGAGCGGATTGGAAACACGCTTTTTGCGGAATTTTCAGGTGGAGATTTCAAGAGCCTTGAGGCCAATGGTAGAAAAGGCTATCTTCGTATAAAAACTAGACGGAATCATTCTCAGAAACTGCTTTGTGATGTGTGCATTAAACTCACAGAGTTGAACATTTCTTTGCATAGAGCAGTTTGGAAAGACTTAGTTTGTACAGTGTGCAAGTGGATATTTGGAACTCTTTGAGGCCTTCGTTGGAAATGGGATTTCTTCTTATAATTCTTGACAAAAGAATTCTCAGTAGCTTCTTTGTGTGTGTGTATTCAACTCACAGAGTTGAACCTTCCTTTAGACAGAGCAGATTGGAAACACTCTTTTTGTGGAATTTGCAAGTGGAGAATTCTAGCGCTTTGACGCAAATGGAAGGAAAGGAAATATCTCCGTATAAAAACTAGACAGTATCATTCTTAGAAACTCCTTTGTGATGTGTGTATTAAACTCACAGAGTTTAACCTTTCTTTTCATAGAGCAGTTTGGAAACCCTCTGTTTGTGAAGTCTGCAAGTGGATATTTAAACGTCTTTGAGGCCTTCGTTGGAAACGGGATTTTTTCATATAAACCAGGACAGAAGAATTCTCAGAAACTTCTTGATTGTTATGTGTGCATTCAACTCACAGAGTTGAACCTTACTTTGGAAAGAGCAGTTTTCTAACACTCTTTTTGTAAAAGTTCCAAGTGAATACTTTGAGTGCTTTGAAGCCTACGGTTGACAACGAAATATCTTCATGTAAAAACTACAAAGAATCATTCGCAGAAACCACGTTGTGATCTCTGCATTCAACTCACAGAGTTCAACCTTTCTTCCTATAGAGCAGTTATGAAACAGTCTCTTTGTAGAATTTGCAAGGGTGTATTTAGAGGGCATTGAAGCCTACGGTAGAAAAGGAAATATCTTACCATAAAATCTAGTCAGAAGCATTCTCAGAAACTGAGTTGTGATGTTTGCATTCAACTCACAGAGTTCAACATTCCTTTTAATGGAGCGGTTTTGAAACACTCTTTTTGCAGAATCTGCAAGTGGATATTTGGACCTCTTTGAGGCCTTCGTTGGAAACGGGATTTCTTCATGTAATGCCAGACAGAAGAATTCTCAGTGAATTCTTTCTGTGTGTGTGTATTCAACTCACAGAGTTGAACGTTCCTTTAGACAGAGTAGATTGGAAACACTCTTTTTGTGGAATTTTCAGGTGGAGGTATCAAGCGCTTTGAGGCCAATGATAGAAAAGGAAATACCTTCGGTATAATAATTAGACGGAATCATTCTCAGAAACTGCTTTGCAATGTGTGCGTTCAACTCACAGTGTTTAACCTTTCTTTTCATACAGTTGTTTCGAAACACTCTTTTTGCAGAATCTGCAAGTGGATATTTGGACCTCTTTGAAGTCTTCGTTGGAAATGGGATTTCTTCATATAATGCTAGACAGAAGACTTCTCAGTAACTGCTTTTTCTGGTGTGTATTCAACTCTCAGAGTTGAACTTTCCTTTAGAAACAGCAGATTTGAAACTCTCTTTTTGTGGAATTTGCAAGTGGAGATTTCAGAGCTTTGAGGCCAATGGTAGAAAAGGAAATATCTTCGTATGCAAACTAGACAGAATCATTCTCAGAAACTACTTTGGTACGTGTGTGTTCAACTCACAGTGTTTAACCTTTCTTTTCATAGAGCAGTTTGGAAACACTCAGTTTGTAAAGTCAGCAACTGGATATTTGGATGTATTTGAGGCCTTCGTTGGAAACGGGATTTCTTCATATAATGCTAGACAGAAGAATTCTCAGTAACTTCTTTGGGTTGTGGGTATTCAAGTCACAGAGTTGAAGCTTCCTTTAGGCGGAGCAGATTGGAAACACTTTTTGTGGAATTTTCAGGGGGAGACTTCAAGCGCTTTGAAGTGAATGGTAGGAAAGGAAATATCTTCGTATAAAAACTAGACGGAGTCATTCTCAGAAACTACTTTGTGATGTTTGCGTTCAACTCACAGAGTTTAACGTTTCTTTTCATAGAGCAGTTTGGAAACACTCTTTTTGCAGAATCTGCAAGTGGATATTTGGACCTCTTTGTGGCCTTCGTTGGAAACGGGATTTTTCATATAATGCTAGACAGAAGAATTCTCAGTAACTTCTTTTTGTGGTGTGTATTCAACTCACAGAGTTGAACCTTCCTTTAGACAGAGCAGATTTGAAACTCTCTTTTTGTGGAATTTGCAAGTGGAGATTTCAAGCGCTTTGAGGCCAACGGCAGAAAAGGAAATATCTTCGTAGAAAAAATAGACGGAATCATTCTCAGAAACTGCTTTGGGATGTGTGCATTGAACTCACAGTGTTTAACACTTCTTTTCATAGAGCACTTTGGAAACACTCAGTTTGTAATGTCTGCAGCTGGATATTTGGACCTCTTTGAGGCCTTCGTGGTAAACGGGATTTCTTCGTGTAATGATAGACAATAGAATTCTCAGTGAATTTTTTTCTGTGTGTGTGTATTCAACTCACAGGGTTGAACCTTCCTTTAGACAGTGCAGATTTGAAACACTTGTCTGTGGAATTTGCAAGGGGAGATTTCAAGCACTTTGAGGCCATTGGTGGAAAAGGAAATATCTTCGTATGAAAACTAGACAGAATCATTCTCAGGAACTACTTTGTGATATGTGCATTCAACTCCCAGAGTTTAACCTTTCTTTTCATAGATGAGTTTGGAAACAGTCAGTTTGTAAATTCTGCAACTGGATATTTGGACCTCTTTGAGGCTTTCGTTGGAAACGGGATTTCTTCACATAATGCTAGACAGAAGAATTCTCAGTAACTTCTTTTGGGATGTATGTATTCAAATCAGAGAGTTGAACCTTCCTTTAGACAGAGCGGATTGGAAACACTCTTTTTGTGGAATTTGCAAGTGGAAAATTCTAGCAGTATGAGGCCAATGGTACAAAAGGAAATATCTTCGTATAAAAACTAGACAGTATCGTTCTCAGAAACTGCTTTGTGATGTGTGTATTAAACTCACAGAGTTGAACATTTCTTTGCATAGAGCAGTTTGGAAAGACTTAGTTTGTGCAGTGTGCAAGTGGATATTTGGAACTCTTTGAGGCCTTCGTTGGAAACGGGATTTCTTCTTATAATTCTTGACAAAAGAATTCTCAGTAGCTTCTTTGTGTATGTGTATTCAACTCACAGAGTTGAACCTTCCTTTAGACAGAGCAGATTGGAAACACTCTTTTTGTGGAATTTGCAAGTGGAGAATTCTAGCGCTTTGACGCCAATGGTAGAAAGGAAATATCTTCGTATAAAAACTAGACAGTATCATTCTCAGAAGCTACTTTGTGATGTGTGCGTTCAACTCACAGAGTTTAACCTTTCTTTTCATAGAGCAGTTTGGAAACACTCTGTTTGTGAAGTCTGCAAGTGGATATTTAAACGTCTTTGAGGCCTTCGTTGGAAACGGGATTTTTTCATATAAACCAGGACAGAAGAATTCTCAGAAACTTCTTGATTGTTATGTGTGCATTCAACTCACAGAGTTGAACCTTACTTTGGAAAGAGCAGTTTTCTAATACTCTTTTTGTAAAAGTTCCAAGTGAATACTTTGAGTGCTTTGAAGCCTACGGTTGACAACGAAATATCTTCATGTAAAAACTACAAAGAATCATTCGCAGAAACCACGTTGTGATCTCTGCATTCAACTCACAGAGTTCAACCTTTCTTCCTATAGAGCAGTTATGAAACAGTCTCTTTGTAGAATTTGCAAGGGTGTATTTAGAGGGCATTGAAGCCTACGGTAGAAAAGGAAATATCTTACCATAAAATCTAGTCAAAAGCATTCTCAGAAACTGAGTTGTGATGTTTGCATTCAACTCACAGAGTTCAACATTCCTTTTAATGGAGCGGTTTTGAAACACTCTTTTTGCAGAATCTGCAAGTGGATATTTGGACCTCTTTGAGGCCTTCGTTGGAAACGGGATTTCTTCATGTAATGCCAGACAGAAGAATTCTCAGTGAATTCTTTCTGTGTGTGTGTATTCAACTCACAGAGTTGAACGTTCCTTTAGACAGAGTAGATTGGAAACACTCTTTTTGTGGAATTTTCAGGTGGAGGTATCAAGCGTTTTGAGGCCAATGATAGAAAAGGAAATACCTTCGTATAATAATTAGACGGAATCATTCTCAGAAACTGCTTTGCAATGTGTGCGTTCAACTCACAGTGTTTAACCTTTCTTTTCATACAGTTGTTTCGAAACACTCTTTTTGCAGAATCTGCAAGTGGATATTTGGACCTCTTTGAAGTCTTCGTTGGAAATGGGATTTCTTCATATAATGCTAGACAGAAGACTTCTCAGTAACTGCTTTTTCTGGTGTGTATTCAACTCTCAGAGTTGAACTTTCCTTTAGAAACAGCAGATTTGAAACTCTCTTTTTGTGGAATTTGCAAGTGGAGATTTCAGAGCTTTGAGGCCAATGGTAGAAAAGGAAATATCTTCGTATGCAAACTAGACAGAATCATTCTCAGAAACTACTTTGGTACGTGTGTGTTCAACTCACAGTGTTTAACCTTTCTTTTCATAGAGCAGTTTGGAAACACTCAGTTTGTAAAGTCAGCAACTGGATATTTGGATGTATTTGAGGCCTTCGTTGGAAACGGGATTTCTTCATATAATGCTAGACAGAAGAATTCTCAGTAACTTCTTTGGGTTGTGGGTATTCAAGTCACAGAGTTGAAGCTTCCTTTAGGCGGAGCAGATTGGAAACACTTTTTGTGGAATTTTCAGGGGGAGACTTCAAGCGCTTTGAAGTGAATGGTAGGAAAGGAAATATCTTCGTATAAAAACTAGACGGAGTCATTCTCAGAAACTACTTTGTGATGTTTGCGTTCAACTCACAGAGTTTAACGTTTCTTTTCATAGAGCAGTTTGGAAACACTCTTTTTGCAGAATCTGCAAGTGGATATTTGGACCTCTTTGTGGCCTTCGTTGGAAACGGGATTTTTCATATAATGCTAGACAGAAGAATTCTCAGTAACTTCTTTTTGTGGTGTGTATTCAACTCACAGAGTTGAACCTTCCTTTAGACAGAGCAGATTTGAAACTCTCTTTTTGTGGAATTTGCAAGTGGAGATTTCAAGCGCTTTGAGGCCAACGGCAGAAAAGGAAATATCTTCGTAGAAAAATAGACGGAATCATTCTCAGAAACTGCTTTGGGATGTGTGCATTGAACTCACAGTGTTTAACACTTCTTTTCATAGAGCACTTTGGAAACACTCAGTTTGTAATGTCTACAGCTGGATATTTGGACCTCTTTGAGGCCTTCGTAGTAAACGGGATTTCTTCGTGTAATGATAGACAATAGAATTCTCAGTGAATTTTTTTCTGTGTGTGTGTATTCAACTCACAGGGTTGAACCTTCCTTTAGACAGTGCAGATTTGAGACACTTGTCTGTGGAATTTGCAAGGGGAGATTTCAAGCACTTTGAGGCCATTGGTGGAAAAGGAAATATCTTCGTATAAAAACTAGACAGAATCATTCTCAGGAACTACTTTGTGATATGTGCATTCAACTCACAGAGTTTAACCTTTCTTTTCATAGATGAGTTTGGAAACAGTCAGTTTGTAAATTCTGCAACTGGATATTTGGACCTCTTTGAGGCTTTCGTTGGAAACGGGATTTCTTCACATAATGCTAGACAGAAGAATTCTCAGTAACTTCTTTTGGGATGTATGTATTCAAATCAGAGAGTTGAACCTTCCTTCAGACAGAGCGGATTGGAAACACTCTTTTTGTGGAATTTGCAAGTGGAAAATTCTAGCAGTATGAGGCCAATGGTACAAAAGGAAATATCTTCGTATAAAAACTAGACAGTATCATTCTCAGAAACTGCTTTGTGATGTGTGTATTAAACTCACAGAGTTGAACATTTCTTTGCATAGAGCAGTTTGGAAAGACTTAGTTTGTGCAGTGTGCAAGTGGATATTTGGAACTCTTTGAGGCCTTCGTTGGAAACGGGATTTCTTCTTATAATTCTTGACAAAAGAATTCTCAGTAGCTTCTTTGTGTGTGTGTATTCAACTCACAGAGTTGAACCTTCCTTTAGACAGAGCAGATTGGAAACACTCTTTTTGTGGAATTTGCAAGTGGAGAATTCTAGCGCTTTGACGCCAATGGTAGAAAGGAAATATCTTCGTATAAAAACTAGACAGTATCATTCTCAGAAGCTACTTTGTGATGTGTGCGTTCAACTCACAGAGTTTAACCTTTCTTTTCATAGAGCAGTTTGGAAACCCTCTGTTTGTGAAGTCTGCAAGTGGATATTTAAACGTCTTTGAGGCCTTCGTTGGAAACGGGATTTTTTCATATAAACCAGGACAGAAGAATTCTCAGAAACTTCTTGATTGTTATGTGTGCATTCAACTCACAGAGTTGAACCTTACTTTGGAAAGAGCAGTTTTCTAATACTCTTTTTGTAAAAGTTCCAAGTGAATACTTTGAGTGCTTTGAAGCCTACGGTTGACAACGAAATATCTTCATGTAAAAACTACAAAGAATCATTCGCAGAAACCACGTTGTGATCTCTGCATTCAACTCACAGAGTTGAACCTTTCTTCCTATAGAGCAGTTATGAAACAGTCTCTTTGTAGAATTTGCAAGGGTGTATTTAGAGGGCATTGAAGCCTACGGTAGAAAAGGAAATATCTTACCATAAAATCTAGTCAGAAGCATTCTCAGCAACTGAGTTGTGATGTTTGCATTCAACTCACAGAGTTCAACATTCCTTTTAATGGAGCGGTTTTGAAACACTCTTTTTGCAGAATCTGCAAGTGGATATTTGGACCTCTTTGAGGCCTTCGTTGGAAACGGGATTTCTTCATGTAATGCCAGACAGAAGAATTCTCAGTGAATTCTTTCTGTGTGTGTGTATTCAACTCACAGAGTTGAACGTTCCTTTAGACAGAGTAGATTGGAAACACTCTTTTTGTGGAATTTTCAGGTGGAGGTATCAAGCGCTTTGAGGCCAATGATAGAAAAGGAAATACCTTCGTATAATAATTAGACGGAATCATTCTCAGAAACTGCTTTGCAATGTGTGCGTTCAACTCACAGTGTTTAAACTTTCTTTTCATACAGTTGTTTCGAAACACTCTTTTTGCAGAATCTGCAAGTGGATATTTGGACCTCTTTGAAGTCTTCGTTGGAAATGGGATTTCTTCATATAATGCTAGACAGAAGACTTCTCAGTAACTGCTTTTTCTGGTGTGTATTCAACTCTCAGAGTTGAACTTTCCTTTAGAAACAGCAGATTTGAAACTCTCTTTTTGTGGAATTTGCAAGTGGAGATTTCAGAGCTTTGAGGCCAATGGTAGAAAAGGAAATATCTTCGTATGCAAACTAGACAGAATCATTCTCAGAAACTACTTTGGTACGTGTGTGTTCAACTCACAGTGTTTAACTTTTCTTTTCATAGAGCAGTTTGGAAACACTCAGTTTGTAAAGTCAGCAACTGGATATTTGGATGTATTTGAGGCCTTCGTTGGAAACGGGATTTCTTCATATAATGCTAGACAGAAGAATTCTCAGTAACTTCTTTGGGTTGTGGGTATTCAACTCACAGAGTTGAAGCTTCCTTTAGGCGGAGCAGATTGGAAACACTTTTTGTGGAATTTTCAGGGGGAGACTTCAAGCGCTTTGAAGTGAATGGTAGGAAAGGAAATATCTTCGTATAAAAACTAGACGGAGTCATTCTCAGAAACTACTTTGTGATGTTTGCGTTCAACTCACAGAGTTTAACGTTTCTTTTCATAGAGCAGTTTGGAAACACTCTTTTTGCAGAATCTGCAAGTGGATATTTGGACCTCTTTGTGGCCTTCGTTGGAAACGGGATTTTTCATATAATGCTAGACAGAAGAATTCTCAGTAACTTCTTTTTGTGGTGTGTATTCAACTCACAGAGTTGAACCTTCCTTTAGACAGAGCAGATTTGAAACTCTCTTTTTGTGGAATTTGCAAGTGGAGATTTCAAGCGCTTTGAGGCCAACGGCAGAAAAGGAAATATCTTCGTAGAAAAAATAGACGGAATCATTCTCAGAAACTGCTTTGGGATGTGTGCATTGAACTCACAGTGTTTAACACTTCTTTTCATAGAGCACTTTGGAAACACTCAGGTTGTAATGTCTGCAGCTGGATATTTGGACCTCTTTGAGGCCTTCGTGGTAAACGGGATTTCTTCGTGTAATGATAGACAATAGAATTCTCAGTGAATTTTTTTCTGTGTGTGTGTATTCAACTCACAGGGTTGAACCTTCCTTTAGACAGTGCAGATTTGAAACACTTGTCTGTGGAATTTGCAAGGGGAGATTTCAAGCACTTTGAGGCCATTGGTGGAAAAGGAAATATCTTCGTATGAAAACTAGACAGAATCATTCTCAGGAACTACTTTGTGATATGTGCATTCAACTCCCAGAGTTCAACCTTTCTTTTCATAGATGAGTTTGGAAACAGTCAGTTTGTAAATTCTGCAACTGGATATTTGGACCTCTTTGAGGCTTTCGTTGGAAACGGGATTTCTTCACATAATGCTAGACAGAAGAATTCTCAGTAACTTCTTTTGGGATGTATGTATTCAAATCAGAGAGTTGAACCTTCCTTTAGACAGAGCGGATTGGAAACCCTCTTTTTGTGGAATTTGCAAGTGGAAAATTCTAGCAGTATGAGGCCAATGGTACAAAAGGAAATATCTTCGTATAAAAACTAGACAGTATCATTCTCAGAAACTGCTTTGTGATGTGTGTATTAAACTCACAGAGTTGAACATTTCTTTGCATAGAGCAGTTTGGAAAGACTTAGTTTGTGCAGTGTGCAAGTGGATATTTGGAACTCTTTGAGGCCTTCGTTGGAAACGGGATTTCTTCTTATAATTTCTTGACAAAAGAATTCTCAGTAGCTTCTTTGTGTGTGTGTATTCAACTCACAGAGTTGAACCTTCCTTTAGACAGAGCAGATTGGAAACACTCTTTTTGTGGAATTTGCAAGTGGAGAATTCTAGCGCTTTGACGCCAATGGTAGAAAGGAAATATCTTCGTATAAAAACTAGACAGTATCATTCTCAGAAGCTACTTTGTGATGTGTGCGTTCAACTCACAGAGTTTAACCTTTCTTTTCATAGAGCAGTTTGGAAACCCTCTGTTTGTGAAGTCTGCAAGTGGATATTTAAACGTCTTTGAGGCCTTCGTTGGAAACGGGATTTTTTCATATAAACCAGGACAGAAGAATTCTCAGAAACTTCTTGATTGTTATGTGTGCATTCAACTCACAGAGTTGAACCTTACTTTGGAAAGAGCAGTTTTCTAACACTCTTTTTGTAAAAGTTCCAAGTGAATACTTTGAGTGCTTTGAAGCCTACGGTTGACAACGAAATATCTTCATGTAAAAACTACAAAGAATCATTCGCAGAAACCACGTTGTGATCTCTGCATTCAACTCACAGAGTTGAACCTTTCTTCCTATAGAGCAGTTATGAAACAGTCTCTTTGTAGAATTTGCAAGGGTGTATTTAGAGGGCATTGAAGCCTACGGTATAAAAGGAAATATCTTACCATAAAATCTAGTCAGAAGCATTCTCAGCAACTGAGTTGTGATGTTTGCATTCAACTCACAGAGTTCAACATTCCTTTTAATGGAGCGGTTTTGAAACACTCTTTTTGCAGAATCTGCAAGTGGATATTTGGACCTCTTTGAGGCCTTCGTTGGAAACGGGATTTCTTCATGTAATGCCAGACAGAAGAATTCTCAGTGAATTCTTTCTGTGTGTGTGTATTCAACTCACAGAGTTGAACGTTCCTTTAGACAGAGTAGATTGGAAACACTCTTTTTGTGGAATTTTCAGGTGGAGGTATCAAGCGCTTTGAGGCCAATGATAGAAAAGGAAATACCTTCGTATAATAATTACACGGAATCATTCTCAGAAACCGCTTTGCAATGTGTGCGTTCAACTCACAGTGTTTAACCTTTCTTTTCATACAGTTGTTTCGAAACACTCTTTTTGCAGAATCTGCAAGTGGATATTTGGACCTCTTTGAAGTCTTCGTTGGAAATGGGATTTCTTCATATAATGCTAGACAGAAGACTTCTCAGTAACTGCTTTTTTCTGGTGTGTATTCAACTCTCAGAGTTGAACTTTCCTTTAGAAACAGCAGATTTGAAACTCTCTTTTTGTGGAATTTGCAAGTGGAGATTTCAGAGCTTTGAGGCCAATGGTAGAAAAGGAAATATCTTCGTATGCAAACTAGACAGAATCATTCTCAGAAACTACTTTGGTACGTGTGTGTTCAACTCACAGTGTTTAACCTTTCCTTTCATAGAGCAGTTTGGAAACACTCAGTTTGTAAAGTCAGCAACTGGATATCTGGATGTATTTGAGGCCTTCGTTGGAAACGGGATTTCTTCATGTAATGCTAGACAGAAGAATTCTCAGTAACTTCTTTGGGTTGTGGGTATTCAACTCACAGAGTTGAAGCTTCCTTTAGGCGGAGCAGATTGGAAACACTTTTTGTGGAATTTTCAGGGGGAGACTTCAAGCGCTTTGAAAGTGAATGGTAGGAAAGGAAATATCTTCGTATAAAAACTAGACGGAGTCATTCTCAGAAACTACTTTGTGATGTTTGCGTTCAACTCACAGAGTTTAACGTTTCTTTTCATAGAGCAGTTTGGAAACACTCTTTTTGCAGAATCTGCAAGTGGATATTTGGACCTCTTTGTGGCCTTCGTTGGAAACGGGATTTTTCATATAATGCTAGACAGAAGAATTCTCAGTAACTTCCTTTTGTGGTGTGTATTCAACTCACAGAGTTGAACCTTCCTTTAGACAGAGCAGATTTGAAACTCTCTTTTTGTGGAATTTGCAAGTGGAGATTTCAAGCGCTTTGAGGCCAACGGTAGAAAAGGAAATATCTTCGTAGAAAAAATAGACGGAATCATTCTCAGAAACTGCTTTGGGATGTGTGCATTGAACTCACAGTGTTTAACACTTCTTTTCATAGAGCACTTTGGAAACACTCAGTTTGTAATGTCTGCAGCTGGATATTTGGACCTCTTTGAGGCCTTCGTAGTAAACGGGATTTCTTCGTGTAATGATAGACAATAGAATTCTCAGTGAATTTGTTTCTGTGTGTGTGTATTCAACTCACAGGGTTGAACCTTCCTTTAGACAGTGCAGATTTGAAACACTTGTCTGTGGAATTTGCAAGGGGAGATTTCAAGCACTTTGAGGCCATTGGTGGAAAAGGAAATATCTTCGTATGAAAACTAGACAGAATCATTCTCAGGAACTACTTTGTGATATGTGCATTCAACTCCCAGAGTTTAACCTTTCTTTTCATAGATGAGTTTGGAAACAGTCAGTTTGTAAATTCTGCAACTGGATATTTGGACCTCTTTGAGGCTTTCGTTGGAAACGGGATTTCTTCACATAATGCTAGACAGAAGAATTCTCAGTAACTTCTTTTGGGATGTATGTATTCAAATCAGAGAGTTGAACCTTCCTTTAGACAGAGCGGATTGGAAACACTCTTTTTGTGGAATTTGCAAGTGGAAAATTCTAGCAGTATGAGGCCAATGGTACAAAAGGAAATATCTTCGTATAAAAACTAGACAGTATCATTCTCAGAAACTGCTTTGTGATGTGTGTATTAAACTCACAGAGTTGAACATTTCTTTGCATAGAGCAGTTTGGAAAGACTTAGTTTGTGCAGTGTGCAAGTGGATATTTGGAACTCTTTGAGGCCTTCGTTGGAAACGGGATTTCTTCTTATAATTCTTGACAAAAGAATTCTCAGTAGCTTCTTTGTGTGTGTGTATTCAACTCACAGAGTTGAACCTTCCTTTAGACAGAGCAGATTGGAAACACTCTTTTTGTGGAATTTGCAAGTGGAGAATTCTAGCGCTTTGACGCCAATGGTAGAAAGGAAATATCTTCGTATAAAAACTAGACAGTATCATTCTCAGAAGCTACTTTGTGATGTGTGCGTTCAACTCACAGAGTTTAACCTTTCTTTTCATAGAGCAGTTTGGAAACCCTCTGTTTGTGAAGTCTGCAAGTGGATATTTAAACGTCTTTGAGGCCTTCGTTGGAAACGGGATTTTTTCATATAAACCAGGACAGAAGAATTCTCAGAAACTTCTTGATTGTTATGTGTGCATTCAACTCACAGAGTTGAACCTTACTTTGGAAAGAGTAGTTTTCTAACACTCTTTTTGTAAAAGTTCCAAGTGAATACTTTGAGTGCTTTGAAGCCTACGGTTGACAACGAAATATCTTCATGTAAAAACTACAAAGAATCATTCGCAGAAACCACGTTGTGATCTCTGCATTCAACTCACAGAGTTGAACCTTTCTTCCTATAGAGCAGTTATGAAACAGTCTCTTTGTAGAATTTGCAAGGGTGTATTTAGAGGGCATTGAAGCCTACGGTAGAAAAGGAAATATCTTACCATAAAATCTAGTCAGAAGCATTCTCAGCAACTGAGTTGTGATGTTTGCATTCAACTCACAGAGTTCAACATTCCTTTTAATGGAGCGGTTTTGAAACACTCTTTTTGCAGAATCTGCAAGTGGATATTTGGACCTCTTTGAGGCCTTCGTTGGAAACGGGATTTCTTCATGTAATGCCAGACAGAAGAATTCTCAGTGAATTCTTTCTGTGTGTGTGTATTCAACTCACAGAGTTGAACGTTCCTTTAGACAGAGTAGATTGGAAACACTCTTTTTGTGGAATTTTCAGGTGGAGGTATCAAGCGCTTTGAGGCCAATGATAGAAAAGGAAATACCTTCGTATAATAATTAGACGGAATCATTCTCAGAAACTGCTTTGCAATGTGTGCGTTCAACTCACAGTGTTTAACCTTTCTTTTCATACAGTTGTTTCGAAACACTCTTTTTGCAGAATCTGCAAGTGGATATTTGGACCTCTTTGAAGTCTTCGTTGGAAATGGGATTTCTTCATATAATGCTAGACAGAAGACTTCTCAGTAACTGCTTTTTCTGGTGTGTATTCAACTCTCAGAGTTGAACTTTCCTTTAGAAACAGCAGATTTGAAACTCTCTTTTTGTGGAATTTGCAAGTGGAGATTTCAGAGCTTTGAGGCCAATGGTAGAAAAGGAAATATCTTCGTATGCAAACTAGACAGAATCATTCTCAGAAACTACTTTGGTACGTGTGTGTTCAACTCACAGTGTTCAACCTTTCCTTTCATAGAGCAATTTGGAAACACTCAGTTTGTAAAGTCAGCAACTGGATATCTGGATGTATTTGAGGCCTTCGTTGGAAACGGGATTTCTTCATATAATGCTAGACAGAAGAATTCTCAGTAACTTCTTTGGGTTGTGGGTATTCAAGTCACAGAGTTGAAGCTTCCTTTAGGCGGAGCAGATTGGAAACACTTTTTGTGGAATTTTCAGGGGGAGACTTCAAGCGCTTTGAAGTGAATGGTAGGAAAGGAAATATCTTCGTATAAAAACTAGACGGAGTCATTCTCAGAAACTACTTTGTGATGTTTGCGTTCAACTCACAGAGTTTAACGTTTCTTTTCATAGAGCAGTTTGGAAACACTCTTTTTGCAGAATCTGCAAGTGGATATTTGGACCTCCTTTGTGGCCTTCGTTGGAAACGGGATTTTTCATATAATGCTAGACAGAAGAATTCTCAGTAACTTCTTTTTGTGGTGTGTATTCAACTCACAGAGTTGAACCTTCCTTTAGACAGAGCAGATTTGAAACTCTCTTTTTGTGGAATTTGCAAGTGGAGATTTCAAGCGCTTTGAGGCCAACGGCAGAAAAGGAAATATCTTCGTAGAAAAAATAGACGGAATCATTCTCAGAAACTGCTTTGGGATGTGTGCATTGAACTCACAGTGTTTAACACTTCTTTTCATAGAGCACTTTGGAAACACTCAGTTTGTAATGTCTGCAGCTGGATATTTGGACCTCTTTGAGGCCTTCGTAGTAAACGGGATTTCTTCGTGTAATGATAGACAATAGAATTCTCAGTGAATTTTTTTCTGTGTGTGTGTATTCAACTCACAGGGTTGAACCTTCCTTTAGACAGTGCAGATTTGAAACAGTTGTCTGTGGAATTTGCAAGGGGAGATTTCAAGCACTTTGAGGCCATTGGTGGAAAAGGAAATATCTTCGTATAAAAACTAGACAGAATCATTCTCAGGAACTACTTTGTGATATGTGCATTCAACTCACAGAGTTTAACCTTTCTTTTCATAGATGAGTTTGGAAACAGTCAGTTTGTAAATTCTGCAACTGGATATTTGGACCTCTTTGAGGCTTTCGTTGGAAACGGGATTTCTTCACATAATGCTAGACAGAAGAATTCTCAGTAACTTCTTTTGGGATGTATGTATTCAAATCAGAGAGTTGAACCTTCCTTTAGACAGAGCGGATTGGAAACACTCTTTTTGTGGAATTTGCAAGTGGAAAATTCTAGCAGTATGGGGCCAATGATACAAAAGGAAATATCTTCGTATAAAAACTAGACAGTATCATTCTCAGAAACTGCTTTGTGATGTGTGTATTAAACTCACAGAGTTGAACATTTCTTTGCATAGAGCAGTTTGGAAAGACTTAGTTTGTGCAGTGTGCAAGTGGATATTTGGAACTCTTTGAGGCCTTCGTTGGAAACGGGATTTCTTCTTATAATTCTTGACAAAAGAATTCTCAGTAGCTTCTTTGTGTGTGTGTATTCAACTCACAGAGTTGAACCTTCCTTTAGACAGAGCAGATTGGAAACACTCTTTTTGTGGAATTTGCAAGTGGAGAATTCTAGCGCTTTGACGCCAATGGTAGAAAGGAAATATCTTCGTATAAAAACTAGACAGTATCATTCTCAGAAGCTACTTTGTGATGTGTGCGTTCAACTCACAGAGTTTAACCTTTCTTTTCATAGAGCAGTTTGGAAACCCTCTGTTTGTGAAGTCTGCAAGTGGATATTTAAACGTCTTTGAGGCCTTCGTTGGAAACGGGATTTGTTCCTATAAACCAGGACAGAAGAATTCTCAGAAACTTCTTGATTGTTATGTGTGCATTCAACTCACAGAGTTGAACCTTACTTTGGAAAGAGCAGTTTTCTAACACTCTTTTTGTAAAAGTTCCAAGTGAATACTTTGAGTGCTTTGAAGCCTACGGTTGACAACGAAATATCTTCATGTAAAAACTACAAAGAATCATTCGCAGAAACCAAGTTGTGATCTCTGCATTCAACTCACAGAGTTGAACCTTTCTTCCTATAGAGCAGTTATGAAACAGTCTCTTTGTAGAATTTGCAAGGGTGTATTTAGAGGGCATTGAAGCCTACGGTAGAAAAGGAAATATCTTACCATAAAATCTAGTCAGAAGCATTCTCAGCAACTGAGTTGTGATGTTTGCATTCAACTCACAGAGTTCAACATTCCTTTTAATGGAGCGGTTTTGAAACACTCTTTTTGCAGAATCTGCAAGTGGATATTTGGACCTCTTTGAGGCCTTCGTTGGAAACGGGATTTCTTCATGTAATGCCAGACAGAAGAATTCTCAGTGAATTCTTTCTGTGTGTGTGTATTCAACTCACAGAGTTGAACGTTCTTTTAGACAGAGTAGATTGGAAACACTCTTTTTGTGGAATTTTCAGGTGGAGGTATCAAGCGCTTTGAGGCCAATGATAGAAAAGGAAATACCTTCGTATAATAATTAGACGGAATCATTCTCAGAAACTGCTTTGCAATGTGTGCGTTCAACTCACAGTGTTTAACCTTTCTTTTCATACAGTTGTTTCGAAACACTCTTTTTGCAGAATCTGCAAGTGGATATTTGGACCTCTTTGAAGTCTTCGTTGGAAATGGGATTTCTTCATATAATGCTAGACAGAAGACTTCTCAGTAACTGCTTTTTCTGGTGTGTATTCAACTCTCAGAGTTGAACTTTCCTTTAGAAACAGCAGATTTGAAACTCTCTTTTTGTGGAATTTGCAAGTGGAGATTTCAGAGCTTTGAGGCCAATGGTAGAAAAGGAAATATCTTCGTATGCAAACTAGACAGAATCATTCTCAGAAACTACTTTGGTACGTGTGTGTTCAACTCACAGTGTTTAACCTTTCTTTTCATAGAGCAGTTTGGAAACACTCAGTTTGTAAAGTCAGCAACTGGATATTTGGATGTATTTGAGGCCTTCGTTGGAAACGGGATTTCTTCATATAATGCTAGACAGAAGAATTCTCAGTAACTTCTTTGGGTTGTGGGTATTCAAGTCACAGAGTTGAAGCTTCCTTTAGGCGGAGCAGATTGGAAACACTTTTTGTGGAATTTTCAGGGGGAGACTTCAAGCGCTTTGAAGTGAATGGTAGGAAAGGAAATATCTTCGTATAAAAACTAGACGGAGTCATTCTCAGAAACTACTTTGTGATGTTTGCGTTCAACTCACAGAGTTTAACGTTTCTTTTCATAGAGCAGTTTGGAAACACTCTTTTTGCAGAATCTGCAAGTGGATATTTGGACCTCTTTGTGGCCTTCGTTGGAAACGGGATTTTTCATATAATGCTAGACAGAAGAATTCTCAGTAACTTCTTTTTGTGGTGTGTATTCAACTCACAGAGTTGAACCTTCCTTTAGACAGAGCAGATTTGAAACTCTCTTTTTGTGGAATTTGCAAGTGGAGATTTCAAGCGCTTTGAGGCCAACGGCAGAAAAGGAAATATCTTCGTAGAAAAAATAGACGGAATCATTCTCAGAAACTGCTTTGGGATGTGTGCATTGAACTCACAGTGTTTAACACTTCTTTTCATAGAGCACTTTGGAAACACTCAGTTTATAATGTCTGCAGCTGGATATTTGGACCTCTTTGAGGCCTTCGTAGTAAACGGGATTTCTTCGTGTAATGATAGACAATAGAATTCTCAGTGAATTTTTTTCTGTGTGTGTGTATTCAACTCACAGGGTTGAACCATCCTTTAGACAGTGCAGATTTGAAACACTTGTCTGTGGAATTTGCAAGGGGAGATTTCAAGCACTTTGAGGCCATTGGTGGAAAAGGAAATATCTTCGTATGAAAACTAGACAGAATCATTCTCAGGAACTACTTTGTGATATGTGCATTCAACTCACAGAGTTTAACCTTTCTTTTCATAGATGAGTTTGGAAACAGTCAGTTTGTAAATTCTGCAACTGGATATTTGGACCTCTTTGAGGCTTTCGTTGGAAACGGGATTTCTTCACATAATGCTAGACAGAAGAATTCTCAGTAACTTCTTTTGGGATGTATGTATTCAAATCAGAGAGTTGAACCTTCCTTTAGACAGAGCGGATTGGAAACACTCTTTTTGTGGAATTTGCAAGTGGAAAATTCTAGCAGTATGAGGCCAATGGTACAAAAGGAAATATCTTCGTATAAAAACTAGACAGTATCATTCTCAGAAACTGCTTTGTGATGTGTGTATTAAACTCACAGAGTTGAACATTTCTTTGCATAGAGCAGTTTGGAAAGACTTAGTTTGTGCAGTGTGCAAGTGGATATTTGGAACTCTTTGAGGCCTTCGTTGGAAACGGGATTTCTTCTTATAATTCTTGACAAAAGAATTCTCAGTAGCTTCTTTGTGTGTGTGTATTCAACTCACAGAGTTGAACCTTCCTTTAGACAGAGCAGATTGGAAACACTCTTTTTGTGGAATTTGCAAGTGGAGAATTCTAGCGCTTTGACGCCAATGGTAGAAAGGAAATATCTTCGTATAAAAACTAGACAGTATCATTCTCAGAAACTACTTTGTGATGTGTGCGTTCAACTCACAGAGTTTAACCTTTCTTTTCATAGAGCAGTTTGGAAACACTCTGTTTGTGAAGTCTGCAAGTGGATATTTAAACGTCTTTGAGGCCTTCGTTGGAAACGGGATTTGTTCATATAAACCAGGACAGAAGAATTCTCAGAAACTTCTTGATTGTTATGTGTGCATTCAACTCACAGAGTTGAACCTTACTTTGGAAAGAGCAGTTTTCTAACACTCTTTTTGTAAAAGTTCCAAGTGAATACTTTGAGTGCTTTGAAGCCTACGGTTGACAACGAAATATCTTCATGTAAAAACTACAAAGAATCATTTGCAGAAACCACGTTGTGATCTCTGCATTCAACTCACAGAGTTGAACCTTTCTTCCTATAGAGCAGTTATGAAACAGTCTCTTTGTAGAATTTGCAAGGGTGTATTTAGAGGGCATTGAAGCCTACGGTAGAAAAGGAAATATCTTACCATAAAATCTAGTCAGAAGCATTCTCAGAAACTGAGTTGTGATGTTTGCATTCAACTCACAGAGTTCAACATTCCTTTTAATGGAGCGGTTTTGAAACACTCTTTTTGCAGAATCTGCAAGTGGATATTTGGACCTCTTTGAGGCCTTCGTTGGAAACGGGATTTCTTCATGTAATGCCAGACAGAAGAATTCTCAGTGAATTCTTTCTGTGTGTGTGTATTCAACTCACAGAGTTGAACGTTCCTTTAGACAGAGTAGATTGGAAACACTCTTTTTGTGGAATTTTCAGGTGGAGGTATCAAGCGCTTTGAGGCCAATGATAGAAAAGGAAATACCTTCGTATAATAATTAGACGGAATCATTCTCAGAAACTGCTTTGCAATGTGTGCGTTCAACTCACAGTGTTTAACCTTTCTTTTCATACAGTTTTGTTTCGAAACACTCTTTTTGCAGAATCTGCAAGTGGATATTTGGACCTCTTTGAAGCCTTCGTTGGAAATGGGATTTCTTCATATAATGCTAGACAGAAGACTTCTCAGTAACTGCTTTTTCTGGTGTGTATTCAACTCTCAGAGTTGAACTTTCCTTTAGAAACAGCAGAGTTGAAACTCTCTTTTTGTGGAATTTGCAAGTGGAGATTTCAAAGCTTTGAGGCCAATGGTAGAAAAGGAAATATCTTCGTATGCAAACTAGACAGAATCATTCTCAGAAACTACTTTGGTACGTGTGTGTTCAACTCACAGTGTTTAACCTTTCTTTTCATAGAGCAGTTTGGAAACACCCAGTTTGTAAAGTCAGCAACTGGATATTTGGATGTATTTGAGGCCTTCGTTGGAAACGGGATTTCTTCATATAGTGCTAGACAGAAGAATTCTCAGTAACTTCTTTGGGTTGTGGGTATTCAACTCACAGAGTTGAAGCTTCCTTTAGGCGGAGCAGATTGGAAACACTTTTTCTGGAATTTTCAGGGGGAGACTTCAAGCGCTTTGAAGTGAATGGTAGAAAAGGAAATATCTTCGTATAAAAACTAGACGGAGTCATTCTCAGAAACTACTTTGTGATGTTTGCGTTCAACTCACAGAGTTTAACGTTTCTTTTCATAGAGCAGTTTGGAAACACTCTTTTTGCAGAATCTGCAAGTGGATATTTGGACCTCTTTGTGGCCTTCGTTGGAAACGGGATTTTTCATATAATGCTAGACAGAAGAATTCTCAGTAACTTCTTTTTGTGGTGTGTATTCAACTCACAGAGTTGAACCTTCCTTTAGACAGAGCAGATTTGAAACTCTCTTTTTGTGGAATTTGCAAGTGGAGATTTCAAGCGCTTTGAGGCCAACGGCAGAAAAGGAAATATCTTCGTAGAAAAAATAGACGGAATCATTCTCAGAAACTGCTTTGGGATGTGTGCATTGAACTCACAGTGTTTAACACTTCTTTTCATAGAGCACTTTGGAAACACTCAGTTTGTAATGTCTGCAGCTGGATATTTGGACCTCTTTGAGGCCTTCGTAGTAAACGGGATTTCTTCGTGTAATGATAGACAATAGAATTCTCAGTGAATTTTTTTCTGTGTGTGTGTATTCAACTCACAGGGTTGAACCTTCCTTTAGACAGTGCAGATTTGAAACACTTGTCTGTGGAATTTGCAAGGGGAGATTTCAAGCACTTTGAGGCCATTGGTGGAAAAGGAAATATCTTCGTATGAAAACTAGACAGAATCATTCTCAGGAACTACTTTGTGATATGTGCATTCAACTCCCAGAGTTCAACCTTTCTTTTCATAGATGAGTTTGGAAACAGTCAGTTTGTAAATTCTGCAACTGGATATTTGGACCTCTTTGAGGCTTTCGTTGGAAACGGGATTTCTTCACATAATGCTAGACAGAAGAATTCTCAGTAACTTCTTTTGGGATGTATGTATTCAAATCAGAGAGTTGAACCTTCCTTTAGACAGAGCGGATTGGAAACACTCTTTTTGTGGAATTTGCAAGTGGAAAATTCTAGCAGTATGAGGCCAATGGTACAAAAGGAAATATCTTCGTATAAAAACTAGACAGTATCATTCTCAGAAACTGCTTTGTGATGTGTGTATTAAACTCACAGAGTTGAACATTTCTTTGCATAGAGCAGTTTGGAAAGACTTAGTTTGTGCAGTGTGCAAGTGGATATTTGGAACTCTTTGAGGCCTTCGTTGGAAACGGGATTTCTTCTTATAATTCTTGACAAAAGAATTCTCAGTAGCTTCTTTGTGTGTGTGTATTCAACTCACAGAGTTGAACCTTCCTTTAGACAGAGCAGATTGGAAACACTCTTTTTGTGGAATTTGCAAGTGGAGAATTCTAGCGCTTTGACACCAATGGTAGAAAGGAAATATCTTCGTATAAAAACTAGACAGTATCATTCTCAGAAGCTACTTTGTGATGTGTGCGTTCAACTCACAGAGTTTAACCTTTCTTTTCATAGAGCAGTTTGGAAACCCTCTGTTTGTGAAGTCTGCAAGTGGATATTTAAACCGTCTTTGAGGCCTTCGTTGGAAACGGGATTTTTTCATATAAACCAGGACAGAAGAATTCTCAGAAACTTCTTGATTGTTATGTGTGCATTCAACTCACAGAGTTGAACCTTACTTTGGAAAGAGCAGTTTTCTAACACTCTTTTTGTAAAAGTTCCAAGTGAATACTTTGAGTGCTTTGAAGCCTACGGTTGACAACGAAATATCTTCATGTAAAAACTACAAAGAATCATTCGCAGAAACCACGTTGTGATCTCTGCATTCAACTCACAGAGTTCAACCTTTCTTCCTATAGAGCAGTTATGAAACAGTCTCTTTCTAGAATTTGCAAGGGTGTATTTAGAGGGCATTGAAGCCTACGGTAGAAAAGGAAATATCTTACCATAAAATCTAGTCAGAAGCATTCTCAGCAACTGAGTTGTGATGTTTGCATTCAACTCACAGAGTTCAACATTCCTTTTAATGGAGCGGTTTTGAAACACTCTTTTTGCAGAATCTGCAAGTGGATATTTGGACCTCTTTGAGGCCTTCGTTGGAAACGGGATTTCTTCATGTAATGCCAGACAGAAGAATTCTCAGTGAATTCTTTCTGTGTGTGTGTATTCAACTCACAGAGTTGAACGTTCCTTTAGACAGAGTAGATTGGAAACACTCTTTTTGTGGAATTTTCAGGTGGAGGTATCAAGCGCTTTGAGGCCAATGATAGAAAAGGAAATACCTTCGTATAATAATTAGACGGAATCATTCTCAGAAACTGCTTTGCAATGTGTGCGTTCAACTCACAGTGTTTAACCTTTCTTTTCATACAGTTGTTTCGAAACACTCTTTTTGCAGAATCTGCAAGTGGATATTTGGACCTCTTTGAAGTCTTCGTTGGAAATGGGATTTCTTCATATAATGCTAGACAGAAGACTTCTCAGTAACTGCTTTTTCTGGTGTGTATTCAACTCTCAGAGTTGAACTTTCCTTTAGAAACAGCAGATTTGAAACTCTCTTTTTGTGGAATTTGCAAGTGGAGATTTCAGAGCTTTGAGGCCAATGGTAGAAAAGGAAATATCTTCGTATGCAAACTAGGCAGAATCATTCTCAGAAACTACTTTGGTACGTGTGTGTTCAACTCACAGTGTTTAACCTTTCTTTTCATAGAGCAGTTTGGAAACACTCAGTTTGTAAAGTCAGCAACTGGATATTTGGATGTATTTGAGGCCTTCGTTGGAAACGGGATTTCTTCATATAGTGCTAGACAGAAGAATTCTCAGTAACTTCTTAGGGTTGTGGGTATTCAACTCACAGAGTTGAAGCTTCCTTTAGGCGGAGCAGATTGGAAACACTTTTTGTGGAATTTTCAGGGGGAGACTTCAAGCGCTTTGAAGTGAATGGTAGAAAAGGAAATATCTTCGTATAAAAACTAGACGGAGTCATTCTCAGAAACTACTTTGTGATGTTTGCGTTCAACTCACAGAGTTTAACGTTTCTTTTCATAGAGCAGTTTGGAAACACTCTTTTTGCAGAATCTGCAAGTGGATATTTGGACCTCTTTGTGGCCTTCGTTGGAAACGGGATTTTTCATATAATGCTAGACAGAAGAATTCTCAGTAACTTCTTTTTGTGGTGTGTATTCAACTCACAGAGTTGAACCTTCCTTTAGACAGAGCAGATTTGAAACTCTCTTTTTGTGGAATTTGCAAGTGGAGATTTCAAGCGCTTTGAGGCCAACGGTAGAAAAGGAAATATCTTCGTAGAAAAAATAGACGGAATCATTCTCAGAAACTGCTTTGGGATGTGTGCATTGAACTCACAGTGTTTAACACTTCTTTTCATAGAGCACTTTGGAAACACTCAGTTTGTAATGTCTGCAGCTGGATATTTGGACCTCTTTGAGGCCTTCGTAGTAAACGGGATTTCTTCGTGTAATGATAGACAATAGAATTCTCAGTGAATTTTTTTCTGTGTGTGTGTATTCAACTCACAGGGTTGAACCTTCCTTTAGACAGTGCAGATTTGAAACACTTGTCTGTGGAATTTGCAAGGGGAGATTTCAAGCACTTTGAGGCCATTGGTGGAAAAGGAAATATCTTCGTATAAAAACTAGACAGAATCATTCTCAGGAACTACTTTGTGATATGTGCATTCAACTCACAGAGTTTAACCTTTCTTTTCATAGATGAGTTTGGAAACAGTCAGTTTGTAAATTCTGCAACTGGATATTTGGACCTCTTTGTGGCTTTCATTGGAAACGGGATTTCTTCACATAATGCTAGACAGAAGAATTCTCAGTAACTTCTTTTGGGATGTATGTATTCAAATCAGAGAGTTGAACCTTCCTTTAGACAGAGCGGATTGGAAACACTCTTTTTGTGGAATTTGCAAGTGGAAAATTCTAGCAGTATGAGGCCAATGGTACAAAAGGAAATATCTTCGTATAAAAACTAGACAGTATCATTCTCAGAAACTGCTTTGTGATGTGTGTATTAAACTCACAGAGTTGAACATTTCTTTGCATAGAGCAGTTTGGAAAGACTTAGTTTGTGCAGTGTGCAAGTGGATATTTGGAACTCTTTGAGGCCCTTCGTTGGAAACGGGATTTCTTCTTATAATTCTTGACAAAGAATTCTCAGTAGCTTCTTTGTGTGTGTGTACTCAACTCACAGAGTTGAACCTTCCTTTAGACAGAGCAGATTGGAAACACTCTTTTTGTGGAATTTGCAAGTGGAAAATTCTAGCAGTATGAGGCCAATGGTACAAAAGGAAATATCTTCGTATAAAAACTAGACAGTATCATTCTCAGAAGCTACTTTGTGATGTGTGCGTTCAACTCACAGAGTTTAACCTTTCTTTTCATAGAGCAGTTTGGAAACCCTCTGTTTGTGAAGTCTGCAAGTGGATATTTAAACGTCTTTGAGGCCTTCGTTGGAAACGGGATTTTTTCATATAAACCAGGACAGAAGAATTCTCAGAAACTTCTTGATTGTTATGTGTGCATTCAACTCACAGAGTTGAACCTTACTTTGGAAAGAGTAGTTTTCTAACACTCTTTTTGTAAAAGTTCCAAGTGAATACTTTGAGTGCTTTGAAGCCTACGGTTGACAACGAAATATCTTCATGTAAAAACTACAAAGAATCATTCGCAGAAACCACGTTGTGATCTGTGCATGCAACTCACAGAGTTCAACCTTTCTTTCTATAGAGCAGTTATGAAACACTCTTTTTGTGGAATTTGCAAGGGTGTATTTAGAGGGCATTGAAGCCTACGGTAGAAAAGGAAATATCTGACCATAAAAACTAGACAGAAGCATTCTCAGAAACTGAGTTGTGATGTTTGCATTCAACTCACAGAGTTCAACATTCCTTTTAATGGAGCGGTTTTGAAACACTCTTTTTGCAGAATCTGCAAGTGGATATTTGGACCTCTTTGAGGCCTTTGTTGGAAACGGGATTTCTTCATGTAATGCCAGACAGAAGAATTCTCAGTGAATTCTTTCTGTGTGTGTGTATTCAACTCACAGAGTTGAACGTTCCTTTAGACAGAGTAGATTGGAAACACTCTTTTTGTGGAATTTTCAGGTGGAGGTATCAAGCGCTTTGAGGCCAATGATAGAAAAGGAAATACCTTCGTATAATAATTAGACGGAATCATTCTCAGAAACTGCTTTGCAATGTGTGCGTTCAACTCACAGTGTTTAACCTTTCTTTTCATACAGTTGTTTCGAAACACTCTTTTTGCAGAATCTGCAAGTGGATATTTGGACCTCTTTGAAGTCTTCGTTGGAAATGGGATTTCTTCATATAATGCTAGACAGAAGACTTCTCAGTAACTGCTTTTTCTGGTGTGTATTCAACTCTCAGAGTTGAACTTTCCTTTAGGAACAGCAGATTTGAAACTCTCTTTTTGTGGAATTTGCAAGTGGAGATTTCAAAGCTTTGAGGCCAGTGGTAGAAAAGGAAATATCTTTGTATGCAAACTAGACAGAATCATTCTCAGAAACTACTTTGGTACGTGTGTGTTCAACTCACAGTGTTTAACCTTTCTTTTCATAGAGCAGTTTGGAAACACTCAGTTTGTAAAGTCAGCAACTGGATATGTGGATGTATTTGAGGCCTTCGTTGGAAACGGGATTTCTTCCTATAATGCGAGACAGAAGAATTCTCAGTAACTTCTTTGTGTTGTGGGTATTCAACTCACAGAGTTGAAGCTTCCTTTAGGCGGAGCAGATTGGAAACACTTTTTGTGGAATTTTCAGGGGGAGACTTCAAGCGCTTTGAGGCCAACGGTAGAAAAGGAAATATCTTCGTATAAAAACTAGACGGAGTCATTCTCAGAAACTACTTTGTGATGTTTGCGTTCAACTCACAGAGTTTAACGTTTCTTTTCATAGAGCAGTTTGGAAACACTCTTTTTGCAGAATCTGCAAGTGGATATTTGGACCTCTTTGGGGCCTTCGTTGGAAACGGGATTTTTCATATAATGCTAGACAGAAGAATTCTCAGTAACTTCTTTTTGTGGTGTGTATTCAACTCACAGAGTGGAACCTTCCTTTAGACAGAGCAGATTTGAAACTCTCTTTTTGTGGAATTTGCAAGTGGAGATTTCAAGCGCTTTGAGGCCAACGGTAGAAAAGGAAATATCTTCGTAGAAAAAATAGACGGAATCATTCTCAGAAACTGCTTTGGGATGTGTGCATTGAACTCACAGTGTTTAACACTTCTTTTCATAGAGCACTTTGGAAACACTCAGTTTGTAATGTCTGCAGCTGGATATTTGGACCTCTTTGAGGCCTTCGTAGTAAACGGGATTTCTTCGTGTAATGATAGACAATAGAATTCTCAGTGAATTTTTTTCTGTGTGTGTGTATTCAACTCACAGGGTTGAACCTTCCTTTAGACAGTGCAGATTTGAAACACTTTTCTGTGGAATTTGCAAGGGGAGATTTCAAGCACTTTGAGGCCATTGGTGGAAAAGGAAATATCTTCGTATAAAAACTAGACAGAATCATTCTCAGGAACTACTTTGTGATATGTGCATTCAACTCACAGAGTTTAACCTTTCTTTTCATAGATGAGTTTGGAAACAGTCAGTTTGTAAATTCTGCAACTGGATATTTGGACCTCTTGGAGGCTTTTGTTGGAAACGGGATTTCTTCACATAATGCTAGACAGAAGAATTCTCAGTAACTTCTTTTGGGATGTATGTATTCAAATCAGAGAGTTGAACCTTCCTTTAGACAGAGCGGATTGGAAACACTCTTTTTGTGGAATTTGCAAGTGGAAAATTCTAGCAGTATGAGGCCAATGGTACAAAAGGAAATATCTTCGTATAAAAACTAGACAGTATCATTCTCAGAAACTGCTTTGTGATGTGTGTATTAAACTCACAGAGTTGAACATTTCTTTGCATAGAGCAGTTTGGAAACACTTAGTTTGTGCAGTGTGCAAGTGGATATTTGGAACTCTTTGAGGCCTTCGTTGGAAACGGGATTTCTTCTTATAATTCTTGACAAAAGAATTCTCAGTAGCTTCTTTGTGTGTGTGTATTCAACTCACAGAGTTGAACCTTCCTTTAGACAGAGCAGATTGGAAACACTCTTTTTGTGGAATTTGCAAGTGGAGAATTCTAGCGCTTTGACGCCAATGGTAGAAAGGAAATATCTTCGTATAAAAACTAGACAGTATCATTCTCAGAAGCTACTTTGTGATGTGTGCGTTCAACTCACAGAGTTTAACCTTTCTTTTCATAGAGCAGTTTGGAAACCCTCTGTTTGTGAAGTCTGCAAGTGGATATTTAAACCGTCTTTGAGGCCTTCGTTGGAAACGGGATTTTTTCATATAAACCAGGACAGAAGAATTCTCAGAAACTTCTTGATTGTTATGTGTGCATTCAACTCACAGAGTTGAACCTTACTTTGGAAAGAGCAGTTTTCTAACACTCTTTTTGTAAAAGTTCCAAGTGAATACTTTGAGTGCTTTGAAGCCTACGGTTGACAACGAAATATCTTCATGTAAAAACTACAAAGAATCATTCGCAGAAACCACGTTGTGATCTCTGCATTCAACTCACAGAGTTGAACCTTTCTTCCTATAGAGCAGTTATGAAACAGTCTCTTTGTAGAATTTGCAAGGGTGTATTCAGAGGGCATTGAAGCCTACGGTAGGAAAGGAAATATCTTACCATAAAATCTAGTCAGAAGCATTCTCAGAAACTGAGTTGTGATGTTTGCATTCAACTCACAGAGTTCAACATTCCTTTTAATGGAGCGGTTTTGAAACACTCTTTTTGCAGAATCTGCAAGTGGATATTTGGACCTCTTTGAGGCCTTCGTTGGAAACGGGATTTCTTCATGTAATGCCAGACAGAAGAATTCTCAGTGAATTCTTTCTGTGTGTGTGTATTCAACTCACAGAGTTGAACGTTCCTTTAGACAGAGTAGATTGGAAACACTCTTTTTGTGGAATTTTCAGGTGGAGGTATCAAGCGCTTTGAGGCCAATGATAGAAAAGGAAATACCTTCGTATAATAATTAGACGGAATCATTCTCAGAAACCGCTTTGCAATGTGTGCGTTCAACTCACAGTGTTTAACCTTTCTTTTCATAGAGTTGTTTCGAAACACTCTTTTTGCAGAATCTGCAAGTGGATATTTGGACCTCTTTGAAGTCTTCGGTTGGAAATGGGATTTCTTCATATAATGCTAGACAGAAGACTTCTCAGTAACTGCTTTTTCTGGTGTGTATTCAACTCCCAGAGTTGAACTTTCCTTTAGAAACAGCAGATTTGAAACTCTCTTTTTGTGGAATTTGCAAGTGGAGATTTCAGAGCTTTGAGGCCAATGGTAGAAAAGGAAATATCTTCGTATGCAAACTAGACAGAATCATTCTCAGAAACTACTTTGGTACGTGTGTGTTCAACTCACAGTGTTTAACCTTTCTTTTCATAGAGCAGTTTGGAAACACTCAGTTTGTAAAGTCAGCAACTGGATATTTGGATGTATTTGAGGCCTTCGTTGGAAACGGGATTTCTTCATATAATGCTAGACAGAAGAATTCTCAGTAACTTCTTTGGGTTGTGGGTATTCAAGTCACAGAGTTGAAGCTTCCTTTAGGCGGAGCAGATTGGAAACACTTTTTGTGGAATTTTCAGGGGGAGACGTCAAGCGCTTTGAAGTGAATGGTAGGAAAGGAAATATCTTCGTATAAAAACTAGACGGAGTCATTCTCAGAAACTACTTTGTGATGTTTGCGTTCAACTCACAGAGTTTAACGTTTCTTTTCATAGAGCAGTTTGGAAACACTCTTTTTGCAGAATCTGCAAGTGGATATTTGGACCTCTTTGTGGCCTTCGTTGGAAACGGGATTTTTCATATAATGCTAGACAGAAGAATTCTCAGTAACTTCTTTTTGTGGTGTGTATTCAACTCACAGAGTTGAACCTTCCTTTAGACAGAGCAGATTTGAAACTCTCTTTTTGTGGAATTTGCAAGTGGAGATTTCAAGCGCTTTGAGGCCAACGGCAGAAAAGGAAATATCTTCGTAGAAAAAATAGACGGAATCATTCTCAGAAACTGCTTTGGGATGTGTGCATTGAACTCACAGTGTTTAACA